>NC_000011.10:60585680-60888710 GCF_000001405.40 Homo sapiens
GGGATGCAAGGATGAATAAACATACCCAAATAAATCAACATAATACATTATATCAACAAAATGAAAAATAAAAACCATCAGATCACTTCAATTGATGCTGAAAAGTCATATGATAAAACCCAACATCTCTTCATGATAAAAACTCTCAAAAAACTGAGGATAAAAGGGACATACCTCAATATAATAAAAGTCACTTATGACAGACCCACAGCTAGCATACTGAATGGGGAAAAATGGAAAGCCTTTCCTCTAAGATCTGGAACACAACAAGGATGCCTACTGCCACCACTGTTATTTAACGTAGTACTGAAGTCCCAGCTAGAGCAATCAGACAAGAGAAAGCTATGAAGGCCATCCAAATTGAAAAGAAAAAAGTCAAATTATTCTTGTTTGCACATCATATTGTCTTATATTTGGAAAAACCTAAAGACTCCACTAGAAAACTATTAAAACTGATAAACTCAGTAAAGTTTGCAGGATGCAACACCAACATACAAAAATCAGTAGCATTTCTATATGCCAACAGTGAACAATCTGAAAAAGAAATTTAAAAATTAATCTCATTTACAACAGCCACACATAAAATTGAATACCTAGAAATTAACTAGGGAACCAGGAAACAAATCCACACACCTAGAGTGAACATGTATTCAACAAAGGTGCCAAGAACATATGCTGGGAAAAAGACAGTCTCTTCAATAAATGGTGATGGGAAAACTGGATATCCATATGCAGAAGAATGAATATCTCTCACCATACACAAAAACCAAATCAAAATGGATTAAAGACAAATCTAAGACCTCAGACTATGAAATGACTACAAGAAAACATGAGGAAAATCTCCAGGACATTGGTTTGGGCAAAAATTTCTTGAGCAATACCTCACAAGCACAGGCAATCAGAGCAAACACGGACAAATGGGATCACATCAAGTTAAAAAGCTGCTGCACAGCAAGGGACACAATCAACAAAGTGAAGACACAACCCACAGAATGGGAGAAAATGTTTGCAAACTACCCATCTGACAAGGGATTCATAGCCAGAATATATAAGGAGCTCAAACAACTCTATAAGAAAAAAATCTAATAGTCTGATTTTAAAAAAGGGCAAAAGATTTCAGTAGACATTTCTCAAAAGAAGACATACAAATGACAAACAGGCATATGAAAAGGTGCTCAACATCACTGATCATCAGAGAAATACAAATCAAAACTACAATGAAATATCATCTCACCCCGGTGAAAATGGCTTATATCCAAAAGATAGGCACTAACAAATGCTGGTGACGATGTAGAGGAAAGGGAACCTTTGTACACTGTTCATGGGAATGTAAATTATTACACCCACTATGCAGAATAGTTTGGAGGTTCCTCGAAAACTAAAAATTCAGCTACTATATGATCCAGCAATCCCACTGCTACATATATACCCAAAGGAAGGGAAATCAGTATGTTGAAGAGATATCTGCACTCTTATATTTATTGCAGCACTGTTTACAATAGCTAAGATTTGGAAGCAACCTAAGTGTACATAAACAGATGAATAAAGAAAATGTGGTGCATATACACAAAGGAGGACTATTCAACCATACAAAAGAATGAGATCCACAACTGTAGCAGCTCTGCTCCCACCTCAGGCCTGCAACACAGGAGAGCACAATTCCAGTGCTCACTGCTGAGACACTTTCCACAATTCTAGCTGTGGAGGCTCCTAGCCCACTCCAGGGCAAGAACTCCCATCTCTGGCCCAAGACTATAATCCTTACGTGGCCATGCTGCAGGGTCACCATAGAATGACTGACTTTGTATGCACCCAGATTAAAAATGATGTCCTGCTATTGGTCCTGGGTTTGGGAAAATGTCTGCAGCTTTTCCTAGCACCTTTCCCTCTCAGTGTCTCCAAGCTTCTCCCTAAGTTAGCTCCAGGGCTTGGGAGAAATAAAATGCTCCCCCTCAGCCTGGGTTGCTTGGATTTCCAGTGGAAAGATGAGTCACAGAGGGACGCTTTCTGCTTCTCTCACACAGTGGGACTTCACTCACTTTTATCAGCCAGACATCATCACGGGGACTGTTTTCCCATGCTTTCTTCTCCAGGATCTGGGTGTCCTTAACAACACCAGTGAGTTTCTGTTTTCCTTTTTGAATTAAAGCTCACAGAGTTGATCTTTATGCACTGTTTTTTTATTTCCAAGTTGCTAACGTATGGTAAAAGCCCCTAATCTGCCATCTTGGAAAAAAATCAAACATTATATGTAACTATTACAACACTACAACAATAACACAATGTAACAGACTATCCTCATTTTACCAATGAAAAAAGCAAAACTAAGTTATAGGTTAAGTAATTTTCCTGAGTCACAGAGAAAGCAAAGAGCAAAGAACTCAACCTCAGATCCTTCTTACTTCAAAATTCTATTTAGTATTGACATGTGAGTTTCCAGATTTTTCTGGGAAAACAATATCCCTCTCCCATACTACTAACTGACCTGTTCATTTCTTAATGCTGTGGAAAGTTTTATGTGTTCATAAATGTTGCATCTGTGAGGAAAATAAATTTCTGATACACCATAACTGCCATCTTTCTAACAAGTGTCACGAAATGATGGAATATCTCAGAAAAAGCTACTCATGGAAGACATTGTATAATTCTTCTATTTAAATATGTAAACTGAAGCATCAATATTTTATGAATGATATTTTCTATTAATAAAATATTTAAGCATTATATTAAAAGTATTTTCATATGAAGTCACCAAGATATAACATTTCCCAGTAGTAAATTCATTAATTGGGTGCATTTTCTTCTAATTCACATATTGGCTTAATAAATTATGATTGACAAAAACTAAGGAAACACTGAAACTCCTTTTTCCATAAAGTCACTTCAGAATGCCCTTAGATTCTATTTCCAATACATATATTAAATTAGTAGCCAGAGATTTCATGGCTTTCTCCCATCTCCACAAATAAAAAAAACCCTTGAATTATATCCTGAATGATTTTCTCAATGGTCCCATATTCTTTATGTTAAAACGCTCCGGAATTCTCTTACTTTTTAAGTTTATACATAAACATAATGACTGGGTATTAATAAATGTGATCTTGTTTCCAGTTTATCTTCACGGGAGCATTTACAGTATCGTTAGAAAAGATATGTTCACCATTCTTGGTAAGTCAGAATGCTTATAGCAGCTCTAGAGTTTTATTTGCCAAAAGAAGGAAAGTCAGTGCGTAGGCAGCATTGTCTGTGTGTCACTAGAAACCTATATATAATTGAAGAATAGATTTTTAAAATGTAAGAAATGTAAGTTTCCATTGCATTTTCAAACAAAAACAGAATACGTGCCAGTTACTGAAGTCATTGTTATATTTCATTAGTTATAAAAATAACTCAGGATGTATGAAGTTAATCAAGAAACTAAATTTCTACATCATAAATCATTTAATGTAAATTAAAATTCAATTAAGATGTAAATACAGCTATCTTGAAATGACCCAGTTTCTGTTATTACCTTCTTTTTCTCTTGCTTCTTTCTTCACATGTCTAGAAACTTTTAATTGTATGGAGGCTACTGTGTATGTGGTGTTTTAAAGAGTCTGGATCATGTTGATTTCCTTTAGTGAATATTGCATTTTGTATTGATAGGAAGTGAGGTGAAAGAACAAGAAATTAGAATAATTATGTATGTAAATGCTAGGAGATTGACTTCTGGAATGGCAGACTGAGAACTCCATGAAATCGTTCTTTAACAAAAACAGAGAAACCGCTGGCAAAACAACCAAAAGTAATGATTTCAAAGCATTGGAAATTAATCAAAGCCACAGCTAAAACAGAAAATTATCTAAGAGATACTAGTAAACCTCAGAAAAACGGAGAGATCTATAATGTTTTAATTTGAGGCTAATTTCCATCCCCTCTCCCTTCAAGCTCCTTGGCAGAGTATGTATGAAAAGCCAGCAGTATAGCAACCAGCTGAGAGGACCAACATCATGTGATGCTCTATTAAAAGTGCCATCATCTGAGCACAGTCAATATTTTGTCTGAAATTGCATCTCTGTTCCCAGGATATTTTGGCTATTTTTTGGATAAAGATTTCCGCTCAGTGAAAACAAAGTCCTACCACTAGATGGCTTAAACACTATCAATCTGCTAGCAATAGCACAGCTTAATAAGACTATGAATTCAGGTAAATAAGGGCTTGGTCAGAAATTTAAAAGACGATCCTGAATAACTAGATAATCATAAGGAGCTTTGAAAAGCTCTGACATATTCTTGGAGATCTAAAGTCCCTCACAAATATGGAAAGCTATGTGCATGCCCAGGAAGCAACAAAGAAAGAAGAAAGGCCCACCACTCATTTACCTCTGGCTGACTATGAGGCCCTAGGCAAGGAAGAAGTGAAAGCTGAAGCTGTCTTATAAACTAACTGAAGTTTTAAGCATATATTCTCATACACACTCTCCTTGGCAAAGGATTATTGACTGACATTAAATTACACTGAGCCAGGGATGGCTCCTAGGAAGCAGATAACCCATGGGCTTGACATTGAGGGAATAAAATATTTGCAGAATTAATCCAGGAAACTTAACAAAGACAAAGGAATAAGAAAAACAACAACAACAAAAGCAAAAATAGCAAACCCTGGGGGTGGGGAAGCAATTAAATACCAAATATGCTACAATGTATTATGTAAAATGTCAATTTTTCTAAAAAACATAAAACATGCGAAGAAACTGAAACATATTTTACATACACAGGAGAAAAAAAGCAACCAACAGAAAAATATTCCTATGGGGGCCAAAATTTGGTACTTTAACTACTCAAAGACTTTAAATTAGATCTTTTAAGTATGGTCAGAGAACCAAAAAAAAATTGTTAAAAGAATTAAAAGAAAGCATGAAAGTGATATGTCACCAAATACAGAATATCAATAAAGAGATAGAAATTATAGATTTTAAAAAATTAATACATTAATTGGATTTCCCATAGAAATCACTTTAAAACATGACTGAAAGTATACACAACAAGAAATAAGGCCATCTCCAGTGATGCCAGGCACAAGTTCAGCTCAAACCATCCTAGACTCCAGACTAGTCCTACGGACCCAGACTCTACACCTGCCCTAGCACCAGGCCAACCCTAAGCTGCAGGCCAGTCCCTGTAGCCCAAGTCTCCAGAGGACCCAGGGTCTAGGCCTGCTCCAGCAGACCCAAGGTCCAGGCCCACCCCAGTGCACCCCATTGCCAAAATGAGCCACATGGAATGAGGCACCATGACCACCCTTGCAGACCCATTCCAATGCCCATGGACTCAGGACCCAGACTCATCCTTACAGACTTGGTTTAGACTAGCCCCAGCACCAGCCCAGCCCCATGGACTCAAAATGCAGACCCATATCAGTGGTCCCAGGTGCCAGGCCCATCACAACATCTGAGTGACCCCTAAACAGTCAGGCTCAAGGTTCACACCAGTATCAGCTCAGCTCTTGTAGACTCAGGCTTCAGGCTGGCCCCCATGGATACAGGCCTCTGGCCCATCCCCATATGCCAATCAACAAGTCCACCATGGTAGATCAAGGCTACAGGCACAACTCCACAGAACCAGGATTCAGGCCTACCCACCTGCTAACCTGGTATCAGGCCATCTTGCCTGAGGACTCCAGCAACAAGCCAGCCATACCAGATGTCCTGCCCAGAATCTTTGAATGAGCTCACTGGTGAAAGTCTTTTCCAGACAAAGCCAGCATGAAAAAACTGGAATAAGGCTCCTACTTCAAATGGACAGATATCAATATAAGGCAAAAAAAGATGAGAAAACAAGAAGACATACCACCAAAAGAACACAATATGCTCCCAGTAGCTGACCCCAAAGAAATGGAAATATATGAACTTCATCATCAATAATTCAAAATAATTGTTATTGAAAGGCTCAAAGAACGTCAAGAAAATGCATATAATTTTATAAAATCAGGAAAACAATAAATGACCAAAATGAGAAATTTTACAAGAGTGAATAAAATTATTTTTAAAAATTAAATTCTGAAGCTGAAAAATAATGAATGAAATTAAAAATACAATAGAGAGCAGCAACAACAGAATTCATCAAGGAGAAGAAAGACTGTGACATTGAAGACAAGGCGTTTGAAAATATACAGTCATAGGAGAAAAAAATGAAAAGGACAAAAAAGTCTATAGGATTCATGGGACAAGATCAAGAGAGGAAATATTCAAAATATAGGAGTTCAAGAAGGAGAAGACAAAGACAAATGGGTAGGAATATTATTAAAATAACATAAGAAAGCTTTCTAAATCTGGGAAAAGATATAAATATCCAGGTACAGGAAGGTCCAAAGGTCTCCAATTAGATCAATCCAAGCAAGATTACACCAAGATATAATCAAACTGTCAAAAATCAAAGACCAAGAGAGGCTCCTGAAAGCAACAAGAAAAAAAGAAGTAACTAATGTATAAGAAAGTTTCAATAAGGCTAGTAGGAGATTTCTCAGCAGAAACCTAACAGACCTGGACAGAATAGGATGATATATTCAAAGTGGTGAAAGAAAAATACTGTCAACAAATAACCCAGGAAAGCTGTTCTTCAAAAATTAAGAATGAAGACTTTCTCAGACAAACAAAAGCTGAGAGAGTGTATTATCCTGTGATGGAAGGGTCAAAGCTTACAAAATTTTAGTTAGTTAGGAGTAATAAGTGCAAGAGACCTTATGGTGCAACATGATGACTGTAGTTAAAAACACCAGATGTAACAGAGGTGTTGGAATTATCACACTGTGACTTAGAAAAGCTATGATTAATATGCTAAGAAATATCACGGAAAAAAGTGGGCAACATGCAAGAACAGATAAGTAATGTAATCAGAGAAACAGAAATTCTAAGAAGTGATAAAAAGGAAATGCTAGAAATAAAAAACCTTTTAACAGAAATGAATCATGCCTTTGATGGGCTCATTAGTAGTCTGGACATGTCTGAGGAAAGAATTAGTGAGTTTAAGGATCAGTAAATAGAAGCATCCAAAACTAAAAAGTAAAGGGGAAAAAAACTGGAAAAAAAAAAAAAAACAGGACAAAAATCCAAGAACTGTGAGATAAAGACAAAAGAAGTAACATGTGCGTAATGGAACTGCCAAAAACAGAACACGAGGGAACGCAAGAAATGTTTGTAGCAATGACTGAGAATTTCATAAAATTAATATCAGACCAAACCACAGATCCAGAAACTTAAAGGACATTAAGCAGAATAAATGCCAAAAACATACACTTAGGAAAATTATATTTAAACCGCAGAAAATCAAATATTTAAAAAAATCTTGAAAGAAGTTTTATTAGTTTGTTCTTGCACTGCTATATAGAAATACCTGAGACTGAGTATTTATAAAAAGAAAAGAGGTTTAATTGACTCACAGTTCCTCAGGCTGTATAGGAAGCAGGATAGCATCTGCTCGGCTTCTGAAGAGGCCTCAGGAAACTTACAATCATGGCAGAAGGTGAAAGGGAAACAGGCATATCTTACATGACAGGAGCATGACCAAGGTGCGGGGAGGTGCCACACATTTTTAAACAGCCAGCTCTCATGATAATTCATTCACTATCATGAGAACAGAGGGGGAAATCCACCCTTTTGATCTAATCACCTCCCACCAGGCCCTACCTCCAACATGAGAGATTACAGTTCAACATGAGAGATTACAGTTCAACATGAGATTTGGGCAGTGACACAGATCCAAACCATATCAGAAGCCAAAAAAAAAAAATTACCTATAGAGGATCAAGGATAAGAATTACATAGGACTTCTCCTCATGCAACATGCAAGTAAAAAGAGTGGAGTTAAATATTTAAAGTATTTGGAGAAGTGCCAACCTAGAATTCTGCACTCTATGAAATTATACTTCAGAAGTGAAGGAGAAACAAAGATTTTCTCAGACAAGCAAATTTGAAGAAATTTGATGAGAGTAAACCTGCCTTGCAAGAAATGTTAAAATAAGTTTTTTCAGGAACCAAAAAATATTGATATTTGTCAGACTCAGAACTTAATAAAGAAAAAAAGATAGAGAAAGAAAAAGTGAAGGTAAAAAATTAAAACTTTTATTTTTCTTATATTTAACCTAACAGTTTGCTCAAAATGATGATAGCAGCAATGTATTCAATGATCATACCCTATGAATAGATGTAATGAAAGAAAGCAATGATACAAAAGATGAGAGGAAGGAATTAGGACTACTTTGTTAATATAAGATACTTGTACTATCTGTGAAGTAGTATATTGTTATTTGACAAATAGAGTTGGATTAGTTGTAAATGTATATTGAAAACACTGTGGTAACCACTTTAAGAAGTTTTCTTAAATACTTGATTTGCTAATAAAGAAGAGAAAATAGAATCACATAAAATGTTCATTTAAGCCAAACAAAAAGGTAGAAAAACAGCATAATCTGAAAAAAACAATCATGGACAAGGGAAATGAATAGAGACCAGTAATAAATATATGACAGATATTAATCCACCTCTATCAATAATCACTATAAACACCAGTGATCTAAATGCACCTATCAAAAGACAGATTTTTGAAGAGTGAAACAAAAAACAATATTCAACAATATGTTGTCTACAGGAAACCTGCTCTAAATATAAAGACACATATAGATTGAAAGTAAAAGTATGGAAAAAGATATCACATGTTAACACTAATTATCGCTTCTCGGCTTTTAGGCTAAGATCAAGTGTAGTACATGTGAACGCTAATTGAAAGAAAGTAGGAGTAACTATATTAACTTCAGACAGAGCAGATATCAGAGCAAGGAAAATTATCAGGAATAAAGAGAGGCATTGCATAATGATAAAGGGGTCAATGTATGTGGCCAACAGCAAAGTGATAAAATACATGAGGCAATAGCTGATAGAACTACAAGAAAACATATATGGATCCACTATTAGAGTTGAAGACTTTAACTCCTGTGATTAATAAAGACATTCTGCAAGCAGAAAATCAGTATATACAGAGTTGAACTCAACAGCACTGTCAATCATCTGGATATGATTGACACCAATGCAATACTCATACAATAAAATAATACATTTTTCTCAAGGACACTTGTAACAGCCCCTAAGATAGACCATGTTCTGAGTCATAAAATACATGCTAGTCGATTTTTAAAAATAAATATTGTACAATTTATGCTCTCAGATCACACTGTGATGAAAATACAAGCCACATTAGAAAGGTAAGAGAAATGATTTCACTTTGACTATGTCACCTCTCCACAACAATGGCATAGCACCCACCACACAGAAAGGATTTCCCTAGGCCCAAGATTTCTACAAGGGAATAAAGAGGGCGCCCGTGGTGGACATCCAGCTTCCCCAGCATTCTTGGGTGTGTTGCAGGAGGCCCACCTGCCAAATGGGGAACATTAGAAGTATCAGCAGGGGTAGACTATGTGGTGTCAGCTAGAAATAGAAAGTTGGGGCCCACAGCAACCAGCATGTGAATCTTGGCTGTGGCTCTGTATTCTGGTCAGCAGAGGCACCTGACCAGAGAGATTAGCCAAAAGCATCTCTCTGCAGGAAGCACAGTTGAGAGATTTGCCAGGCTCAAGTCTTTGTCTAGCTTTGACACCCAGCATCAGAGCTCTGCATAAGGCTCTCCCAGGCTGAGAAGCAGGTCTGCATTTGTACATTACTACAGAGTGTACCTTCTGGCCCAGCTCAACATGATTAGCTAAGCAGTAACCCAGCCTCAGAGACCTGCATAAGGATTTATCAGGCTGGGAGGCAAGCCAACATATGAGCATATCTGTGAAGCAAAGCATCTGGCTCTGCCTGACACTAGCAGTTGAGCAGAGGCCCCATCAATCTTCAGAACCCAGTCGGAGGTTCTGTCCAGACCCAGGCGGGGAGGGAATCCTATGACTACACATATCTGTGGAATATAGTCTCTGACCCTGACCATTTCAAATAACATTTTCATAATTGAATTTATAGAAGGAAAAGAGAGAAAGCAAGAGCAAGCATATTTAAGAAAATAATGGCTGAAAACTTTTCAAATCTGGAAAAAGATGGCAACATGCAGATACAGGAAGCTCAGAAGTCTTCAACCAAATTAAACCCAAAGAAGGGTTAACCGAGACATATCATGTTCAAACTAACAAAAATCAAAGACAAAGAATTCTGAAAGTAGCAAGAGATAAGAAACATATCATATTCAAGAGGGTTCCAATACAGCTATCGGCAGACTTCTCAGCAGATATCATGCAGGCCAGGAGAGAGTGAATAATATACTTCAAGTGCTGTAAAAACAACAACAACAACAACAACAAAAAAGTCAACCAAGAATGTTTTACCTTGCAAAGCTATTCTTTTTTTGACTTTTTTTCTTTTTTCTTTTCTTTCTTTTCTTTTTTTTTTTTTTGACACAAAGTCTCGCTTTTGTCACCCAGGCTGGAGTGCAATGGCGTGATCTCAGCTCACTGCAACCTCCACCTCCCAGGTTCAAGCCATTCTCCTGCCTCAGCCTCCTGAGCAGCTGGGATTACAGGCACCTGCCATCACGCCTGGCTAATTTTTGTATTTTTAGTAGAGATGGGTTTCACCATGTTGGCCAGTCTGGTCTCAAACTCCTGATCTCAGGCGATCCACCCACCTCAGCCTCCCAAAGTGCTGGGATTACAGGCATGAGCCACCGTGCCCAGTCCTTGCAAAGCTATTCTAAGGAAATAAGGGAAAAATTAAAATTTTCCCAGATCAAAAAAAAAAAAAAAAAAAAAGCTAAGGGGGCTCATCATCACTACACCTGCGTTACAGGAATCATGAAAGGGAGCTATTTAAGCTGAAACCAAAAAAAGACACAAATTCATAACAAAAAACATATAAAAGTATAAAACTTGATGGTATAAATAATACGGTCATATTCAGAATATTCTACTACTGTAATGGTAGTACATAAAGCAATTTTATCTCTAATATGAGTGTTAAAAGACAAAACTTTTTTTTATTTTATTTTATTATTATTATACTTTAAATTTTAGGGTACATGTGCACAATGTGCAGGTTAGTTACATATGTATACATGTGCCATGCTGGTGTGCTGCACCCAGTAACTCAAAAGACAAAACTATTAAAACAACTATAACTACAATAAACTAAGGGATACAAATTACAAAAGATATACTTTTTTGACATCCAAATAACAAATAGGGGAAAAAGTAAAATGTAGACATTTTGTATTGAAAGTTAAGTTGTTATCAGCTTTAAAAGCCTGGTACGACTACAAAATAATTTATTTGTGCCTCATGGTAACCACAATACAAAAACTTATAATACTTGCACAAAATATAAAAACCAAGAAATCAAATCATACCACCATAGAAAATCATCAAATCACAAAAGTCAGTAAGAGAGGAGGAAAGAAACAAAGGATGGTTTAAAAAGAAAATAAACCACAAAACAGCAATGAGTTCTTATATATTAATAATTACCTGGAATGTAAATTGATTAAATTCTCCAATAAAAAAATTAAGTAACTAAATGGACTGAAAAACAAAATGCAACTATATGCTGCCTACAAGACACTCGCTTCACCTTTAAGGACACATATAGGCTGAAAGTGAAGGGGTGAAGAAAGATATTTCAAAAAGTGGGCGAAGGATATGAACAGACACTTCTCAAAAGAAGACATTTATGCAGCCAACAGACACATGCAAAAATGCTCATCATCACTGGCCATCAGAGAAATGCAAATCAAAACCACAACGAGATACCATCTCACACCAGTTAGAATGGCAATCATTAAAAAGTCAGGAAACAACAGGTGCTGGAGAGGATGTGGAGAAATAGGAACACTTTTACACTGTTAGTGGGACTGTAAACTAGTTCAACCATTGTGGAAGACAGTGTGGCGATTCCTCAAGGATCTAGAACTAGAAATACCATTTGACCCAGCCATCCCATTACTGGGTATATACCCAAAGGATTATAAATCATGCTGCTATAAAGACACATGCACACGTATGTTTATTGCGGCACTATTCACAATAGCAAAGACTTGGAACCAACCCAAATGTCCATCAATGATAGACTGGATTAAGAAAATGTGGCACATATACACCATGGAATACTATGCAGCCATAAAAAAGGATGAGTTTATGTCCTTTGTAGGGACAT
The DNA here is from genome assembly GCF_000001405.40 of Homo sapiens. Classification (NCBI taxonomy): domain Eukaryota; kingdom Metazoa; phylum Chordata; class Mammalia; order Primates; family Hominidae; genus Homo; species Homo sapiens. The sequence goes on from NC_000011.10 coordinate 60,597,854, forward strand.
GGATGAAGCTGGAAACCATCATTCTCAGCAAACTATCGCAAGACCAAAAAAACAAACACCTCATGTTCTCACTCATAGGTGGGAAATGAACAATGAGAACACTTGGACACAGGAAGGGGAACATCACACACCAGAGCCTGTCATGGGGTGAGGGGAGGGGGGAAGGAAAGCATTAGGAGATATATCTAATGTAAATGATGAGTTAATGGGTGCAGCACACCAACATGGCACATGTATACATATGTAACAAACCTGCACGTTGTGCACATGTACCCTAGAACTTAAAGTATAATTAAAAACAAAAAGAATTTTAAAAACTGAGAAAAAAAAAGAAAGATATTTCCTGAAAATAGAAGCCAAAAAGGGAAGAAATAGCATACTTAACACCACATGTCAACAAGTATGTGAAGAAAACAAGCCCTTCATATTGTCATTGGAAGTGTAAAATGACACCATGACCTTGTAAAAATATGTGGTCATTCATTCAAAATTTAAATATATACCTGCCATATGACCCAGCAATTCATTGCTAGGCACTTACCTCTGAGAAATAAAAACGTATGTCAAAACCAGAAAACAAAAACTTGCCTATATGTTTATAGGAGTTTATTCACAATAGCCAAAACCTGAAATTGAACTAGGCAAGAAAACTTTTATCTGAAATGTTTTAGTTATTTTAGAAATAAAGCCTGGGTTTTTTTAAATAAAGGTTAATAATTGATTATTTTCTCTGGCTGCAATAAAAGTATAAAAGTGTTGCTTAAAATATTCTTTATACCATCTCACTGGGCACGGTGGCTCATGCCTGTAATCCCAGCACTTTGGGAGACCAAGATGGGCAGATCACTTGAGGTCAGGAGATCAAGACCAGCCTGGCCAGCATAGTGAAACCCTGTCTCTACTAAAAATACAAAAATTAACCGGGCGTGATGGCATGTGCCTGTAATCCCAGCTACTTGGGAAGCTGAGGCATGAGAATTGCTTGAACCTGGGAGGTGGAGGTTGCAGTGAGCCAAGATCCCATTACTGCACTCCAGCCCAGGTGACAGAGTGAGGCTCTGTCTCAAAAAAAAAAAAAAATGTTTATATGGTCTCTATTTTCAAAAATTACTAAAAAACAAACAAAACTTCATAGTAGATGGCAGGGTCATAGAGGGTAGCTTATCCCATGCCTCACACTTTTTTATTGCATCTGGCTCTCATAGTGCCCCTTCATGCTCTTCTTTCTTAATTTTTAATAGCTTTATTGAGGCATAATTGACATATAATAATCAATAAGCTGTACATATTTAAAGTACACAATTTGGTAAGCCATTAATACAATAAGACAGTGCATATGTTACCTCCAACAGTTTTCTCTGCCCCTTTGTCATCCCTCTTGCTTATCCCTCCTCAAAACCCTGCCTCCCCCAGGCATCTACTTATCTGCTTTTTATCACTACAGATTAATTTGCATTCTCTAGAGTTTTATACACATGGAATAATACAGTACATATGCTTTCTTGTTTCACTTATTTCATTCAGCATAATTATCCTGAGATTCATCCATGTATATAAATTATCAATCCCTTTTTTATTTCTAAGTGATATTCAATTTTATGGATATATCACAATTCATTTATCCATTCACCTATTGATGGAACTTGCATTGTTTCCAGTTTTGAGCTTTTACAAATAAAGCTACTATGAACATTTACAAGTCTTTGTACAGACGTATGCCCTCATTTCTCTTTAGTAAATACCTGAGTCATAGGATATATGCATGTTTAACTTTTCAAGAAACTGCTAACCTGTTTTCCAAAGTGGTTGTAGCATATTACATTTCCACTCACAGGCTGAGTATTCCAGTTCCTCCATATTTTCACTCTCTTCTTACAGTGCACTTATTGTATATCTTTTTGTATTAATGATTTATCAAATTGTGTACTTTAAATATGTCCAATACCACCCCGAGAGCAGGAATCAAAACAAGTGTTTCTGCTTGTTTTATTCAGATAAGTTTTTCCCAGAAAAACTTCATGCTCCAGAGAAGAACATCTGCTCCGTGGGGTCTTATTCATGCATTTCCTCAACAAGGTGGCTCTTTTCTAAATAAAAACAGATTATTTTGACATAGCTATTGCCTACTGTATAGTTGAGAAAATGAAATATTTACCAAATATACTTCATTTTAAAGACTGGATTATGTCAACACGCCAAAATTTACTAAGCAATACAGTTGTATGTTTACATAATAATAAACATTTTATTTTAATTTGTCTTTCTTTAAGGGAGATTTGTTACAAAAGAATAAATTAGTTGAGATCACTATACAACATACAACAGCAACTTCAATAAACACATCCTTTATCCAGTGAAACTGGTTTCAGAATTCAGTAGTTTAAGCTTTTGTAGTTATTATCTAATTCATATTAGATAGAAGGAAATATACATATCTTTTTAAATTTAACTTTTATTTTAAGTTCAGGGGTACATGTGCAGGTTTGTTATACAGGTAAACCTGTGTCATGGGGGTTTGTTTTACAGATTATTTCATCACCCAGGCATTAAGCCTAGTACCCATCAGTTATTTTTTCTCATCCTCTCCCTTCTCTCACCCTCACCCTCCAATAGGCTCCAGTGTGTTGTTTCCCTCTATGTGTTCATGTGTTCTCATCATTTAGCTCCCATTTACAAGTGAGAACAGGCGGTATTTGGTTTTCTGTTCCTGCATTAGTTTGCTAAGGATAATGGCCTCCAGCTCCTTCCATGTTCCTGCAAAGAAAATGATCTTCTCCTTTTTATTGCTGCATAGTATTCCATGGTGTATATGTACCACATTTTATTTATCCAGTCTACCATTGACGGACATTTAGGTGGATTCCATGCTTTGTTATTGTGAATCATGCTGCAGTGAACATACACATGCATGTGTCTGTATGACAGAATGATTTATATTCCCTTGGATATATTTCCAGTAATGGGACTGCTGGGTCAAACTGTAGTTCTGTTCTTATGTCTTTGAGGAATCACCACACTGTCTTCCACACTAATTGAACTAATTTACACTCCCACCCACAGTGTATAAGTGTTACTTTTTCTCTAAAACCTTATCAGCATCTGTCATTTTTTGTTGTTTTTTTTAATTATTATTATTATACTTTAAGTTTTAGGGTACATGTGCACAATGTGCAGGTTAGTTACATATGTACACATGTGCCATGCTGGTGTGCTGCACCCATTAAGTCGTCATTTAGCATTAGGTATATCTCCTAATGCTATCCCTCCCCACTCCCCCCACCCCGCAACAGTCCCCAGAGTGTGATGTTCCCCTTCCTGTGTCCATGTGTTCTCATTGTTCAATTCCCACCTATGAGTGAGAACATGTGGTGTTTGGTTTTTTGTCCTTGCGATAGTTTACCGAGAATGATGATTTCCAATTTCATCCATGTCCCTACAAAGGACATGAACTCATCCTTTTTTATGGCTGCATAGTATTCCATGGTGTATATGTGCCACATTGTCTTAATCCAGTCTATCGTTGTTGGACATTTGGCTTGGTTCCAAGTCTTTGCTATTGTGAATAGTGCTGCAATAAACATACATGTGCATATGTCTTTATAGGAGCATGATTTATAGTCCTTGGGATGGCTGGGTCAAATGGTATTTCTAGTTCTAGATCCCTGAGGAATTGCCACACTGACTTCCACAATGGTTGAACTAGTTTACAGTCCCACCAACAGTGTAAAAGTGTTCCTATTTCTCCACATCCTCTCCAGCACCTGTTGTTTCCTGACTTTTTAATGATTGCCATTCTAACTGGTGTGAGATGGTATCTCATTGTGGTTTTGATTTGCATTTCTCTGATGGCCAGTGATGATGAGCATTTTTGCATGTGTTTTTTGGCTGCATAAATGTCTTCTTTTGAGAAGTGTCTGTTCATATCCTTCACCCACTTTTTGATGGGGTTGTTTGTTTTTTTCTTGCAAATTTGTCTGATTTCATTGTAGATTCTGGATATTAGCCCTTTGTCAGATGAGTAGGTTGCAGAAATTTTCTCCCATTTTGTAGGTTGCCTGTTCACTCTGATGGTAGTTTCTTTTGCTGTGCAGAAGCTCTTTAGTTTAATTAGATCCCATTTGTCAATTTTGTCTTTTGTTGCCATTGCTTTTGGTGTTTTAGACATGAAGTCCTTGCCAATGCCTATGTCCTGAATGGTAATGCCTAGGTTTTCTTCTAGAGTTTTTATGGTTTTAGGTCTAACGTTTAAGTCTTTAATCCATCTTGAATTAATTTTTGTATAAGGTGTAAGGAAGGGATCCAGTTTCAGCTTTCTACATATGGCTAGCCAGTTTTCCCAGCACCATTCATTAAATAGGGAATCCTTTCCCCATTGCTTGTTTTTCTCAGGTTTGTCAAAGATCAGATAGCTGTAGATATGCGGCATTATTTCTGAGGGCTCTGTTCTGTTCCATTGATCTATATCTCTGTTTTGGTACTAGTACCATGCTGTTTTGGTGACTGTAGCCTTGTAGTATAGTTTGAAGTCAGGTAGCATGATGCCTCCAGCTTTGTTCTTTTGGCTTACGATTGACTTGGTGATGCGGGCTCTTTTTTGGTTCCATATGAACTTTAAAGTAGTTTTTTCCAATTCTGTGAAGAAAGTCATTGGTAGCTTGATGGGGATGGCATTGAATCAGAGCAGAACTGAAGGAAATAGAGACACAAAAAGCCCTTCAAAAAATTAATGAATCCAGGAGCTTGTTTTTTGAAAGGATCAACAAAATTGATAGACCGCTAGCAAGACTAATAAAGAAAAAAAGAGAGAAGAATCAAATAGACGCAATAAAAAATGATAAAGGGGATATCACCACTGATCCCACAGAAATACAAACTACCATCAGAGAATACTACAAACACCTCTACACAAATAAACTAGAAAATCTAGAAGAAATGGATAAATTCCTCGACACATACACTGTCCCAAGACTAAACCAGGAAGAAGTTGAATCTCTGAATAGACCAACAACAGGATCTGAAATTGTGGCAATAATCAATAGCTTACCAACCAAAAAGAGTCCAGGACCAGATGGATTCACAGCCGAATTCTACCAGAGGTACAAGGAGGAACTGGTACCATTCCTTCTGAAACTATTCCAATCAATAGAAAAAGAGGGAATCCTCCCTAACTCATTTTATGAGGCCAGCATCATCCTGATACCAAAGCCGGGCAGAGACACAACCAAAAAAGAGAATTTTAGACCAATATCCTTGATGAACATTGATACAAAAATCCTCAATAAAATACTGGCAAACTGAATCCAGCAGCACATCAAAAAGCTTATCCACCATGATCAAGTGGGCTTCATCCCTGGGATGCAAGGCTGGTTCAATATATGCAAATCAATAAATGTAATCCAGCATATAAACAGAACCAAAGACAAAAACCACATGATTATCTCAATAGATGCAGAAAAGGCCTTTGACAAAATTCAACAACACTTCATGCTAAAAACTCTCAATCAATTAGGTATTGATGGGATGTATCTCAAAATAATAAGAGCTATCTATGACAAACCCACAGCCAATATCATACTGAATGGGCAAAAACTGGAAGCATTCCCTTTGAAAATTGGCACAAGACAAGGATGCCCTCTCTCACCACTCCATTCAACATAGTGTTGGAAGTTCTGGCCAGGGCAATTAGGCAGGAGAAAGAAATAAAGGGTATTCAGTTAGGAAAAGAGGAAGTCAAATTGTCCCTGTTTGCAGATGACATGATTGTATATCTAGAAAACCCCATTGTCTCAGCCCAAAATCTCCTTAAGCTGATAAGCAACTTCAGCAAAGTCTCAGGATACAAAATCAATGTACAAAAATCACAAGCATTCTTATACACCAATAACAGACAAACAGAGAGCCAAATCATGAGTGAACTCCCATTCACAATTGCTTCAAAGAGAATAAAATACCTAGGAATCCAACTTACAAGGGACGTGAAGGACCTCTTCAAGGAGAACTACAAACCACTGCTCAAGGAAATAAAAGAGGATACAAACAAATGGAAGAACATTCCATGCTCATGGGTAGGAAGAATCAATATCGTGAAAATGGCCATCTGTCATTTTTTGACTTCTTAGTAATAGCCATTCTAAGTGGTGTGAGATGGTATCCCATTGTGGTTTTGATTTGCATTTCGCTAATGATCAGTGATGTTGAGCTTTTTTTCATATGCTGGTTGGCCACATGTATGTCTTCTTTTGAAAAATGTCTGCTCCTGTCCTTTGCCTGCTTTTTAATGGGGATGTTTGGTTTTATCTTTGTAAATTTGTTTAAGTTTCTTACAGATGCTGGATATTAGACATTTGTCAGATGCATAGTTTGCAAAAATTTTCTCTCATTCTGTAGGTTGTCTGTTCACTCTGTTGATGGTTTATTTTGCTGTGAGCAGAAGTTGCTTGGTTTAATTAGATCCCATTTTTCAATTTTCAAATTTTGTTTTTGTTGCAATTGCTTTTGGTGTCGTCATGAAAACTTTGCCGGTTTCTATATCCAGAATGGTATTATCTAGTTTGTACAGGATATATTATATATATGATATCATATATATCATATATATCATATGCATAATTATATATAATATATAATGATATATAATCATATATCATTATATATGATATATATGATATATTATATTTATATATGATATATGATATCATATATTATATATCCTGTACAAACTAGATAATACTAGATAATTTCCAATGACCAAGTAATTATATATGGTATGTATCATATATTATTATAATATTATTTTTATTATATATTATATTATATATTATATTATTATAATAGTATTATATTATTATATTATATATTATATTATATTTATAATATATTATATATTATATATATATATTATATATATATTATATATATTATATATTATATATATAATATATATATATAATATATATATAATATATATAATATATATATAATATATATTATATATATAATATAATATATATTATATATTGTATATTCTTTGTCTATAAATGTAGACAAAGAAATAAAATATAGTATATTTCATATTATATATTATATATTATATATTGTATATTCTTTGTCTATAAATGTAGACAAAGAAATAAAATATAGTATATTTCATATTATATATTATATATCATATATATTATATGTCATATATATCATATATCATATATATCATATATATCATATATATCATATATATCATATATCATATATATCATATATATTATATATCATATATATCATATATATTATATATCATATATATCATATTATATATCATATATTATATATATTATATATTATATTATATAATATTCTATATTCTATATTCTTTTTCTATAAATGTAGACAAAGAAATAAATATAATAAATAAGGATCTTCTTAATATCATATCACCTCTCTGATTCTATACATGGACAAAGTGCAATTATGCAGCAGCATTATACATATGCATGCAGTTCTCTACCATCTTCAAGATAAAATCCTAAATATCTAGCTAGATAGCACCTATCTTTCCAACAAAATTTTCTACATCTCTCCTTCTTCCACTCCAAAATGAACCATAACAAACTCCTGAAATGTTAGTTCTCTGATATCCTGAAACTGTATGGCACTATGAATTTGCCTAAATTATTACAATTTTTTACATTCTATTCATATTTAACATGCACTTGTTTGTCTTCCTCAATAGTCTGAAAATTCCTTGAGTGCAGAGACCATTTCTTTCCTTTTTATCAACTAATGCAGAGCATAGATTGCAGAATATAGAATAGGCATTCAATAAATTGTCAGTGGATAAATAAACTTGTTTATTATATCAAAAGTTTTATCATCTCCAAAATTGTTTATTCCTATTGGGATCCTGACAAATCTGCAGTTCTGACAGTCTTTGTAATGATCCTACTATGCTGAAAAGATCAGAATTTATATAAACCTTTTACTTTTAAAAAAACTTTTACTTTAATATACTTGTCAATGATGCATATGGATAATTTCCAATGACCAAATGATTATTTTTCTCTATTGCAGGTGTCTTATACTTTAGTAGCAAACATCGTAAGTGCCTGTATTTCAGTGATTGGTCTGCTTTTACTATCAGTTGAGTTTATAATATATAGTAAAAGTTCAAAAAATTCTCTTTGGCCACATGTATGTACCAGGTTTCTGTGAGAATCTCATCACAATTTTAGAATTATGTGTTAAATATTTCCTAAGTGGTCAGACTACTTAAGTACAATGCAAGTCATGGAGGTGACCCTCACCATTAGTTTACCTCATGGTATATGCATATATTAAAAATGTGAATCAAACTACAAGTTATATTTCTAAACCTAAGACCAACCAAAACCTCAAGTAAACAAATGAAAGGTATTATACATATTAATAGATGCATTTTGAGTAACTAAGCATTATATTCAATTCTGGACCCACCTGATAGCCATGATATTTTTACGATGGGCAGCTCAGTTCATTCCAGGTACCTGCATCTCTGAGGTCAGTTCTCCCAGGCCTTAAAAGATCAAGTTTGTTATAGCAAGACTTGGTCTTCCAAGAAGGAACTGGCATACTCATGTACCTGTGATACCCAAGGGCTTATGTTCAATGTCAGGGCTGTAGTTTACAGACAGAATAAAGCTGAACTCTGTACATGTATGTAATTTTGAATGCACGTACTCAGTTCTATATCGTTCATGACTATGTGGACATTTTTGCACTGCCTGCTTTGAGTCTGTCAGTTGTTCAGCAGGTCTGTGGGAGTCTAACTGTGTTCACATTTGCATTTCAATATCTGTGTATATCTATGTTCCCATTCATGTGGAACTGTGGACATATGTGCATTTATCTGTATACATTTGTTGGTGTAGAGAGAAGGGGCTAGGAGGGCAAGAAGGCAGAAGTCAGTGCTAAGCAAGTTGTGCAGAAATTGAAGCGATAAGGGCCAAAGTCTTCTCTAGGATTTCGGTCCTTCTGCTCTATCCCATCTGCCCAGGGCTTGATGAAGGGCAAAATAGTGGGAACTTTTACCAATACTTAGAAATCAACTTTTCTGAATTGAACCCATTGGATATTGCCTGTATTTAAATTCCTAACTAATTAAGTAAACTCTCCTTACTTCAACATCCAAAACTCTTGGTTAATTATCTAGTTGCAAAGAATACACCAGTTTGCATTTTATTGGATTTTTCTTATTTCTATGTAGCTTTGAAAGTGATTTTACAGTGAGTGCAATGGTAAACCTCCTTAGGAACGATTTATGTCTCTGATTCAATAAAGAAATGAGTTTAGAAATTTTAAACTACTTGCTCAGAGTCACGTGGCTAGTCACTTACAGATCATTTTTTCTAATGCAGAATGGTTTTAAATTCTAAATTATCTTACCCCACAAAATGGAGCTTTTACAAAAATCAATTCAGTGGCACATCAAAGAATCATTTTGCTGCTGCGGAGAATGCTAATATTTTATGACACATACCCTGATGGATACCTTAAAGTGGTATCTTAAATAAATAGAAACATAAAGATATTGCTTAAGATTATATTTGTATAACAAGAATGGCTCATTTTATTGGATTGATCTTTAATTATGATCTTAACTCTTTCATTTTTCTAATTTATCTCTTAAACTATCATATTCATATTAGTAGGAAATCCAGAATCTTCCTTCTGAGGGCCCCTCCCTGTTGACCCTCTCAAGTTACTCAAAACCACTGGGATCCAAAGGTTCGATATTGACTCCAAGCCCTTAGTTAACAGAGTCATGTAGTACCTCATCAGTCCACCAGTGTGCCCTTAATTTCCACTGCTATGGTTCAGTTACTATTAAATGACGCCATTATTTAACACTGATTTGAGTAGCCCATGGTGACCTTGTCATAAAAGTGCACTGAGTACTGAAGAGGCTTGGGCTTCCAATATTACGGATTCTGTATTCTTGTCTCTAACCCAGCTATACTGTCAGGATATGGGTCTATTGGAGCTTATAGACAGAGGCACAATCCCAGGAGGAAATTCCTACCCCCAGGTCACATCAGCCCTTGTGTTGAGTCCAGGTTACAAGTCCAAACATTCTTTTCTTTCATTGTTTCTCTTTAGTGTCCTTTCCTATCAACAGGGCAAATTTATGTAAGTTTCTCTATTAAATAAGTTCTATAACACTAAACCTCAAGGGTGTCACAATTCCATCTTCCCCAGAGATTTATTGGACTCAATGAAAATTTCCTGTTATTATCCACAACAATAAACAGGAAAACACAATCAATGATTCTCATCATACATTTGGCAGAAATATATCAGTATATCATCATCCTCAATAATTATCCATTGTAATTACAATTAAAAAATATTTAAAATTCTATTGTTGAGGGTGGAGGATAGGGTGGGTAGTTTTTCTCTTCTATTTTTCTTCTTCAATTTTAAGATACCTTTATTATTTCTAAAGTGCTCACATAGAAAGATCTGTAAGGAATGTACATTTTCTTTGTGGATACAGAAAAGTGGCAAACTCCTTTCGGAATATCTGTTCATATTAACCATCTTGGAGTTGTTTGTGGCAAGTATAGTCAGCCACTGGGCATCCTAAGCAAAAAAGAGAAGAAGATAAAGATGCAGTGAGTATCCCATTTTTCCCTTAGTAGATCAGAAGATGTTGTCTTCTGTTATGAACACTATTTGAATAACTAAGGTTTTGATATGAATTAAGTATAAATAATGCCATCACTAAGCTGTGATTGTAGATAGCTGAAAACACTCGGCACTAACTGTCATGCACTTATATGGGTCCCTCCACAACTGAATAAATAATTTTCCCTTTTATAAAGGTGTTTTGCATTACAGGATGCTTTTATGTCCATAACATATGAGAGAATAAGGTAGAAGATATGTGATTTTCTGGCTCAGGTCTGTTTAATTCTACAGACATTACCCTGGAAACAAAAAGCTTTGTAGAAGTTGTTACCAGGCACGGGGATATGGGACTACTGAAGACTGAAGCCTTTATTTCTCAAAATTTGGGAGAACAAGTTGAATATCTAAGTGTAGAACTTTAGTGTCTTCAGAAACCAAGATTTGGGAGTAATGGAGAAGTTGAAAAAGATGGTAAAGCCTTTTTTCAATAAAGCTATTTTCCTACTTTCTCCATATCAACTACTTCACGTCTAAAGGAAAACTTAACCTCCATTTGACCTCACTAAATCAGAGAACTTCAATCTCACTAAATCAGAGAACTTCAGTGAAAGATATGCCTGCCCTTTTTCCCCAGTACCCACTCAACAGGCCGAGGCTTAGAGATCTATGAGATCATAAAAACAACTGAGAAGGAGACCACAGTTAACACAAAGAAGAAAGTGAGTTGTCCATATATCCTAGACCACATGTGTAGAAAGGTTTAGGAAATTTAAGCTTCCTCCCCATTTTACCACTTTCTAATCTCATCTGTTTGACCCTTTGACCTGCCTTCTTACCTGGGTCTTACTTAATCTCTTCAGGTTGCTGTTCTGTCCCTTGACTTTTCCAACTGTACCTCTATAGTTTTTGTATAGGCAACACCATATATACCTACAGCTTGGTAGATGTATACCATCTATAAATTTATAATAATCCAAATGTTAAATCTCCACCCTAGACCTTTCTACTGAGCTCTAGGCTCATATTGCCAACTTCTCTCTAGAGAGTTTGATTCGAAGGATTCCAAAGCACCTCAAATAAAACATATCTAAAACTGAACTAATCATCTCACCCACAAAGTCATTACCTTGTCTTTTCCATTTAAGAGCACCACCATCTATCTACCTGCCTGCCCTGGCGAGGGAGCTGAGAAATACTCTCAAATTGAAACAATTTGACAATCCTTTTTACATGATCCCCTAAATGTATTTCAATTCTGTCCTCTGTTTCTTCATCTCCCCAAATGAAAGTTTAAACAGGAAACACTTACCACACGAAAGCCTGATATTCTAGCACAACATTCATTTCTGTAATAATTTAGCCCAATCTACTTTCTTGACTTCATTTCCTACCACTCACGCCCATAAATGCTGTGCTCCAGCCTCACCAATTTACTTATCATTCCATAAATATGCCTTGTTAAGTTTACCATCTTAATTTGTAAATAGCTTTGTTTAGGAATCTCTATTTTGAATTAAACTGATAAAATGAATTAGGAGGGAGAGGAATTTATCATATAGATTTCTTTTCTTGTATTTCCCACTTTCTCTTGACACTCAGAGGCTACATCTTCATTTGTACTGCAAAAGTCACTTGCTTTTCAAAACATGTGAATTAGCTATAATTCCAGATGAATTAGGGTATTGAAAACCTGTTATCTGGATCACTGATTGCCTTTCAATGAATCTTCTTTAAGTAAGGTATTAAAATGGGGAGCTGAAGTTCCATCTAAAGGTATTCAAACTCGAAATCTCAAAAAAATATGGCTCTAACTAAAAGCAAAGTAAACAAAACACACCAAACACACACACACACACACACACACACACACACACACACTCACAGAGGTCTTATTCTTAATTCTTCTCTGAATAAAGTGAAAAGAGAACAAACATGGATTGGGTATATAAGAACATATAGATTTCTACTCCAACTAAATAGAATTTAAACTGACAGCTATTCAATGCTATACTTAATAATGTAATCAAGTTTGAGTAGAAAACAATATGCCCTTTATGATCAATCATTGTCTTGGGGACTGTCTTTTCATATAGCATTGTCTTTGGCTTTCAATCTATAGAAACAAAAAAGAAGGGAGGATGGAAACCAGGGAGAAAGGGAGAGAGGACAAAGAAAAAAACTAAAAAGTATCAAAAGCACATGGTTTAATTTAAAAATCTCGCCTGGTGGGGTGGTTCACACCCATAATTCCAGCACTTTGAGAGGCTAAAGCAGGGGAATTGCTTGAGCTCAGGATTTTGAGACCAGCCTGGGGAACACAATGAGACCCCATCTCTACAAAAATATAAAATAAAATAAAATAAAATAAAATAAAATAAAATAAAATAAAATAAAATAAAATAGTAAAGTAAAGTAAAATAAAATAAAATAAAATGCATAAAGTTGAAAAAATTACCCAGGAGTGGTGGCACATCCCTGCAGTCCTTAGCTACTTAGGAGGGGAAGGTGGAAGGAGGGCTTGTGCCCAGGAATTCAGAGTTACAGTGAGCAATGATAGTGCCACTGCATTCCAGGCTGGGTGACAGAGACCTCATCTCTAAAAAAATAAATAAAATAAAAATCTCAATGAGGAGAATACTTCTATTAGAATTATTTCCAAAATTCTAACCCAAATTCTATAGTTCTTTATTTTAGAGTGTGCTAATGATCAATTTACTGATATCTAACTTACCTCAGGTTCATGGCAGAAGGAGATCCTTTCTCTGCATATTAAAGAAACCATCAGTGAGCTCAGTCAAGGAGGAAAGTTTAGTGGCAAATGAAGAACTTCATTCTGTTCAAGAGGCTTCTTGGAAAATGTAATTTCATTAAATCCATCTCAGTATTCTCTTCCCCCTATTTCATTAATAAAAATTAAAATTGATGAATATGGTTATTTTTGTCTACATGAGGAACTGTGCATGAATTTATCTCAGTTTGAATATGGTCAGCCTGAGTTAAGGGATTCTTCCATACAAGAGAAGTTCTATGAATGGGCACATGTTACTAGAGTAGAATCTATACCTAAAATTGATAATGATGTAATAAATGCTAACTCGAGAAAATTATTTCATTGTGAGAAGGAGACTTCGCATAAATGATAAATAATCCCATTGCTTGTGAAGGCTTCTTTGCTTATTAGCTCTAAATACTACTAATTATTTCTTTCTCACTGGATATTATTAAAACATGCATAGCTTACCTACAGTGAAGAAGGTATATTACAATTAGCCATATCTTTATGTTATTGAGACTACATGAATTAATAGCTACTGGATTTAGTTTGTCTAGAAAGTCCAGCTCCCAAAACGTTACATATTTTTGCCTATAATTTTACACTGTGGCTTATCACACTCAAATTTTAAGCAAATTATCTTAGAAATGTTTTGTTGTGTCTATAAGGATGCTTCCTATTTTTTAAATTTTCTTTGATCTCCATACCCCACTCCCCCTTCCCTCCCTCCATGAGCAATTGTTCCACTTTATAAAACATGCATATTTTATTTGTCAGTATCTCCCCAAAAATGTATGGCATTCTATTGTAGGAATGTATCTGGAATCCATGAAGTTCATACACACCCATAAATTACATGCACAAACTTTGCTCCTCCTAACAGTAAGTTTTAAAGATCTATCCGTGTGGCTATCAGTACCTCTATCAGTTGATTTTAAATGCTGCCTAAAGTCTGTGCCATGCACCCCGCACATTTATACATTCGCTGTCCCAGAAATGGGCAACTGGGTTCCCCCCATCTTGCCCCTTAAGTAATTTGGGGGGATACAAATTCAAGATTAGAGTATCTGTGTTATTTACATATATGCCATTTGTTTATGAAGTGCAAAAATTTCCACCATTTAGAACAGTCTTCTGTTGCAGGTCCTTTATTATTGTGTGTTTTTCTTCAGTCTAGTCTGTATACTTTTGTTCTCTTAGGAATTCACAGATTCTGGTTCACCAAGAGAGTTGCTTCTTATTTTTCAATGTGGCAATGGAATTTTTTTTGTAAGTGTGCTCCTTGGAATTGGAGTTCATATGAAGAATAAGTAGCATCTGCTTGGTCTACCTTCATGAACTAAAAACCACAACTGTGAGAGAGACTTGCATAAATGTATGGGTTGAGAAGAAATACAAAGCAGGGAGTAATATTTGAATATACTGGGGAGAAAGAGATAATTGATGGATTAAGGTTTATAAGCCCTTTGAAGGACATGAGATTAGTAGCACAGGGACAGATTACACTTTAGAATAGAGGAAAGACACCTAATTCTGATCAAGTAAGAAAATAGTGAAAAATTAGCTTTAATGTAAATGTTCTTTATCCATTCCTCCATATGAGAAGGATAAGAAAGAACATGAGAGACTTTGTCTTTCCTTTGAAAAAATTGACAAGGCAGTCATTTAGGAGTGAGGGGTGGTAATGAATAAAGTACTTGTTTGGATTAAGAGTTGCCAGGAATCAGAGGCAAAATTGGCCAAATTATACTCAACGATTTAATTAGAAGCACAGATGAAGATACTGGACTTTCAGATGACATCTTTGTTGGGTGTCTATCCATGCCATTGTGAGAGTTTCCCTAAAATATCCTACACAGAAAAGGTGGCATTACAAGGTGGCAAACTTGCATTTGTGGGTTTTAATAAGATGATAATTAGTGGATCTGTGGGATCCAGGCTGAATGAGGAAGGATATGATGCCAGAAATTTTGAAAGAAATGTAGAGATTGGGGGCCAATAATCTGAAAAGGGGCTGCTAACACCTAAGATGCCTTTGTGCAAACTAGACAAAAGTACCCCGTTCAAAAGGACAGATTGCTTAATAACAGCTCCTCTGGGAAAATGAAATAGAAGGTAAGTCCCCTCTGAACAGTACAATTAGAAATTGAGGCCCCTTCCTCCTAGCTAATCAACCCAGCACCAAGGGAGTCTGCCCTGCAAGTGGAGACCAGGTGCAACTGCAGCCCCAATCTTTGACCCCATTTACATGCATCCTTGAACAAGGTCCCAGCTTCAGAGC
The DNA here is from genome assembly GCF_000001405.40 of Homo sapiens. NCBI lineage: Eukaryota > Metazoa > Chordata > Mammalia > Primates > Hominidae > Homo > Homo sapiens. The sequence continues at coordinate 60,613,567 of NC_000011.10, forward strand.
CTGAGCTAGTTTAACACAAAGAACAGCTCTAGATAGGGAGTCATGACATGGCAGATCTGAAAGATATTTGTTTTTGATCACAGAGCAGGATATCACAATTGAGATACCGGAGAGAATGAGCCGCAAATGTAAATATAGGGTAGCTCCTCCATTTATTCATACATTCATCATAAACTACTTTTTGACAATCTACTTTGCACCAGGCATAATTCTTGCTTCTGGCAACAGATTTAAACAGAAGAGACAAGATCCTGCCTTCAGGGAGCTTATATTCTAGGGAGAGGAAGTCAGTGACACTATATGGACCATGCACTGGTCAACAAAGCAAATACATAAAAATTTAAAAGGCCAATCTCTCCTTCCCCCATAAAAAAAAAAAGAAAAAGAATCATAGTCACCCTTGGAGGGTGTTCATTATTTCAAAATTTCATAAGTAAAGAGATAAAGCACACATCTTGCCTTTCATTTTTGTAACAGTTTCATTGAGATATAATTCACATATTATAAAATTTACCTATTTATTTGTGGGTTTTTTTGTTTCTTTGTTTGTTTTTGAGATGGGGTCTCGCTCTGTTGCCCAGGCTGGAGTGCAGTGGCGCAATCTCAGCTCAGTGAAAGCTATGCCTCCTGGGTTCACACCATTCTCCTGCCTCAGCCTCCCAAGTAGCTGGGACTACAGGCACCCGCCACCATGCCTGACTAATTTTTTGTATTTTTAGTAGAGCCAGGATGGTCTTGATCTCCTGACCTCGTGATCTGCCCGCCTCCGCCTCCCAAAGTGCTGGGATTACAGGCGTGAGCGACTGTGCCCAGCCTGAAATTTACCTATTTAAAGTATATAGTTTAGTGGCTTTTAGTATATTCACAGAGTTGTGTAAGTAACACCACCTAATTTTGGACCCAAACCCATTAGGAGTAATTCTTATTCTCCACCCACTTACCTCAGTATTAGCAAATCACTGGTCTACTTTCTGTCTCTGTGGATTTGCCTACCAGGGCTATTTTATATGAACGTCTTTTGTGACTTGCTTCTTTCACTTACCGTAATGATTCCAAGGCTTATTCATGCTGTAGCATAAACTATAACTTTGTTGTGTTTCATTATCAAATAATACATTATATGGATATACCAAATATTGTTTGTTCATTCATGAGTTGATAGGGATTTGGGTTGTTTTCATTTTTGGCTATTAGGAATATATAAGAATGCTCCTATGAACATTTGTGTGCAAGTTTTTTTTGTAATGAGGACTTTCCTGACTCCCCTCATTTACATTTCCATTGACGCCACCTCCCTTTCATACTTTATTATTCTCCTTAGCTCTCATTATTCTTAACATGCTATAAATTTTCCTTATGAATCTTATTATTGTTTTCCTTATTATTAGAATTTCATCTGTTTTGTTCACTACAGTATCCCCAGCATTGAGAACAATGCCTAGCACATACTGGCACTCAGTGGAAATTTGCTAAATTCATTAATCATAAAAACGGCAAACATAAAAGAGTTCAACAAACATGACTGTCATCTATTACTCATTAGCCAGCTGATGCTAACACTTTAATAAATTAGACAAAACCTTGCAATCATTCATTTATTCCTACTATGTGTTGAGGATAGTTGTTAAACACTGAATATACAACTCAAACTGTCAGGTTCAGCATGACGGACATATATGCACCCGGTTATTGCAGTGGAATATGTTTGTAATCGCAGTGGAATGTGTTTGTAAAACATCTTTGGTTTTCAAAGTTCTGCAGTATAAGCGTATGAGGTACCTGAGCGGGTATCATCTCCACTCTACAAAATAATAAACTAAGGACCAAAGGAGTTAAGTGCAGTGCTGTACCCACCACATCTTGCAGAGGATTCTAAGTGGCAACGAGCTTCTGACAACGATGCTGCTTCTAAGCGGGGGTGTGTCTGGGGTTAGCAGTGGGGCCACCACGTGATCAGTCCGCCGACAGATCAAGCACAGCCTCTTCCTCCTGGGTGTGCCAGGCCCAGGGACAGAGGATGATGCCCACACAGCCAGCAAAGGGCAGCATTGTTGTCAGCCGCCACCCCACCCTCGTCTTGGGAGCCTGCAGGCTCCGCGGAGCCATGGGAGCCCCACCGCGCCTCAGGTGTCCGCGCGGGTCTCTCGGACAGCCCCGCTCTTGGACGTTAGAACCCCGCGAGGCAGGGTGAGGGGCGCCACCGAGGAAGCGCCCACCGGGCTCCCGGGGCTGCCAGGCCCCAAATTGAGGAAGTTGACTGCCAGATCACACTCTGTTGGCCCACGCGTGAGTGTAGGGATCCCTGGTTGGATTTGCACTGGCGCTGGGAATAAAACTAGCACCTGCTGAGGGTCAGGTGTTCCCCACGACCCCATAGTCACAGTGTTTTCCAAACCACTTCCAGTTGGAAAGAGCCTTAATTAATACTCTGTGGCACTTTTCACGTATTTCTTTCAATACCTTTTCTTCCAATGTGTGTTTTCAATAAGTGACCTGTTTGACACACCCAGCATCCTCTCATGTAAAAATAAATTGGCTAATTCACAGGAGGAGAATATGGAGATAGTGTAGTGAATTGGGGATCCCAGGGTCATGGTTGTGGCAATAATGACTCTTACTTTCCATCTTTTACCATCTTTCTATATTCTTTTTAGCTTAGGAGATGCGCCTTGGGTTTTGCGCTAGAGATCATATAAACAGAAACTCATATTTTGGATGATAGGAATGGTTGATTTCCAAGAACAGTAACTTAAGAGTTTCCCTGATTGTGTGTATTCCCTTTCCTGGCTGACCTACAAAGCTTTAGTAGGGAGAATCCTTAACCAGGATTATATAAGTAGATTCTGCTGCTGCTCCTCTGGAGCAGGCCACAGAGTCCTCGTGTGAAAAGTGGCTCTTCTGAGAATCGCCTCTTGAAATTCATATTGTCTGCGTGTATAAATTCAATTTGATCCTTAACATTGAAACCGAGGTTTGCTTTCTCAAGACTTTTTAGTACCTGCCGCATGTCTCAGTCAAGTCTGTTCTATCTCCTTGGGTTCATCTGCTATGGAGAAAGACAGTATGTGTCTTTGGGGTAACCTTCCAAGGCTGCCCAAAACTAATTCAATAAATGCCAGAGAACCTATGCTCTAAGGCTGAACTTCCCAAACATGTTTCATGACTGGCATAAACAAATCTACCCATTTATACGTAATGTGGTAATGTATCATGCATTTCCTGGTAACACATCAGCCAGGAAAGGGAATACACAATCAGGGAAACTCTTGGAAAATCACTGTTCTTGGAAATCAACCATTCCTATCATCCAAAATATGAGTTTCTGTTTATATAATCTCTAATGCAAAACTCAAGGCACAAGATACCCAAAATGGATAGAAAGGATTCTGCAAGCAATTATTGTTTTCCAACAATGTGCAAACTCATTGCTAGAGCCAGATACTGTGACATTGTGAGATTTTGCAGCAGCAATGATGTATATGGGAAGGCACTTAAAAATCGTAAGGTACTTAAATATCACATGGTAGTGGAAATGTCAGCGGTCAGGAATGGATGGAGTGCTGTGTGGGGAAAAGAAGCATAGGCCAAATATACCTGGCTCCAATGTGCCACACAAAGAAATGTGTACTGTGGCCCGAAGACAACAAGGAGCCATTGAAAGATTTTTTTTTCTTTCCAACTTTTATTTTAACATGTCCAGGTTTGTTACATGGGTAAACTCCATGTCATAGGGGTTTGGTATACAGATTATTTTATTACCCAGGTAATAAGCATAGTACTTGAAGGGTAGATTTCCATTTTTTTTTTTTTTTGAGACAGAATCTCACACTGTCACCCCAGCTGGAGTGCAGTGGCACAATCTCAGCTCACTGCAATCCTCACCTCCTGGGTTCAAGCGATTCTCCTGCCTCAGCCTCCCAAGTAGCTGGGATTACAGATGCCTGCCACCATGCCCAACTAATTTTTTGTACTCTTAGTAGAGATGGGGTTTCACCATGTTGGCCAGGCTGGTCTTGAACTCCTGTCCTCATGATTTCCCTGCCTCGGTCGCCCAAAGTGCTGGGATTACAGGAGTGAGCCACCGCGCCCAGCCCAATAGGTAGATTTTCTATCTTCACCTCCTCCCACCATCCACCATCACGTAGGGCCTAGTGTCTATTGTTCCTTTCTTCGTGTTCATGTGTACTCAATGTTTAGCTCACATAAGTAAGAACATGCAGTATTTGGTTTTCTGTTCCTGGATTAATTTACTTAGGATAATGACTTCCAGCTCCATTCATGTTGCTGCAAAGGACATGATTTTGTTCTTTTTTATGGCTGCGTAGTATTCCATGGTGCATATGTGTCATATTTATCTAGTCCACTTTTGATGGGTATTTAGGTTGATTCCATGTCTTTGCCATTGTGAATAGCATGGCAATGAACATACAAGTGCATGTGTCTTTGTGGTAGAATGATTTAAGCAAGTGATTCCTACATGTGATTTCTGTTTTAGAAATGCCACTGTGGTCATATTATAGAGGCTGGATTTAAGCTTTTAGGTTCCTTTGCTGTGGTGATTGGGTGGTTTCATATTTTGCTATTTTGTAGCAAATTGTAACTCAAGGGAATAATTCAAAGGAATGGTGTGAAATAACCTGTAGGGTCCAGCCCTACAGGGCCTGTGGGTTTTTCTCTTCGTGTTCAGAGACAAGAGATTGTAGAAATAAAGACACAAGACAAAGAGATAGAAGAAAAGACAGCTGGGCCTGGTGGACCACTACCACCAAGGCGTGGAGACCGGTAGTGGCCCCGAATGCCTGACCGTGCTATTTATTGGATACAAGGCAAAAGGGGCAGGGTAAGGAGTGTGAGTCATCTCCAGTGATTGATAAGGTCACGTGAGTCATGTGTCCACCGGACAGGGGGCCTTTCCCTTTTAGGTAGCCAAGGCAGAGAGAGAGAGGACAGCTTACGTCATTATTTCTTCTATGCTCTTCTCAGAAAGATCAAAGACTTTAATACTTTCACTAATAATGCTACTGCTATCTAGAAGGCAGAGCCAGGTGTACAGGGTGGAACATGAAAGTGGACCAGGAGCGTGACCGCTGAAGCACAGCATCACAGGGAGACGGTTAGGCCTCCGCATGGCTGTGGGCAGGCCTGACTCATGTCAGGCCTTCCCCAAGAGATGGTGGAGCAGAGTCTTCTTTAACTCCCCCCGGGAAAGGGAGACTCCCTTTCCAGGTCTGCTAAGTAACGGGTGCCTTCCGAGGCACTGGCGCTACCGCTAGACCAAGGTCGGCTAAGTAATGGGAGCCCTCCCAGGCACTGGCATTACCACTAGACCAGGGAGCCCTCTAGTGGCCCTGTCCGAGCATGACAGAGGGCTCACACTCTGCTGGTCACTTCTCACCGTGTCCCTTCAGCTCCTACCTCTGTATAGCCTGTTTTTTCCTAGGTTATAATTGTAGAACAAAGATTATTATAATATTGGAATAAAGAATAATGCTATAAACTAATGATTAGTAATATTCATAGATAATCATATCTATATTCTATGTCTAATATAACTATTCTTATTTTAAGTATTTTCTTTATTATACCAGAACAGCTTGTGCCTTCAGTCTCTTGCCTTGGCACCTGGGTGGCTTGCTGCCCACAAATAACCAGTGAGGTTGTTTCTAATAAAATCTGGAAAAGAAACCAAAAGTAGTGTCCAAAACTATAGGGGAATCGGGAATCTGATACAAGTAACTGGAGAGAGGTTGAAGGGAAACAGGAAAAAAGCATTATTGGCATTTGACTTTGTGGCAGTTCCTATTATTTGCTTCCCAAAACAACTCTGTGGGATTAGAAAACTAATTCTCTGAAATATTAAGTAGAACTTAACATTAGTAATTAATATAGACAACTGTTATTAGTCTAAAAGTAGTTGTACCAATTATACAGTTAGCAGTCAATATAGACAAGATTTGAACTCAAGTCTATATCCACTTGTTTCACAACACTATGCTCCATTTTCTTAGTTTCATGTGTCATTGGTACATCTATTTGGTAACTGATCCTTAGGAATTAGTGGATGATGTAAATCAGAAAGAAAAATAATATAAGTAAAGATTTTGAAACCAAGATCTTAGACTTCAGAGTTGGCTATTGGCAAAATATTGAGAAAAAATCTAAACTAGGTAATGAACAAAGATCCATCAGATATTGTAAAATCTAAAGAGTAAATTCTCAAAGCCATATGGCAAGAGTTATAAGAAAGACAAATCAATAATTTAAAAAGACTTTGGCTGCAAGTAACAGAAAACAACTCTTGCTAGCTTAAGCAAAACAAAGAAACATGTATTTTCCAAGGGCAGGAAGACATCTCAGCTTCAGAAAAGGACTATAACTAGGAAATTGAAAGTTATTAGGAACTCCAGTAGTTCTCTTGGTCTATTTTTTATTTTTTATTTTTCTGGACGTCTTCTCAGCTTATGCGGTAGAACACATTAATGTTCTTCATTTCAAGAGTTTATATAATCTCATCTAGAAGCAAACCCAGACTAAGGTTATAATATCTAAGTTCTAAATATGCAATTCCTGGGAAAGTGACACTGATGGATCCAACATGAGACAGATTCCCCACCTCTCTTCCAGTTAGTACAATAAGGGAATAATTCCTACAGATGACAAGCATGAAACAGAGGTGAGTGGGCCACATACCCAAAATGGTGTCCACAATAGCGAAGTCATAGAGATAATTTGTGGCTGCCATCTTTTAAACATTCATGGCTGCCATGTGTTAAACATCTTCCCTACTTTTTTATTGGTCACTAAGTTGTAAAAGCTACCTTTCCCAAAATGGAATCCAAAAAATTATATTCCCTTGCCTCCCTTGAAATCAAAGTGCAGGCATTTGATCTAGGTTCTGCCAATTACACATTCTTGCACTAAAGTTTGATTTAGGAGAGAACAACAAAAGAGACCCTACAGTAGGCATCAATTGGACAGATGATGGTCCAGGAGACAGGGAAGGTTTTATCATGATGCCAGTTCTACAACAGACTTCTGAGGCAGGAAATGGCAAGAGCACTTCCTCCTCAGTTTTGATCAGCGATTTGTCTCTGGCATTATTTGAAAAGCCCACCCTTCCCAGTGATTACGTGAGCTCACTCATGTTCTATTTTGCTTAAACAAGCCATATTAAATTATGCTGTCTGCATCTTAGCATCCTAAGGACCCACAGGATGTCATTTAAAATTGGTAAAAATGTATAAAATCTAATAGGACAATTAGAATTGCCAAGAGGTTAGCCAAGTCCAAGAGAGCATATCAATTGATTAATTTTAAATACCTATTTCAGGGAACGGTTTCATTATTTAAAAATTAAAGACAACAATAATAGGGTTCTCAATGACCTTTAAGTGCTTATCTGAGATCACTATTTTTAAAATCACTATGTTTATTTTTTCTATGTTGCCTTTTAGAGATAGATTCCATTCATCCTTTCTAATGTCTACACCATATTTTGGATAACATGCCATCATCTCACATTGTGTTGAAAGAAGAAACCAGAATGTTGGGGGTAAGATTCATTGCTACTTGAGTAGATAAATGGTTTTAGTGTTGCAGATCCCAAATATTTAAGGAAAGAGACATTGATTCCTCTATCTCAGTTACCCAATGGGAGAGAGTTGATAAGCTGAGTCCCAGCAATCCTACTGCTGTGATTTTCCCTTTGTCTGTGTGTATCTATAAAGAGCTTGAAATAGAGACGCTGAAGTGAAGTTACAAAGGTTACACGTTGCCCTCTCCCTCCCCCTCCCCCTCCCCCTCTCCCTCTCCCCACGGTCTCCCTCTCCCTCTCTTTCCACGGTCTCCCTCTGATACCGAGCCGAAGCTGGACTGTACTGCTGCCATCTCGGCTCACTGCAACCTCGCTGCCTGATTCTCCTGCCTCAGCTTGCTGAGTGCCTGCGATTGCAGGCACGCGCCGCCACGCCTGACTGGTTTTCGTATTTTTTTGGTGGAGACAGGGTTTCGCTGTGTTGGCCGGGCTGGTCTCCAGCTCCTAACCGCGAGTGATCCGCCAGCCTCGGCCTCCCGAGGTGCCGGGATTGCAGACGGAGTCTGGTTCACTCAGTGCTCAATGTTGCCCAGGCTGGAGTGCAGTGGCGTGATCTCGGCTCGCTACAACCTCCACCTCCCAGCCACCTGCCTTGGCCTCCCAAAGTGCCAAGATTGCAGCCTCTGCCCGGCCGCCACCCCGTCTGGGAAGTGAGGAGCATCTGCCTGGCCGCCCATCATCTGGGACGTGAGGAGCCCCTCTGCCTGGCTGCCCAGTCTGGAAAGTGAGGAGCGTCTCTGCCCGGCCGCCATCCCATCTAGGAAGTGAGGAGCACCTCTTCCCAGCCACCATCCCATCTAGGAAGTGAGGAGTGCCTCTTCCCGGCCGCCATCCCATCTAGGAAGTGAGGAGGGTCTCTGCCCGGCCGCCCATCATCTGAGATGTGGGGAGCGGCTCTGCCCCGCCGCCCCGTCTGGGATGTGAGGAGCGCCTCTACCCGGCCGCGACCCCGTCTGGGAGGTGAGGAGCGTCTCTGCCTGGCCGCCCCATCTGAGAAGTGAGGAGCCCCTCCGCCCGGAAGCTGCCCCGTTTGAGAAGTGAGGAGCGTCACCGCCCGGCAGCCACCCCGTCCAGGAAGGAGGAGGGGGTCACCCACCGCCAGGCCAGCCGCCCCGTCCGGGAGGGAGGTGGGGGGGTCAGCCCGCGACGGGGCCAGCCGCCCCATCTGGGAGGTGAGGGGCGCCTCTGCCCGGCCGCCCCTACTGGGAAGTGAGGAGCCCCTCTGCCCGGCCAGCCGCCCCGTCCGGGAGGGAGGTGGGGGGTCAGCCCCCCGCCCGGCCAGCCGCCCCGTCTGGGAGGTGGGGGGCACCTCTGCCCGACCGCCCCTACTGGGAAGTGAGGAGCCCCTCTGCCCGGCCAGCCGCCCCGTCCGGGAGGGAGGTGGGGGGGTCAGCCCCCCGCCCGGCCAGTCGCCCCGTCCGGGAGGTGAGGGGCACCTCTGCCTGGCTGCCCCTACTGGGAAGTGAGGAGCCCCTCTGCCCGGCCAGCCGCCCCGTCCGGGAGGGAGGTGGGGGGGTCAGCCCCCCACCCGGCCAGCCGCCCCGTCCGGGAGGTGGGGGGCACCTCTGCCCGGCCACCCCTACTGGGAAGTGAGGAGCCCCTCTGCCCGGCCAGCCGCCCCATCCGGGAGGGAGGTGGGGGGGTCAGCCCCCCGCCCGGCCAGCCACCCCGTCCGGGAGGGAGGTGGGGGGGTCAGCCCCCCGCCCGGCCAGCCGCCCCGTCCAGGAGGGAGGTGGGGGGGTCAGCCCCCTGCCCAGCCAGCCGCCCCATCCGGGAGGTGAGGGGCACCTCTGCCTGGCCGCCCCTACTGGGAAGTGAGGAGCCCCTCTGCCCGGCCAGCCGCCCGGTCCGCGAGGGAGGTGGGGGGGTCAGCCCCCAGCCCAGCCAGCCGCCCCGTCCGGGAGGTGGGGGGCGCCTCTGCCCGGCCGCCCCTACTGGGAGGTGAGGAGCCCCTCTGCCCGGCCACCACCCCATCTGGGAGGTGTGCCCGGCAGCTCATTGAGAACGGGCCATGATGACAATGGCGGTTTTGTGGAGTAGAAAGTGGGGAGAGGTGGGGAAAAGAGTGAGAAATCAGACGGTTGCCGTGTTTGTGTAGTAGGAGGTAGACATGGGAGACTTTTCATTTTGTTCTGTACTAAGAAAAATTCTTCTGCCTTGGGATCCTGTTGATCTGTGACCTTACCCCCAACCCTGTGCTCTCTGAAACATGTGCTGTGTCCACTCAGGGTTAAATGGATTAAGGGCGGTGCAAGATGTGCTTTGTTAAACAGATGCTTGAAGGCAGCATGCTCGTTAAGAGTCATCACCACTCCCTAATCTCAAGTACCCAGGGACACAAACACTGCGGAAGGCCGCGGGGTCCTCCGCCTAGGAAAACCAGAGACCTTTGTTCACTTGTTTATCTGCTGACCTTCCCTCCACTATTGTCCTGTGACCCTGCCAAATCCCCCTCTGTGAGAAACACCCAAGAATGATCAATAAAAAATAAATAAATTAAAAAAAAAAAGCTACAAGAGTATGTTATAACTCAATGCAAGGAAGCTAAAAATCATAATAAAACATTGCAAGAGCTGACAGACAAAATAGACACTACAAGAATTTCATAATGTAAACACAAGTATTAATAACAAAATAAACCGAGCAGAGGAAAGAATCTTAGAGCTTGAAGACTGGCTTTCTGAAAAAAGACAGGCAGACAAGAATAGAGAGAAAAGAATGAAAAGGAATGAACAAAACCTCCAAGAAAATAAGGGATAATGTAGAGACTGGATCTATGACTGATTGATGTACCTGAAAGATATGGTTGGTTCTATGCAGAGAACAGAACCAATCTGGAAAACATATATCATGATATCATCCATGAGAACTTCCTCAATATAGTGAGGGAGACCAACATTCAAATTCAGGAAATGCAGAGAACTCCAGTAAAATACTCTACAAGAAGATCATCCACAAGACACACAATCATCAGATTCTTCCAACACCAATATGAGGAGAAAAACATATATTAAAGGTAGTGAGAGAGAAAGGCCAAGTCATGTACAAAGGGAAGCCCATCAGACTAACAACAGACCTCTCAGATGAAATACAACAAGCCAGAAGAGACTGGAGGACAATATTCAATATTCATAAAGAAAAGAAATTTCAAACCAGAATTTTATATCCAGCCAAACTAAGCTTCATAAGTGAAGGAGAAACACGATTCTTTTTAGACAAGCAAATGCTGAGGGAATTTGTTACCACCAGACCTGCCTAACAAGAGCTCCTGAAGAAGGCACTAAATATGGACAAGAAAGACCATTACCAGCCACTACAAAAACACACTGAAGTACACAAACCAGTGACACTATAAAGCGACCACATAAACAAGTTGACAAAATAACCGGCTAACATGATGATGACAGGATCAAATACACACATATCAATATTAATCTTAAATGTAAAAGTGACAAGCTGGATAAGGAACCAAGACCCACCAGTATGCGGTCTTCAAGAGATCCATCTCACATACAATGACATACACAGGCTCAAAATAAATAGATGGAGAAAAATCTACCAAACAAATGGTAAACAGAAAAAAGCAGGGGTTGCAATCCTACTGTCTGGCAAAACAGACTTTAAACCAACAAAGATCAAAATAGACAAAGTAGGGCATTACATAATGATAAAGGGGAAGTCAGGAGGTATATGGAAAATTTCTGCTCAACTTTTCCATTAACCTAAAACTGCTCTTTAAAAATTACCTATTTTGGCCAGCCACAGTGGCTGACGCCTGTAATCCCAGCACTTTGGGAGGCCGAGGTGGGCAGATCACAAGGTCAAGAGATCAAGACCATCCTGGCCAACATGGTGAAACCCCGTCTCTACTAAAAATAAAAAAATTAGCTGGGTATGGTGGCACATGCCTGTAGTCCCAGCTACTCGGGAGGCTGAGGCAGGAGAATCGCTTGAACCCGGGAGACAGAGATTGCAGTAAGCCAGGATCGCACCGCTGCACTCTAGCCTGGCAACAGAGTGAGACTCCATCTAAAAAAAAAAAAAAAAAACTATTTTTAGAAAGTCAACTTGATCCCAAAATGTATGTGTAAATAAAAAAGGCTGCAATGATCTTGAAGAAAAACAGTGTGGATGTACTCTCTCAAATTTTAAGACTTATTAAAACTTTAAAAAGACAGTATGATATTATCACTCAAATAGACCAATAAATAGAACAGAATAGTTTCCAGAAACAGACACATGCTTACATAGACATTTGATTTCTGACCAAGGTGGCGCTGCAGAGCAATGGGAACCAAGCAGCCTTTTCAGTAATTAGAGCCATCTGAATGTGACTCATGTGAAAAGAATGAAACTTTAGTCCTACCGTACCCCATACACACTCAAAAAAGTCAGTTTTAAGAAGATTTCAAATATAAATGTGAAAAGTAAAATTAAATGCTTCTAGATGATAAGTGTATATTTTCATGATTTTGTGGTGGGTAAAAATTTCCTAAACCAGATATAAACAGGAAAACACATTAAAATTAGAAACTTTGATTCACCAAATGGCACTATTCACAAAAACTAGGTAAGCCACACAGGGAAAGTTAATTTCACATTTATCACCAGTGAAAGACTTGTATCCACAACATATCAAGAACTTCTAAAAATCAATAAAAAGTGCAGATAGCCCAATAAAAATAGACAAAATCCTTGAGCAGCCACCTTATACAAAATGATATTCAAATGGCCAATACATTCATTAAAATATAATTAAACTGAAAAGGGAACCCTTATACGCTGTTGTTGGGAATGTAAATTGGTACAGCCATTATGGAAGACAGTATGGGGATTCCTCAAGAAATTACAAATGAAACTACCACATAACCCAGCAATCCCTCTTTTACCAAAGGAAATGAAATCAGCAAATCATAGACATATCTGTACTCTCATTTTCATTGCAGCATTATTCACTATAGCGTATATTTGGAAACAACCTGTGTCCATCAATGATGAATGGATAAAGAAACTGGTACACACACACACACACACACATACACACACACACACATACACAATGGAATATTGTTAAGCCTTAAAAAAAAAAAAAGGAAATACTGCCATTTGCAACAACATGGATGAACCTGAGGAACACTGTGCTAAGTGAAATAAGCTATACACAAAAATAAAAAGAATGTATGATCTCACTTATATGTGGAATCTAATAAACAACAAATACATTGAAACAGAGAGTAGGACAGTGGTAATCAGAGGCAGAGAGGGGAGGAAATGGGGAGAAGTAGATCAAAAGGTGCAAACTTGCAGTGATGTAGGATGAATAAGCCTAGAGATCTAATGTACAGCATGAGGACTATAGGCGATAACATATATTTAAAATTTGCTCAGTGAATAGATTTTAAGTGGTCTTACCACAAAAGAAGTAGTTATGTGATGTGATGGACATGATCTTTTGTGTGACAGTAGTAATCATTACACTATGTATATGTGTATCAAAACATCATACTGTATAACTCAAATACATCACAAAATGGTACAGCTGTTTTGTAAGTTTGGCAGAAATGATAAAAATAGAAAAAAATAAAAGTGATATGCTTAAGCTCATTAAAAATTAGGAAAATAAAAATTAAAACCACAATGAAATATTACAGCAAACTTGCCAGAATGGTTAACTTATTGGCAAGAATGTAAAACAACTACTAGTGGAAGTTTAAATTTCTACAACCACTGGAAATTTGTTTGACCGTATCTTCCAGAGTTGAACACATGTTTACCCTATGACTGAGTAATTCTACTTCTAGATATAGGCCTATCAGAAATGCTTACCTATGTTTTACGAAAGGAAATACAAGTTTATAGCCTCCTTTTTCACAGTAGCCAAAACTGGAAATAACCCAAATGTGCATTGGTAAAAATATGGATAGACAAATTATAGCACACTGATAGAATGGAAAATAACATAGCAATGAAAATGAACAAAACTACTACTAAACATAACAACATTGATGGATTTCATACAAACATAATTTTGAGTGAAAGCAACAAGGCACAAAACGGTACGTACTGCATGATTACATTTATATAAAGTTCAAAAATAGACAAAACGAATCAATGGTGTTGGAAGTCAGCTAGTGGTTTCTCTTATGGAGGAGGATGGGAATAGGGAATGAAAAGAGATATAAGTGATTTCTGGGTTGCTGAATATGTTTGGTGTCTTGATATGGGTGGTGGCTACATGAATGCTTACACTTTGTAATAATTCTCTGAGCTGCATACTTTAGAATGCATGTTATGCATCAATGTTTATTTTTAAAACTATTTCAATGTAATTTACCACATTAAAGGATAAGAAAATATTTGATCATCTTAAAAGATGTCAAAAAATAATTCAACAAAATCTGTAATCATTCATGGTAAAAAGCTATTAGGAATATCTAGGAATGTCCTTTTGATGACAAAAATATTTATTAAAAATTTACAGCAAATATCATACTTGATAATGCAACTTTAGAAGCATTCCTATTAAAACAAGGCACAAGACAAGAATGAACACTTTCATTGTTACTACTCAGTATACAAATTTGACATCCTGGTTAATGAAATAAGACCAAAAAAAGTCAGAAATATAAATATTGGAAAGGAAGAGCCAAAACTCACTATTTTAAGATGGTAGGCATGGCTTCTCCTGGGGCCTTGGAAAAGACCTGTGCATTTGAGAAGCTCAGACACAAGTGCCTTTAGCTTCATTTTAATCTGCCCCTGCAGAGAACATTGGGTTTATTCATGATGTCAGTATATATTGCATTCTCTTCACATTTACTGTTGCTAGTTTTTCTCTCCCATTAGAATGTAGCACTTTCTTTTTTGCCTCAACACAGTGCCCATAAGAATTTTATATTTAATGAGGAAATGAAATATCTGCATGCAGTATCAGAAAACCATGTGTATTATTGGAATCCTGACACATTTGGAGGTTGGGAACCCTTAGAGTAAACGCTGATTCAGAAAAAAATCAGAAGTTATAACAAATCCTCAGCTTTAACATGTTTATCAGTAATGCAAACTAATAACTTCATGTCAGCTTGTTTGTTCCACATATAACTAGTTGACATTTTGTATCTATTCCAGTTGATGTATGCCATATGGATGAATTTAAACAGTTTCGGCCTTGCAATAATTGGTATACTTCTAATTGCATGTGAAATTATACTCTTTTTAACGAAAGATGAAACTATTCAGTGGCCACATGTAAGTACAAGGTTTTACAATGTTTTTTTCACAGAAACTTACACTTTAAATTTGTTTGTAAATGAGCAGAGCCTATTTTGGTGTTGGACAAATGCAGAGGTGATCAAAATTAACAATTCACATTTGGCATGACCACAAGTAAGGATCCAAACCACTGAACAGACCTTTAAAACTGGGACCAAAACAAACCTCAAGAAATCAAATGGTGTTACATAAAATAAAATAACTAAAATGTAGATTATTGAGATTCAGATGAAGGATGATGGTAAAGATACAAAAACCTTAAATAAATATAGATATCTCTTCAAAATAAGGATATATTGGAAGTTGGCAGGCTCACTGACACAATGTACTAGATACATTCTAGTTATCTGTGTCTCCCCAATCCTTATTCGCAGGGCCCAGAACTTAATAGATATCTAATAAGTGTTTATTGAGTGAATGTAAATACTTTTTATTTTACTATCCTCTCTGAAAGTATTCCCAGCAAAATACTCCTGAAAATCAGTAATCAGAAATTCTCTGTATGCAATAGGCAGGTTAAGTCCCAAGTCCCCTGAATATGCTGTAAATTCACCTTTTTTTCACATGGCACTAACCATTTGATTTTAAGGTAAATATTATGGATATGAAAATTGAAATGGAAAAAAAAGATGAACATATGGTCATTGGCTAAATGTGCATGGGATTCCTAGTTGCTTAAAGTTAGAAACCTATATATACCGGAACGGGGGAGACGATACACTAACACTTCAGGATGTCAAAGACCTGATGGAATTAGGACAAAGAAAGGAAGTCCCACTTTTTTCAAATTTTAAAAATGACAGGATAGTTAGGACAGATATCTGCAGTTCAGAATTTTTACACTCATAAGCATTATTGGCATTTTGGTCATTTTAGGACTACCCTTAATATTTTATGCCACCAGGTGTATTGCATGCCTTATGCAGAAGGAAAGTCTTAAGAATTCTGAGACCTATCAAGCGTACATATCTCTATTTCAAATCCTGCTTATGCTTTATTGATGTGACAGCTCAGTACATATCTGGAAGTTTTGTTTTTATAGGCTATAGGAGTAAATAAGAACACTTTAAATACTTGATTGAGTAACTAGCTGGTAGGTCTTGGAGGATATCACTCATATGCACAAACACAAAAGATATAGAGCAAAGGCCTAAGACATCACAGTATGTTCAAAGGTCAGCCTGTCCTACTCCCTGGAAGTTTATTTTGTCACACATCATGGGCAGAACCCTATCAAGCAAATTTAATGACAAGGAGGTTGAAGTATGATGGCTTTCCATACCTAAAGCTATTATAGAGGTCAAATAAGAACTAAAGCCCTATAGGGGAAAATAGAGTATGAAAAAAACCTCTATATGAGTTTTTTTTATTTCAGTTCCTAAGTTTTTCTTCAACACCAATACTGAAATATGCCATACTAGAACTCATACTCTACAATCTCAGTTGCTAGCATTGTTTGTACCTAACAGATTCATTCCCAAATGCAAGAAGTCCGAGGATTAGTAAATATGCTATTCTGGCTGAGGGGTCAGACACAGCAAGCTCTGAGGCCTTTCCTTACGGCAGACCAATTTGGAAATTACAGGATATCAGTTCCTTTCCTCCCAGGAGGCTCTTGGCATCTGTGAAAACTTGCCTATATTATTGCCAACAAGAATCTTTGTTTACCAAAAGCTACCAGGATGAGCAGGCTTTCTCAGGCATTCCACAACTATTCTTCTGAAGAAACCACTCAAGTGTTCAGGAAAGAATCAGAAAATATCTGCCCAAGTAACTTTCTAAATCTTTCAAGACAGTGAAATGGCTAGCAGCTTCTCTTGCTAACAACAGGTTCAATTTCTCTTCTTTCTCCACAAGCACACAGCTACATTTATTTTATAATAAATGTATTTGTATAATTATTGACCAAAGATAAATATATAATTAATTATAAATTACTTACTTTTTAATATTCTATTTCATTTCACATAGGATTTGAAAGAGCTTAACGAATACCTGTAGTAATATAATTAAAATATATCTAAAATGAGTAAATACTTTAAAAATGTTTATTAGCATAAATTGTTATAAGTATATAGTATAGTGATATATGTGAGGAGACTTCAAAAAGTTTGTGGAAAATGGAGTTAAAAGATGAAAAATATGAACTTTATTTCTCAACATAAGATCCACCAAGGTCAAGACACTTCTGTAAGCAATACCAGCCATTTAGTCCATCTCTAAAGGACTGAGGGTCCTGGTATTTTAACCATGTCGGTAAAGCATTTTCTTACATTATTAACTGAAGAGAAATGGGTGTCCTTTAAAGATTTTTTAAGATTAGAAAACAAAATAAATCCAAGGGAGCCAAATCAGGACTGCGAGGTGGATGCCTAATGATTCCCCATCCAAGTTCTCACAAAATTGCCCTTGTTTGCCGAGAGGAACGAGCAGAAGCATTGTTGTGGTGGAGAAGGGCTCTCTGGTGAAACCTTCCCAAGCATTTTTCTGCTAAAACTTTAGCTAACTTTCTCAAAACACTCTTATAATAAGCAGGTGTTACTGTTCCTTGGCCCTCCAGAAAGTCAACAAGCAAAATGCCTTGAGCATACCAAAGAACTGTTACCATAATATTTGGTTTTGACTGATTCAAACTTGCTATGACTGGACCACTTCCACCTCTTGGTAGCCATTACTTTGACTGTGCATTGTCTTCAGGATCATACTGGAAAAGCCATGTTTCACCCCCTATTAAAATTATTCCAAGAAATGCTTCAGGATCTTGATTCCTCTTGTTTAAAATTTTTATTGAAAGTTCTTCTTTTGTATGCAGCTGATCTAGGCACAACAGTTTGGGGACCTATCAAGCGGAAAGTTTGCTCAACTTTAATTTTTCAGCCAGAATTGTGTAAGCAGAACCAATTGAGATATCTATGGTGCTGGCTATTGTTCCAACTGTTAATCATGGGTCCTCTTCAATTAGGGCATGAACAAGATGAACTTTTTTTTCTTGTTAATTGATGTGGATGGTCTGCATGTTTCATCTTCAACATCGTCTCATCACTTCTTAAAACAAGTTATCTATTTTTTGTTTGTTTTTCAAAATGATAGATTGGAGTCTTTGTTAGCACATTGCACCCACTTGATAAGAGCAATATAGTGTGTAGATTCATGCTATGAACTTTTATCCAAGAAGGAGCACAGGAACTCAACAGAAACACTGAAACAAACTTTGAATACCTTGAAAGGAGTGGCAGACAGCAACTTGCACTATGAGTCCGTTGGAAAACTATGAGTCTTGAGAACATGAAAGGGAGACAGACTGTCTCCATGATACAAATTCCCACTTGGGAGCTGTGCAATCCAGGCCATGAGGGAGTGACTTGACCCTACCAGGAGCTGGAGCTAATTTGGTGAGTAGTGGGGAGTATATGAAAAGGAATGGCATCAGGATGTGCTTTGCATGAACTCCCAGATGTCAGTGGGGACAGAAAGAAGGCATTCCTGATCCTAACTCACAGGGAATCTTTCAGAAACTTGCCAGCTAACTCAGGCAGTGGTCATAGGTTGAGAGAAGCTCCAAACTGAGATGTGTGATCTCATCTCAAGTAAGAATGAGATGTAATCTCAATAATCTCAAGGCCAGAACCAAGAGGCAAGAAGAAAGCATGCTCTTGCTACAGGTCCAAAATTAGGCGCCCCTGTTTTGCAGGTCATATTGGGAAGGATGTGGCTTTCAGGCCACATCCTTCTGTTTCTGTCTTGGTTGGGAAGTTTTGCATTCTGAGCATGAACTGTCTGGAACTCAGCTGGCTGTTTCAGCTTTCTGCCAGCAGAAGTTTGTGTATGTGAGACCTACTGTGCCAAAGGCATGGGAGTTGGGTGGGTCTTACTGCCACCTGCTACCCCTTTTCCCCATACAGACACTTTTGTGCAGCAAAAGTGGTTGTACCCCTCCCCGCATCATTGTCCCAGTGGCCAGGGAGCTGCCCTCTGACCCCCATCAGGGCCACCATTTGTACCCACACTTGAGGAGCTAGAGCACTGACTTGCCTGATCCAACCCTCACCTGGCTTTGCCCTTCCACTCGCTTTGGTAGCAGAACATGGACAGGAATTTTTGAGAGTTCCATGGGCTCACCCATTGCCTAGGATATCTGAGTATTTACCCTGGGTAATATAGACCAAGCATAAATTCCACAGCTGCCACTGCAGCTGGCTCTCTACTGCACGCACCACATCCTGGCCAGAGGTCAACTGGCCTAGCCCACTACAATATCTGATGGCACAATAACAGCACTCAAGAAGAAAAAGGCTTTTGCATGATCTCAGCTAACACTATTGACTGCACCACCAAAGCTACTCAGGAGGCCTTGAGCCCATTCACATGCCCAACACATTACTACTACATCTAACAATGGAGAAAGCCACAATGCCAAGGCTATTTACAACCAAGGAAATCTTACAGAGTGTAAGCCACTCCCGTGCCACCATCATTAGAGCTGGTACTTGAACCTGCCACTGGGAAACCATAGGATGGGTCAGCCTGGTCCAGCTCCACTCAACATCACCTCTGGAGCATAAGAGTGGAGTCCAGGCTACTGCACATCTCACAGACCACTCCATAGCCTGAAGCATCCGAGAGCTTCTCCAGATGGCTGACTAGAGATTATCAGTGACAAATTCTGGGAAGGAAAAACCAAAATTACACTTGGATGATCACAGCGCAAATGGAGTATTAAGGGGAGAGTGCTGGAGCTTTTTGGAGAGTTCACTGGAAAAATCTATGATACACAAAAAAAGAAAGAAACAAGAAGCTGGTAGAGCTTAAACCCCAAGAGACAGAGCATTCTGTGGAAAGTGAATGGAATGCTTTCAGCCTCTGTAGGCCTTGTGGCAGCCTGCTGGTATCCAAACTCAAGGAGAGCTTATTTGGACTTGTAAGCCCAAGTATTGGATTGGCCTGTGATTTGGGGGCTTCTTAAGGGCATTACACTGGGCTACCAGCTTGTGCATGTTCCTTCCTTTCCCCCTAGACCTGAGCTATAGAAGCAAGTGCCATACTGGATGTGCAATCATTATGGGACATTGTTCTGCTATGGGACTTTCAACCCTTGTGTCTTCACATCCCCAGATCACTTGCTGACATTTCCCAGCATCAGCCTGGATTGCGGCAGACCCGCGAGGTGATGGCTAGAGCCAGAGGAGCATCAGGATTCACAGTAGTCTTGCTCTCCAAGACTGCCACTCCTGGGGGAAGGAGGAGTGTACCACATCAAGGGAGCACTCTGGGGAACAAAAGAAACTAGAATGTGGGCTTTTCTGTGTCCCAGATCTTCCCACTGTGGGCAGGAAGCACCTGCACCTCCTTCAACAAAGGCACGGGTGCAGTCTTGGGCTTAGTAGGGGAAGACTGGTTCTGCCCTAGCAGTTGAATAGCCCTGGTGCTTATAAAGGGACTTTTCATACCTCTCACCATTTTGCATAAAGGGACTTTTTATCTCTCTCACCCACCACTGAAGACACCACCAGAGCTTCTCCCATGGGAGCTTGGCAAGGGTGCACCTGTAGAAGGCTTTTATGGAACATTCTGAGGTGACAGCATCACCATAGGAGGTGTGCCCTCTGGGTTCAGGATTGCATGAGGAGTGGAGTCCCACTCCCTCTATACAAGAAACATCAGCATTTCTGCAGATGGACGAGGTCCCTGTCTGATCTGAATATCCAGAGTACTAGGACAAGGGTGTGACAGGGAGTTTGATCACTTTCCTCCTGGCCTGGTACTGGAAATAAAGTGGCTGTTTCCGTCCCCCCACTGCAAAGGCGTCAGTGAATTTCACCAGGAGCTCCCCCAGCTGCCTCATCAGGGATAGGGCTTTTGCTCACCAATGGGGTATTGAATATACCCACCTGCTTCAGCCACAGCCAATTCTTACCCACAGGTGCCTCCTGCTGGCCTGAAGGCTAAACTGCTCAACCCAGTTTAAAAAAAAAAAAATGGAATGCACACCACTGGGGAACAAGATAAGTTTCCTGAGAACTCTGCCATTCTGACCCCAAAGGAGACAATAAGCCTGCTCATACACCCAGTACATCACTACTATGAGCAACATCTGAGAAAGCTATAATATAAAGATTCTCTATAACCAAGGAACTCATACAGTGTCTTTGCCACTGAAAGCACCACCCAGAGCTGAAGTTAGGTCATCATAAACTGTACATTATTGTCACATCCTCAAGGTATAAAAAGAAAACTTAGTCCAATCAAAAAATAAATTCAAAAATAATGAAAAGAAATAGTCTATCCAGATGAGAAGAAGCCAGAAAAATAATTCTGGCAATATAGAAAAGCAGAACCTTGCAACACCCTGAAAGGATCATATTAACTCTTCAGCAGTGGATCCAAACCAAAATGAAATATTTGAAATACCAGATAAAGAATTCAAAATATTGATTGTAAAGTTGCTCAATGAGATCCAAGAAAAATTTTAAATCTAACAAAAAGAAATCAAAAATAAATTCAGGATAAGAATGAAAAATTTTCCAAAGAGATAAATACTTTTTTAAATAAAACAGAACATCTACAAATGAAAGACTAATTTAGGGAATTACAAAATGCAGTGGAAAGTATTAACAATAAACTGTACCAAGCAGAAAAAAATCATTTCAGAGCTTGAAGACATGGCTTTTGAATTAATTCAATCATACAAAAATAAATAAACAAAGTTTCCAAAAAATATGGGATTATGCAAAAGGTCCAAACCTAAGAATCATAGATATTCCTGGCCAGGCTCAGTGGCTCACATCTGTAATCCCAGCACTTTGGGAGGCCAAGGCATGCAGATTGCTTGAGCTCAGGACTTTGAGGCCAGCTTGGGCAACATGGCAAAACCCAGTCTCTACAAAATATACAAAAATTAGCAAGGCATGGTGGCATGTGCCTATAAACCCAGCTACTTGGGAGGCTGAGGCACAAGAATCACTTAAACCCAGGAAGTGGAGGTTGCAGTGAGCCAAGATCATGCCACTGCACTCCAGCCTGGGTGACAGGGTGAGACTCTGTCTCAAAAGAAAGAAAAAAGAAAAAAAAGAATCATAGATATTACTCATAGATATTCCTGAGAAAGAAGAAGAAAAAGCAAAAAGTTTGGAAACCTATTTTTGAGAGAATAATTAAGGAAAACTTCCCTAGTCTTGCCAGAGACTTAGACATCCAGATTCAAAATCTCAAGAACTTCTGGAAGATGCATTGCAGAAAGGACATTAGGAAGGCATATAGTCATCAAGCTACCTAAAGGCAACATGAAGAAAGAATTCTAAGAATAGTGAGACAAAAGCATCAAATAACTTAAAAAGAAAAATCTATCAGACTAACAGCAGATTTTTCAGTAGAAACCTGACAATCCAGAAGGAATTGGGGTCCTAGCTTTAGTCTTCTTAAACAAAATAACTGTCAGCCAAGAACTTTGTATCTTGCAAAACTGATTCATAAATGAAGTCCTTCCCAGATAAGCAAACACTAAGGGAATTTGCCACCATTAGATCAGTCTTGCAAAAAATACTCAAAAGAGTTCTAAACATCAAAACGAAATATCCATATGCACCAGTATAAAAACACTTAAAAGTATAAAACTCACAGGGATTAAAAAACAGTAGCACAATGGAAAATAAAAGCAACTAGGTAACAATCAACATGATGACTGGAACAGTACCTTACATATCAATATCAACTTTGAATGTAAATGATATAAATGCCCCACTTGAAAGATATCAATGGTGGAATGGATTTTGAAAACACAATCCAAATATCTACTGCCTTCAAGAGACTAGTAAAGAGTCTTATAGACCCAACGATATAAAAATACCAAATATATATGCACGTAATATCAGAGTTACCAGATTCATAAAACTACTAGATCTAAGAAAAGAGAAGACACCAATATAATAATAGTGGGGGACTTCAACAGTCCACTGGCAGCACTAAGCAGATCATCAAGGCAGAAAGTCAACAAAGAAACACTGGACCTAACAGACATTTACAGAACATTCTAGCAAAAAAAATTGCATAATATACATTCTTCTCATCAGCACATGGAATATTTTCCAAGATACATCACATGATAGGCCACAAAAAAGCTTCAATAATTTTTAAAAGGTTGAAATTATATTACATATCTTCTCAGACCACAGCAAAATAAAACTAGAAATCAATTCCAAGATGACTCTCAAAATCATACAAATACATGGAAATTAAACAACCTGCACCTGAATGAGCTTTGGATCAATGATGAAATAAAAATGGAAATTTAAAAATTTTTTGAAATTATTGATAACAATGGCACAAGTTATCAAAATCTCTAGGATATCACAAAAGTAGTGCTAACAGGGAAGTTTGGGCCAGGCACAGTGGCTCACACCTGTAATCCCAGCATTTCGGGAGGCCAAGGCAGGTGAATCATTTGAGGTCAGGAGTTCAAGACTAGCCTGGCCAACATGGTGAAACCCCATCTCTACTAAGAATACAAAAGTTAGCTGGGCGTGGTGGTGGGCATCTGTAGTCCCAGCTACTCAGGAAGCTGAGGCAGAAGAACCGCTTGAATCGGGGAGGTGGTGGTTGCAGTGAGCCGAGATTGTGCCACTGCACTCCAGCCTGGGTAACAGAGCTAGACTCCATCTCAAAAAAAAAAAAAAAAAAAAAAAGATGGAAGTTTGTAGTCCTAAATGTCTACATCAAAAAGACAGAAAGATCACAAATTGAGAGCCTAGAAACATGCCTGAAGGAACTAGAAAAATAAGAGCAAACCAAAACCAAAGCTAGAATAAAAGAAATCACTAAGATCAGAGTAGAATAATGAAATTGAAACTAAAAAAAAAAAAAAATACAAAGGATCAATGAAATGAAAAGCTGATTCTTTGAAAAGATAAACAAAATTGACAGACAAATATCTAGATTAACCAAGAAAAGAAGGCCGGGCGCTGTGGCTCACGCCTGTAATCCCAGCACTTTGGGAGGCCAAGACGGGCGGATCACGAGGTCAGGAGATCGAGACCATCCTGGCTAACATGGTGAAACCCCGTCTCTACTAAAAATACAAAAAAAAAAAAAAAAAAAAAACAATTAGCCGGGCGTGGTGGCGGGCGCCTGTAGTCCCAGCTACTCGAGAGGCTGAGGCAGGAGAATGGCGTGAACCCGGGAGGCGGAGCTTGCAGTGAGCCGAGATCGCGCCACTGCACTACAGCCTGGGGGACAGAGCAAGACTCCGCCTCAAAAAAAAAAAAAAAAAAAAGAATAGAGAGGATTCAAATAAGCTCAATCAGAAATGAAAATAGAGACATTACAAGTGATTAGACGGAAATACAGAAGATCATCCAAGACTTCTACGAACATTTCTATGCACACAAACTAGAAAATCTAGAGGAAATTGACAATTTCTGGGAAACATGCAATCCCCAAGCTTGAATCAAGAAGAAATAGAAATCCTGAACAAACCAATAATAAGTACTGAGATTGAATCGGTAATTTTAAAAAATCTCCCAACAAGAACAAAAAAAGAGCCCAGGGCAAGACAGATTCACAGCCAAATTCTACCAGACCTTCAAATAACTGACATACTTAAAATATCCCAAAAAACTAAGAAAAAGGGAATTCTCTCTTACTCATTCTACAAAGCCGGTAGCACCCTGATACCAAAGCCAGGAAAGGACACAACAAAAAAAGGAAAACTACAGACCTAAATCCCTGATAAAATTAAATGTGAAAATCCTCAACAAAATACTAGCAAACTGAATCCAACAGCACACCAAAAAATTAATTCACCAAGATCAGGTGGATTTCATCCCAGGGACACAATGATAGTTTAACATATGCAAGTCAATAAATGTAATTCACCACATAAAAAGAACTTAAAACAAAAACTATATGATAGACTCAAAGGGCACAGAAAAAGCATTTGATAAAATTCAGCATCTCTTCATGATAAAAAACCCTCAACAAACTAGGCATAGAAGAAACATACCTCAAAATAATAAAAGAGGTTGGGCGCAGTGGCTTAAGCCTGTAATCCCAGCACTTTGGGAGGCTGAGGCAGGCAGATCACTTGAGGTCAAGAGTTAGAGACCAGCGTGGCCAACATGGTGAAACCCCCTCCACCAAACCTGGCTAATTTTTATCTTTACTAAAAATAAAAAATTAGCCAGGTTTCTGTACTCCCAGCTACTCGGGAGTTGAGCTCCCAGCTACTCGGGAGGCTGAGGCAGGAGAATCACTTGAACCCAGGAGGCAGAGGCTGCAGTGAGCTGAGAGCACGCCACTGCACTCCAGCCTGGGCGAAGGGAGAGAAACCTTGTCTCAAAAAAAAAAATTAAATAATAATAAAAGCTATATGTGACAAACCCACAGCCAACATCATACTGAATGGGAAAAAATTAAAAGCATTCCCCTTCATAACTGGAGCAAGACAAGAATGCCCACTTTCACTACTCCTATTCAACATAGTACTCAAAGTCCTGGCCAGAGCAATCAGGCAAAAGAAAAATAAAAAAATAAGGCGCATCCAAATTGAAAAAGAGGAAGTCAAATTATTTATCTTTGCTAGTAATATGACCTTATGCCTTAAAAACCTTAAAGACTCCTCCAAAAGACTCCCAGATTTGATAAATGAATTCAGTAAAGTCTCAGGTTACAAAATCAACATACACAAATCAGTAGCACTGCTATATACTAATAACAACCAAGCTGAGAATCAAATCAGGAACTCAATCCCATTTACAATAACTATAGAAAAAAACACCTAAAAATATACTTAACCAAGGAGTTGAAGGATCTGTACAAGGAGAATTACAAAACACTGGTAAAAAGAAATCACAGATGACACAAATGGAAAAACATCCCATGCTCGTAGATTCGAAGAACCAATATTGTGAAAATGACCATACTGTTCAAAGAAGTGTACAGATTCAATGAAATTCCTATCAAGAAACCAATGTCATTTTTCACAGAATTTACCCCAGTAACAATGACCATTATTGAAAAGTCAAAAACCCATAGACGTTGGTGAGGATGCAGTTAAATGGAAATGCTTATGCACTGTTGATGGGACGTAAATTAGAATAACCTCTATGGAAAACAGTATGGAGGTTTCTCAAAGAACTACAAGTAAGTCTACCATTCAATGCAACAATCCCACTACTGGGTATCTATCCAAAGGAATAGAAGTCATATCAAAAAGTTACCTGTACTTATATGTTTATCACAGCACAATTCACAATTGCAAAGATACTGTGATGGTTAATACTGAATGTCAACTTCTTTTGGATAGAAGGATGCAAAGTATTGCGCCTCAGTGTGTCTGTGAGGGTGTTGCCAAAGGAGATTAACATTTGAGTCAGTGGGCTGGGCACCATCTAATCAGCCAGCGCAGCTCGGATATAAAGCAGGCAGAAAAACGTGAAAAGGCTAGAGACTGGCTTAGCCTCCCAACCTACATCTTTCTCCCATGCTGGATGCTTCTTGCCCTCGAACATCAGACTCCAAGTTCTTCATCTTTGGGATTTGAACTGGCTTCCTTGCTCCTCAGATTGCAGACAGACTATTGTGGGACCTTGTGACCATGCGAGTTAATACTACTTAATAAACTCTCATATATATATATATATAATCCTATTAGTTCTGTGCCTCTAGAGAACCCTGACTAATACAGATATGGAATGTACCTAAGTGCCCATCAACTGATGAGTGGATAAAGAAAATATGGGAGATATGTATATATACACCATGGAATATTTATACACCAGCAATAAAAGAGAACAGAAAGCCAAATATACATGTTCCCACTTATAAATGTGGCTAAGTTACGGTTCTCAAGGCCATATAAAGGTCTATAATGGACACTGGAGACTCAGAAGCGGGAGGGTGGAGGGGGAGTGAGGGATGAAAAATTACCTATTGGATACAATGTACACTCTTGAAGTGATAGGTACGCTAAAAGCCCAAACATCACCCCTATGTAATTCAGTCATATAAACAAAAACCACTTGTACCCCTAAATCTATTGAAATTTTAAAATTTGATTTAATTTAAATATAAAAGTGATGCTTTTAAAATCTTTAAAAAAAATTCCATTTGTAAACTGCCTATTTCTCTGGAGCATTCTCTTCATAAACTTTTTGGTTTTCTTGTGTTTTGTTTTGTTTTGTTTTGTTTGTTTTGTTTTGCTTTTGAGACAGGGTCTTGCTCTGATGCCCAGGCTGAAGCACAGTGGCGTGATCATGGCTCACTGCAGCCTGGACCTCCTGGCCTCAACTGATCCTCCCACATCAGCCTTCTTAGTAGCTGGGACTTATAGGTGCACACCACCAGGTCTAGCTAATTTTTTTTGTAGAGGTGCCGTTTCATCATATTGCCCAGGCTGGTTTCAAATTCCTGGGCTCAAGTGATCCACCCACCTCGGCCTCCCAAAGTGCTGGGATTACAGGTGTGAGCCACCACACCTGGCCCCTCATAAACTTTTTGTAAAGCGTCAATAGTTTATGAATTCATTAGTCTTCCACCCGGGCTTTGACATCAATTTTATGCTTGTTCTTTCTTCAATTTTAGCAGAATTCATGTTTCTCTGGTAGGGGCTCTTTTCAAACTGACTTCTTATCCTTCTAAGTGCCTCAAACTAAATCCTGTTAAGACATGTTATAACAATTTTGTGTGAGTTTATTTTGGTGCAAAAATTTTTTGAAATCCGTGCGTAGTTTTTCCATAGTATGCATTTCCCACAAACTTTTTGAAG
The DNA here is from genome assembly GCF_000001405.40 of Homo sapiens. Lineage (NCBI taxonomy): Eukaryota > Metazoa > Chordata > Mammalia > Primates > Hominidae > Homo > Homo sapiens. The sequence continues at coordinate 60,641,190 of NC_000011.10, forward strand.
ACCCCTTGTATTAGGTTGAACCATTTGAAATTGCTGATATCAGACCATTTTTAATCTACAAAATTGTCAGTATTGTATGATCCAATCCAATGTATTAGACTATTCCAATATATGCAATTTGGAATATGATCCTTGTGAAATCAAGAGGAAAATAATAACATAGATATATAGGTTTTAGAATACTATGAATTACCAATATTGACACAGTTTTTGCACTAAGTTTCCTGATAGGCAAAGTGAAAATGAAATTCAATCATTATGTGAATAAATTATCTATTAGGCAGAAATGTTTCAGTTCATTATGGATAAAATGATTCCTGTAATAGTACTTTATAACCATTTATTCGTGTATAGTTCAGTATAATAAGCAGTATATAACAGTATATAACAGTTATATATATACTGTTATATACTTTCCCCCGTTCTATAATTAAAAATTAGAATACATGGCGGGGCACGGTGGCTCACGCCTGTAATCCCAACACTTTGGGAGGCTGAGGCAAGTGGATCACGAGGTCAGGAGATTGAGACCATCCTGGCTAACACGGTGAAACCCCGTCTCCACTAAAAATACAAAAAATTAGCCGGGCGTGGTGGCAGGCGCCCGTAGTCCCAGCTACTCGGGAGGTTGAGGCAGGAGAATGGCGTGAACCCAGGAGGCGGAGCTTGCAGTGAGCTGAGATCGGGCCACTGCACTCCAGCCTGGGCGACAGAGTGAGACTCCGTCTCAAAAAAAAAAAAAAAATAGAATACGTAACTCTGGTTACATTTTCTGTTTGGAGATACTGAGCATTCTCAGTCTGGATCTGGTTGTCTTGAGTTAAGGAATTATTTCACCCAAGAAAACTTCCAGGAGTGGTGACAGATTCTCCAAAGTAGACATAATAAGCAAGATGGATGCAAGGAGGAAGCATAGGTTGATAGCGTAATATTTTAAATGCTGACTCAAAGAAATCATTATTTCATTACTAAGAGTAAAATTAGCGTGAAGTATAAGCAGCCCCATAGCCTAGTCTTCTCTAGATCAATAATAGTTCTAAACATACTGTACTCTAACTACATTATTTCTGAGTAATTTCTCCTGAATGAACACTTGAAATTTGCATAACCTGCCATTAGAGAGAAGGCATACTTCAATTATCCATATTCTTATAAAGTTGAGACTGCATAAACTAATGCCCACTAGGTTAACACGAAATGTTTTAACAACAGCTCAGCCTTCAGTTTTCTAGAAGGTCCAGTTTCCAAAAAATTATAGCATTCTTTATGCCTAATGTCCTAGCTACAAATAATGATACTGCATAGTTTTTTCACAATATGAATTTTATGAAATATTTTACTGAGATTATCTCATTAGATCTGTTAAATCTCTACCCTATTTTTATTTCCTTTATCTCTACACTCTACTCTCAAATATCTCCCTTCATGAGGAACCATTCCTTTGTATTTAATATAAATGGTTTTTTAAAACCACTTTTTAATTTTAAGCTACTTTATATGATTAATACATAAAAATGTATACATATGTAATGCATAGATCTGAGTGAGTTTGGGGATAGGTATACACCTATGAAACTATCACCACCATCAAGGCCATAAACACATTTATCACATCCCGAAGGTTCTTCCCACACCCTTTATTATTATTGCTTTTTACTTTTTCTTTGGGTATTAACATTTAACACACCGCTATCCCCTTAGCAATTTTAAGCACACAATACAGTTTTATTCACCACAGGCACTATGCTATAGAGTAGATCTCCAGAGCTTAGTTATTTTGCATAACTAAAATGTTGTGACTTTTAACCATCATCTTCCCATTTATCCCTCCCACAAGCCACTGACAGCTACTATTCTACTCTCTGCTTTTAAGAGTTTGGCGATTTTAGGCTATTATCTAAAAGAAAAATACAGCAGATGCTGGTGAGGTTGAGGAGAAAAGGGAACACTTCTACACTGTTGGTGAGAATGTAAATTAGTTCAGCCACTGTGCAAAGCAGTTTGGAGATTGCTCAAAGAACTTTAAACAGAACTACCATTTAACTCAGCAATCCCATTACTGAGTATATATCCAAAAGGAAATAAATCATTCCACCAAAAAGATATATGCATTCACAAGTTCCATCACAGCACTATTCACAATAGCAAAGACGTGAAATCAATCCAAGTGCCCATTAATGGTGGATTGCCTAAAGAAAATGTAATATATACACCATGGAATACTACACAGGCATAAAAAAGGGTGAAATCATGTCCTTTGCAGCAACATGGATGCAGCTGGAGACCATTATCCTAGGCAAATTAGCACAGAAACAGAAAACCAAATGCCGCGTGTTCTCACTTGTAAGTGGGAGTTAAACATTGTGCACACATGGACATAAAGATTGCAACAATAGACACTAAGACTATCAAAAGGGGGAGGAAGAAAGGGGGAAAGGGTTGAAAAAGCATAGTGGGTACAATGCTCACTACCTGGGTGATGGAATCAATCATACCCCAAACCTCAGCATCACCCAATATACCCATGTTTCAAACCTGCATGTGTACCCCTGAATCTAAAATAAAATTTGAAATTATAAAAAATAAAATTATGTAACTTAAAAAAATATTGCTGAGATGGATAAATACATAAATAAAATGGAAAAAAATTTAAGAGTTTAGATTCCACATAGTGAGATCATACAGTACAGCTATTTGTCTTTCTGTGTCTGGCTTATTTCACTTAATATCCTCCAGATCCATTCATGTTCTCACAAATGGAAGGATTTCTTTCTTTTCTAAGGCCAGATTACACACACACACACACACACACACACACAATTTATTCACTCATCCATTGGTAACATTTAGCTTGTTCCATATCTGACTATTACGAATAATGCTGCAATGAAAATGGAAGTGCCAAATTTCAAATCCTTTGGCTATATATCCAAAAGTGAGATTGTTTGATCATATGTCAGTTCTATTTTTAACTTTTCTAGGGACCTCCATATTGTTTTCAATAACAGCTATAGAATTTACATTCTCACCAACAGTGTGTAAGTGTTCCCTATTCACCACATCCTCACCAGCACTTGTTATCTTTTGATTTTTAATAATAGCCATCCCAACAAATGTAAGATGCTATCTCACTATGGTTTTGATTTACATTTCCCTGATTATTAGTGATGTTGAGCACATTTGCATATACTTCTTGGCCATTTCTATGACCTCTTTTAAGAAATGCCTATTGAGAAAGTCATGGAATAAACTTAAGTGCCCATCAATAAATGATTGGATTTTTAAAATGTGGTGTGTATATACATATTGTGGAATACTACTTTGCTGTGGAAAAGAATTAAATCATGTCTTTTGCAGCAACATGAATGAAACTGCGGCCATTATCCTAAATGAAATGACTCAGAAACAGAAAGTCAAAAACCACACATTCTCATTTATAAGTGGGAGCAAAAAAGTTGTTACACACGGACATACAGAGTAGAATAATACAAATTGGAAACTCCAAAAGGTGAGAGTGTGGAAGGGAGTTGAGGAATGAAATACTACCTATTGGGTACAGTGCACAGTATTTGGGTGATGAGTACACTAAAAGCCGAGGTCCAGACTTCACCACTTACAATATGTTCATGCAACAGAACTGCACTTGTACCCCATAAATCTATTTTTTTAAATTGCCCATTTTTAAATTTGGTTGCTTTATTTTTTTTATTCTGTTGTATGTGTCCTTTGTATATTTTGGATATTAAATCCCTTATCAGATATATGGTTTGCAAATATTTTCTCTCATTCCATAGGTTGCTTTTTCATTGTTTTTCTTACTGTGTGGAAGCTTTTTAGTTTGATGTAGTCCCACTTGTTTATTTTTGCTTTGTTGCCTATGCTTTACAGGTCATATCCAAAAGACATCATTGCCAAGATAAATGTTAAGGATCTTTCTCTCTGTGTTTTCTTCTAGGAGTCTTAGGGTTTCAGATTTTAAAATAAATTACTTTATTCATTTTTACTTAATTTCTGTGTTTGATATAAAATAAGGCTCCAATTCATCCTTTTCCATGTTAATATCCAGTTTTACTAACAACATTTATTGAAGAGACTACCCTTTCCCCATTATGTAGTCTTTCTGCCTTTGCTGAAAATTAGCTGGCCATCTATGCATGGGTTTATTTCTGTTCTCTCTGTTCTGTTCCATTAGTCTATATATCTGTTTTTATGTCAGTACCACTCTGCTTTCTTTACTATAGCTTTGTAATATAGTTTGAAATCAGGAAGTGTGATGCCTCCAGCTTTGTTCTTGCTCAAGATTGCTATGGCTATTCAGAGTCTTTTGTGAGTCCATACAAATTTTAAGATTGTTTTTTCTATTTCTGTGAAGTATACTGCTTTTGATAGAATAGACATTTTAACAATATTAGTTCTTCCAATCTATGAACATGGGATATCTTTCCATTTATTTGTGTCTACTTTAATTTCTTTCATCAACATTTTATAGTTTTCAGTGTACAACTTTGGCATTTCCTTGGTTAAATGTATGCCAGTGTTTTCACAATTTTTCTCTGTTAAACATCATTTTGTGTGTGTTTATTGTTTTCCTGGTTTTGTTAAATTGTCTCTATGTTCTCTTGCAGCTCACTGATGTTCTTTAAGATGATTATTTTGAATTCTTTGTCATGCAGTTCATAGATATCCAATTTTAAAGGTCAACCACAAGAGCTTCACTTTGTTCTTTTGGTGGTGTCCTATTTCCTTGATACTTTGTGTTCCTCAAAGCTTTGCATTACTGTCTTCACATTTGAAGAAGCAGTCAATGTTTCTAATCTTTACTGGTTTTCTTCAGTAGAGAAAGACCTTCACAGTGAGCCCAGCCAGAGATTCTTGGGGCCTCATGTACTTTTTCTATAATGTGCACACTCTATTTCTCTTGTTCCTTCTTAGTGGGCAAGTCTCAGGATTGTGTGCCTTCTTTCAATCCAAAGTCAGGCCTGATGCTGAGAGCCTGCCATTTATTTTCCCTAAGGCAATGTCCTGAAGTTTTAAAGGTTGTGCATCTTTTTTTTTTTTTTTTTTTTTTTTTTTTTTTGAGATAGGGTCTCACTCTGTTGCCCAGGCTGGAGTGCAGTGGCACAATCTCGGCTCACTGCAACCTCTGCCTCCCAGGTTCAAGAGATTCTCCTGCCTCAGCCTCCCAAGTAGCTAGGGCTACAGGGGCATGCCACCATGCCCAGCTAATTTTTTTGTATTTTTAGTAGAGATAGGGTTTCACCATGTTAGCCAGGATGGTCTCGGTCTCCTGACCTCAGGTGATCCGCCCTCCTGGGCCTCCCAAAGTGCTGGGATTACAGGCGTGAGCCACCACGCCCTGCCTCATCTTCTTTCAAAGCAGCAGTGTCAAGCCAGTTGGTAAGATCCACAGCTGCTGTTGAGATCCAAGTGCTGTCTGTGGGAGCTCATTCTGAGCTGTGCATGGGCATGTGTGGGGTACTATTCAAGGTGGGGTTCCCAGGGTGCTAGGAGAATGTGTTGGCTATTTGGGAAGCCCTCTGACAAGTCATTCTGCAGGGTTTATGGGCAGGCCTCTTGGCGGAGTTCAAGAGCTGGTTATCCCAGTGGAATATGTTTGTAATTGCAGTGGAATGTGTTTGTAAAACATCTTTGGTTTTCAAAGTTCTGCAGCATGAGCATATGAGGTACCTGAGCAGGTATCATCTCCACTCTACAAAAGAATAAACTGAGGACCAAAGGATTTAAGTGCAGTGCTGTACCCACCACATCTTGCAGAGGATTCTAAGTGGCAAGGAGCTTCTGACAATGATGCTGCTTCTAAGCGGGGGTGTGTCTGGGGTTAGCAGTGGGGCCACCACGTGATCAATCCGCCGACAGATCAAGCACAGCCTCTTCCTCCTGGGTGCGCCAGGCCCAAGGACAGAGGATGATGCCCACGCAGCCAGGAAAGAGCGGCATCATTGTCAGCCCCTACCCCACCCTCGTCTTGGGAGCCTGCAGGCTCCGTGGTGCCACGGGAGCCCCACCGCACCTCACGTATCCGCGCGAGTCTCTAGCACAGCCCCGCTCTTGGGCGTTAGAACCCCGCGAGGGGGGATGAAGGACGCCACCGAGGAAGCAGACCCCACCGGGCTCCCGAGGCTGCCAGGCCCCCCGCTCAGGGCGCTGCCTGCAGAACCACGCCCCCCTGTCCCTGTGCTAAGAGGGTGACGCGAGTGCCCGAAGCCCTGGCCTGGTTACCATTCGCGACTCCCTCGTCCTGGGTTCTCCCATTGCCAGGAATGTTTTACTAGTAACCATGGTATAGTTGAGACGATCCACTCTTGTCCTACGCATTTCGGCACAATACAGGCGTCTAGGAGGCTTACCTGGCATTGCCTGAGAGAATCTTCCATCCATTTAAGTAAGTAAACACCAGCGGGGCTGTTGGCCTTGTGAGTTGTGGCACCGTGAAAAACCAAGGCCTGCAGTTCTCAGCATCTGCCCAATTTGAGCTCCTGTTTGAAACCACTGTTGGGTTTCCCTTCTCTTCCTAATGGTTCAGGTGGCCATAAGATATCCTCTTAAGCTTGAGTGTCAGTTATTTTATAAGATCTCTGTTTATCACCTTGAGATGTTCTGCAGGGTCCCTGAAGTGAATTTCGTGTATTCACATAGCCTAGATTTTAAGTCGTTGCATTCCAGACTTACCATTCAAATTTGGAGTTTCAGCTTGCTCTTTAGGACAGTAGTAATAAAACTACAATCATGACTACATTTATTGCACAATGTTACATACTAGACACTTTTCTAAATTATCTATTAATACTAATTTTATGAATGCCATGAGCTCCTATACTAAGACCTCAAATAGCATGAAATGAAATCCAGTCAGTTTAGCTGTTTGCAAACTGCAGGAACACATAGAAACTTCGTTGTACTTATACATTTATTTGACAGTCACTGAGCTCCAAAAAAAAAAAAAAATGTACCATGCACAGTGCTTAGAATCTACAGTTACAAAGATGAATATGACAAAAACATACAAAAAAATGACTTATTGGTGGAACTGAAACTGACCAGAAATGGCTGGAGTATGGTTTGAGAAATTAGCCTGGAAAGGAAGCTGGAGGGCACATCGTGAAAGCCTCTTGTATGTTTGCAGACTATTCTAAAGTCAGTAGGGAGCCTCTAAAATGGTATGATGATATATGAAGAATTGCTGTGGCTGAGATGTGGGGAATAGGCTGAAGGAGCAATGAAATGAATAATGAATATTAGAGGACAGATGACCGAATAAGAAATCTTCATAATAGTCCAAGCAAAAAAATGAGCTCCTTGCGAACTGAGCCAGTGATCTTTGTCTACCATTTCTATCTCTACACCCACCCCTCAATATAGTAACAGATTTGGATTTGGAGTTTTCCATGTTTTAATGGGTTGGTTGATTTGGTTCAGCTGGGTTGGACTGGCTTTGGGGGAAGACTAAAGGGGAGGAAGTTGGAAGGGAGCAGTGAGGTATTCAAGTTTAACAATACTTCAGTTGGATTTCTGGGCACCATTTTAATTCCACTGAGGAATAGAAGTTTAAATTAGGAATGGGACAAAAGCCAAGTGCAGGATATGGAAAGCTCATGGAGAAGGTTAGAGGAGAGTTCCAATGCAGTGAGCATGTGGGAACCCAAAAGACTCATTCCTAAGATATAAGACTTATGTCAGTGAAAGTAATCTAAAACGACATGGTTAGAGGTGACATCAGTGAAAATGGCACAGTGGGGAACACCAAGCAATTAATAAGCTGGAAAAAACTTTCAGAAGCAACATTCTCACAACTCTGAAAATTAACGAAAACTTGCAGCAACCAAGGGATGCTTGATCAAGAAAACACAAGGAAATGTTGGAAACAGATTTTTGTGACATTTTAATTTATCCTAGTCTCATTTCCCACTCCCCAGCTCGTCAGTGCCCTTGAATAAAACAGCCTTCATTCTCTGTATAGGTACCCAGTAACAGAGGGAGCAAAGCAAATCTTATCCTCAAAGAACTGCAGCTGCTTGTTAGATCTACCTGGTGGTTCCATAGAGAAACTGCTCAGAGAACCTGCCTTTACCTCGCCTAAAACAGAACTATCCCGGAGCTCAGGTAAGCAGTGGCATTTGTCAAAAACATGTAAAGGAAAAAACATAATAGTCATTGATTTCTGAGGCAAGGAATAATGGTTGGGACAAATAATAGACTAACTGAAAAGTTTGGGAGAAAAGGCCAGGGAATGAGATGCTTTGAGTAACAAACTCCCACATATTTCTGATAATCTAGAAGGCCACAGACATGCCCTGGGCTAGACACATGCTCAGAAAAGACCTGAAAACATCCTAAGGTCTCACCTTCGGATAATGTTCAGACTCTGCACAAGTAGGAAGTAAAGGATAAGCAGAGTGGTCTTTAATGCATTTTGAGTTGATTTTTGTATATGGTGTGAGAAAAGGGTCCAATTTCATTATTCTGCATGTGGATACCCAGTTGTCTCAACACCATTTATTGAAGAGGCTGTCCTTTCTCCATTGTGTGCTTTTGGCATCTTTGCCAAAAATCTGTTGACCATAAATGTGCAGGTTTATTTGTGAGTTCTTCAGTCTGTTCCATTGGTCACTGAGTCTGTTTTCATGGCAATACCATGTTGTTTTGATTATTATAGCTTTGTAATATATTTCAAGATTATATAGTGTGATGACTTCAGCTTTGTTCATTTTGCTGAAGATTGCTTTGGCTAGTTGGGGTCTTTTGTGATTCCACACAAATTTCAGATTTTTTCTCTATTTCTGTGAGAAATAGATTGAATTTTGATAGAGATTGCATTGAATCCATAGACTGATTTGGGTAGTATGGATATTTCAACAATATTAACTCATCCAATCCATGAACATGAAATAGCTTTTCATTTATTTGTGTTTTCTTCCATTCCTTTTATCAATGGTTTGTAGTTTTCAGTATATAAATCATTTAACTCCTTGGTTAAATTTGTTTCTACATATTTTTTATACTACTGTAACTGGGTTTGTTTCCTTAATTTATTTTTTGGATAGTTCATTGTTAGTACAAAGAAAACCTTCTGATTCTTGCATGTTGATTTTTTCTTTTTCTTTTTTTCTTTCTTTTTTTTTTTTTTTTTTTTTGAGATGGAGTCTTGTTCTGTCACCCCAGGCTGGAATGCAGTGGCATGATCTTAGCTCACTGCAACCTCCACCTCCCAGGTTCAAGTGATTCTTATGCCTCAGCCTCCTGAGTAGCTGTGATTACAGATGTGTGCCACCATGCCCAGCTAATTTTTGTATTTTTAGTAGAGACAAGGTTTCACCATGTTGGCCAGGCTGGTCTCGAACTCCTGACCTCAAGCGATCCACCTGCCTTGGCCTCCCAGAGTGCTGGGATTATAGACATGAGCCACCACATCCAGCCGCATGTTGGTTTTTAACCTTGAAACCTTACTGAATTTGCTTATTAGTTCTAATAGTTTTTTGGTGGAATCTATGGGATTTTCTATATATAGGATCATGTCATCATGTCTATGGGGTTTTCTATACATAGGATTCATTTCCTATCTGGATGCCAATGTGTCCAGGAAGTGGAACATGGAGTCAAGCAAGATTATTCTGTAGACTTGAGATTTAACATTCTTTACCCAGTTGAGTTTTTCTTTGTTGCTATTTCTCCCTTTTAGAATGAAAATATCTATCCTATGCCTGTCACACTATTGTGTTTTGGAAGCACAAAACTTATTCGATTTCACAGGCCCACAGCTGGAGGGAAACTTATCTCAGGATGAATCATGCCTTGAATCTCATGCCTATATCTGATTTAGATGATACTCTTGACTTTGGACTTTTGAGCTGTTGCTGGAACAAGTTAAGACTTTGGGTCTCTAGGGATAGAATGACTGCATTTTGTATATTAGGACATATGTTTTGGGGGACTATGGGATAAATGCTATGGTTTGAAGGTTTGTCCCCTCCCAAATCGTGTTGAAATTTAGTTGCCGTTTTATCAATATTAAGAGGCAAGACCTTTAAGAGTGATTCATCCATGATGTCTCTGCTCTCATGAATGGATTAATGCCTTATCACTGGAGTGGCTTTGTTATTGAGGGAATCGGTTCATTATAAAAGGAAGAGTTTGGTCCTCTTTTGCCTCTCTATCTCTCACCATCTCTTTGCCTTTCCACCATGGGATGACACAACAGTAAGACCCTTGCCAGATGCCAACTCCTCAATCTTAGACTTCCCAGCTTCCAAAACTTTGAGCCAATAAATTACACAGTCTGTGGTATTCTATTACAGCACAAAATGGACTAATACAACTTGAGAGGAGCCTAATATATGATGTATCCTGGAGAATGTTCCATTAGTACTTGAGAAGAATGTGTATTCTGCTACTATTAGAAGAAATGTTCTTTATTTGTATATTAGGTCTATTAGGTCTACAGTGTAGTTCAAGTCCAGGATTTCCTTAATGATTTTCTGTCTGGATGATCTGTCCATTGCTGAAAGTGGGATATTGAAGTTGCCTACTATTATTGAATTGCAGTTTATTGCTCCCTTCATATCTATTAATATTATATATATGCACACATTTATATGGTGCTCCAATGTCGGGTGCATATATATTTACAATTGTTATGTCCTTTTGATGAATTGACCCCTTTATCACTATATAATTACTTTGTCTCTTTTTACGATTTTTTACTTAAAGTCTATCTTGACACATATAAGATAGCTACCCATGCACTGGTCTCCCTTTGTGTGGAATATCTTTTTCCATCCCTTCACTTTTAGTCTAAGAGTGTCTTTAAAGGTGAAGTGAGTCTCTTATAGGTTCCATAGAGTTGGGTCTTATTTGTTTATTCATTCAACCACTCTGTCTTTTGATTGGAGAATTTAATCTATTTACATTTAAGGTAATGTTTGACAAGTGAAGAGTTAGTATTGCCATTTTGGTATTTGTTTACTGACTGTTTTGTAGTTCCTTTGTTCTTCCAATCTTGCTGGTTTCCTTTGTGATTTGTTGAATTTTTGTAGTGATATGCTTTGATTTTTTTTTTATCTTTTTCACATCTGCTATAGGCTTTCTTTGTTTTGTTTTGGGTTTTTTTTGGTTTTTCTAATACTTTAAGTTCTAGGGTACATGTGCACAACGTGCAAGTTTGTTACATAGGTACACATGTGCCATGTTGGTTTGCTGCACCGATCAACTCATCATTTACATTAGGTATTTCTCCTAATGCTATTCCTCCCCCAGCCCCCTGACAGGCCCTGGTGTGTGATGTTCCCCACCCTGTGTCCACGTGTTCTAGTTGTTCAACTCTCACCTATGAGTGAGAACATGAGGTGTTTAGTTTTCTGTCCTTGTGATAGTTTGCTGAGAATGATGGTTTCCAGCTTCATCCATGTCCTGGCAAAGGACATGAACTTATCCTTTTTTATGGCTGCATAGTATTCCACGGTGTATATGTGCCACATTTTCTTAATCCAGTCTATCATTGATGGACATTTGGGTTGGTTCCAAGTCTCTGCCATTGTGAATAGTGCCACAATAAACATACGTGTGCATGTGTCTTTACAGTAGCATGATTTATAATCCTTTGGGTGTATACCCAGTAGTGGGATTGCTGGGTCAAATGGTATTTCTAGTTCTAGATCCCTGAGGAATCGCCACACTGTCTTCCATAATGGTTGAACTAGTTTACAGTCCCACCAACAGTGTAAAAGTGTTCCTATTTCTCCACATCCTCTCCAGCACCTGTTGTTTCCTGACTTTTTTATGAACACCATTCTAACTGGTGTGAGATGGTACCTCATTGTGGTTTTGATTCGCATTTCTCTGATGAACAGTGATGATGAGCATTTTTTCATGTGTCTGTTGGCTGCATAAATGTCTTCTTTTGAGAAGTGTCTGTTCATATCCTTTGCCCACTTTTTGATGGGGTTTTTTTTTTCTTGTAAATTGGTTTAAGTTCTTTGTAGAATCTGGATATTAAGCCCTTTGTCAGATGGGTAGATTGCAAAGATTTTCTCCCATTCTGTAGGTTGCTGCTATAGGCTTTCTTTTGTATTTACCATGAGGCTTAAATAAAAAATCTTGTAGATATACCTATTTTAAGCTGATGACAACCCAACCTCACTTGCATACAAAACCTCTACACTTTTACACCCCATACCACATTTTACATTTTTCTGTTACAGTTTACTTCTCTAGGAAAGACGAAAATAATGGGAGTGGGTCAGCTACATCAAAAGGTATCTACTCAGTCTCATTTTAAGGTCATTACAGAAGAATAAAATCTAAGAGGTAGCTTTTGGCTTTTGCCAGGAAGTTATTGCTGTTTAGCAGAGAATAGTGTCAGTGGGTTGATGCAAAAAGCTTTTTGCAAGGAATTGCTAAGCAGTGGAAAATCAGAGGCTTCCATTTCAAGTGCCTTATCTCAAAATAATCATTAGTATTACTTGTTCTCTATATTTCTCTATAGCAAAGGAGTCCATTCATCCTCTATAACTGCTATACAATATCTCTGTTAAAATGCTGAGAAGATTTATCCTAAAAGAAGGCACCAAAGCAATGGGGGTAAGGACTAAGTGCTACTTGGGTTAATAAATGACTAGTGTTGCTTCTTCCTAATAGAAAAAGGAAAAGACATTGACCACATCTTCCCCAAAGGAAGGAGAATTGACAAAAGTGTCCTAAGGTGATGATAACTAGCCTAAAGCTAATTGGACTCAAATGTGACGGACCCAAAAAAACATTCCGGAATAGTTCAACGTTACCACAATCCACCCAGGGTTCTAACAAATACATTCTGTGTTTGCTGATATATGAGAGGTCCATTTTCTGCCTGTGTCTGTAAACAGTTTGAATCAAAGCTCATCAATCATAAAGTGGTCAGGTAATGGGCTTAAAACCAGAAAAGGCTGTAGACCCTGGGGCACTGTACTGTCAACATGTGCCCCTTACATTCAGCTCAGGTGGGTCACATTCTGCTTCAATGATCTCCCGCTCAGCTCTCCTCAATCTTAGAATACTATACCCTTTTGTATTATCCAATATTTGTGGGACCTTGAATCACATTTGCATTTAAGTCAGCAACATTAAACCTTGCACTAGGAAAATTCTCAACGTATCAAATATATTATTATCTCCAGCTGGTTGAGACCTACCCAGTACACTATCAGAATGCAGGGCATACCTACATGCCTCTGAGTCAACAGGCAAAAATGAGAGTTAACGATGTTAGCTAGGGTGATCAATCCAGGATGCCAAGGGGAAATTGGACCACTACTTCACAATGAATAGAGGCAAAAATGAATATGTCTGGAATACAGGAGATCCTTTAAGATGTCTCTTAGTACTGTCATGCCCCATGATTAAGGTCAATGGGAAATTACAACAACCCAATCCAGGCAAGCCTATGAATGGCCCAGACTCTTCAGGATTAAAGGTTTGGGTTATCCTGTCAGGTAAAGAAACATGACCAGCCAAGGTTGCATAATACCCAGGCACAACCCCAAAGTAGACAGCTGTAGCACTGTAGCCCCTTTCTGAGGCATTCCTGAAGAAAATAATGAAGAAAAATCTTCCCAGTGGACAGAACTTCAAGCAGTACACGAGGTTGTATATTTTGCTTGGAAGGAGAAATAGCCGGGTGTGTGACTATATACTAATTCATGGGCTGTGGCCAATGGTGTGGCTGGAATGTCAGGGACTTGAAACGAATATGATTAGAAAAGTGGTGACATAGGAGTCTAGAGAACAGGTTTGTGGATAGACTTCTGAATAGGCAAAACACATAAAGATATTTGTGTCCCATGTTAATGTCCACCAAAGAGCATGATTCTCCTGCCTCAGCCTCCCAAGTAGCTGGGATTACAGGTGCACACCACTATGCCCAGCTAATTTTTGTATTTTTAGTAGAGATGGGGTTTCACCATGTTGGCCAGGCTAGTCTTGAACTCCTGACTTCAGGAAATCCACCCGCCTCGGCCTCCCAAAGTGCTGGGATTACAGGCATGAGCCACCATGCCCAGCCAGCAGAGGAAGATCTTAATAATCAAGTAGATAGGATGGCCCATTCTGTGGATACCACTCAGCCTCTTTCCTCAGCCACCCCATCATTGTCCAATGGGCCCATTAACAAAGTGGCCATGGTGGCAGTGGCAGGGATGGAGGTTATGCATGAGCTCAGCCACATGGGCTTCCACTCACCAAGGCTGACTTGGCTACAGTCACTGATAGGTGCCCAAAATGCCAGCAGCAGAGATGAACATTAGGTTCCTGATATGGTACTATTCCCTGGGGTGATTAGCCTGGTGGCAGAATGGCTACATTGGACCATTTCTGTCATGGAGAGGGCAGTGTTTTCTTCTTACTGGAATAGATACTTATTCTAGATATGGTTTTACCTTCCCTGCATTCAATGCCTCTGCAAAAACTACCATCCATGGACTTACAGAATGCCATATCTATTGCCATGGTAATGCCACACAGCATTGTTTTTGATCAGCGAACTCACTTCAGAGCAAATGAAGTGCAACAATAAGCTCAAGCTCATGTAATTTGCTGGTCTTACTATGTTCCCCACCATTATGAAGCAGCTGGTTTGACAGGATGATGGAATGAACTTTTGAAGACAATTACAGCACCAGCTAGCTGGCAATATCCTGCATAACTGGGGGAAGGTTCACTAGCAGAGTGTTTCTCCCACAGCTAGGATTCACAGGTCCAGAAATCAGGGAGTGAAAATGGGAGTGACACCACTCACTATTACCCATAGTTACCTACTAGCAAAAATTTGCTTCCTGTCCTGAAACATTATACTGTGCTTGTCAGATGTCTTTATTCCAATGGAAGAAATGCTTCTACCAGGAGACATAATAATGATTTCATTGAACTGGAAGTTAGGACTCCCAACTAGCCATTTTGGACTTTTTATCTCTGAATCAGTTGGCAAAGAAGGGAGTTATTGTGCTGGAAGGGGTTATCGATACTGACTACCATAAGGAAATTTGGCCTATTACTTCACAGTTAAGGAAGTGTATATTAGTAATACAGGAAGCCCCCTAGGGTATCCTCAGTATTACCATGTCCTGTGATTAAGGTCAATGGAAAACTACAACAACCCAATTAGAACAGGACTACTGATGGCCCAGACTCTTCAGGAGTGATGGTTTGGGTCAACCCACCAAGTCAATAATCACAGCCTGCTGAGGTGCTTGCTGAAAGCAAAGGAAATATGGAATGGGTAGTGGGAGAAAATAATCATAAATACCAGCTATAACCATGTGGCCAGTTACAGAAATAAGGACTGTAATTGTCATGAGTATTTTTCCTTATTTTGTTATGAACATGTTTGTGTGTTTGTGTGTATTACATACCTTTGTTTTCTTCCCTCTCTTATCCCCTTATTATGTAACATAAGATGTGTTGACTTTATGTTATGGCTTTTAAGTTGTGGTATTTCAACAGAAGAGTAAACGTCACTCAAGAATTTTGCATCCTCTTCTGGAAAAGTGTTAGTGCATTTTTTGTTGTATGCATGACAGCTGTTAGGCAAAAGTACATCTTTCTTTGGAGATTAAGTATGGTTTCACGAGATGTGTAAGTGGACTGCTAAGTGGACTGCTAAGTGGACATGAAGTTGACTTGTGATGGGTAATTTTATGTGTCAACTTATCTCTGTCAAAATATGCCTAGATAGTTGTTCAAACATTATTCTGGCTGTTCCTGTGAGGGTGTTTGTGGATGACATTAACATTTAAGTCGCTGGTCTTTGAGTAAAGCAGATTGCCCTTCATAATGTGGGTAGATTTTATTCAATCAGTTGAAGGTCTGAGTGAAACAAAAGGCTGACCTTCCCCCCTCCATTTCCCTCATCCCTCCCCTCATGGAGCAAGAGGAATTTTCCAGAAGACTGCCTTCAAGCTTCATCTGCACCATCAGCTCTTCCGTATCTCCAGCCTGCTGGCCCACACTATAAATTTTGGACTTGCCAGCCAAAATTTACAGAGTACATGTACAGATACAGAGTAAATCAAAACGACTGAGGCAAGTCTAAATCATTTTAAGATGTTTGTTTGCCAAGGTTAAGGACATGCCTGAGAAAGAACCCAGAACCACAGGGAAAATTGTGACCCATACTTTTTCTGAAGAGGGTCTGGAGACCTCAGTATTCAAAGGCAAAAGCGCAGGTATGAGGAAAGAGGAAGAAATTTTTTAAAGGGTGTGACTAGATAAGAGGCAAGCAGTTGCATCCTCTTGAGTGTTTCATCAGCCATTCCCTGAATACACAATGTACGCATGACAGGGGGGTACAGGAATAGTTACTTATACATTTGTCTAGTCCAATAAATCTGCCTTTTCACATAAGATAAAATAAACATAGGGCAGAGGAAGCAATCAGATATGCATTTGTCTCAGGTGAGCAGAGAGATGACTGAGTTCTGTCCTTCGTCCCACACCTGTGAAGATAAGGTCCTAAGATTTATTTTCCTTTTACTAACATATATATTATACACACATATATGTATATATAAAATATATAGGGTCTGTTTCTCTGGAGAACTCTGAATAATATACTTTTACATAATCTCAATACCAGAACAGAAACCCATATATTCCCTATGAACATGAATTTTAAGGTAATCTGATTGAAGTAGCTTTAATTCACTTAAAACTACCTAAATAGATCAGAAAGAAAGAATGGGCACCAGGGGATAAAGTAGTTGCAGGGCAGATGATGTTGGGTTTTAATCTCCAATACGGCCCCTTCGGTGGTTGCACACATCCTAGTCACTGGTGTGCGCAGGTGGCTCTACTCCGGCTGGAAAATAAAGCCCAGCTCCAAGCAGGCCCCAGAGAACCACTTCACATAAGAGCTATAGAAAACCAGGAGTCACTAGAGGGCCTGCTTGCCTGCTTTTTTGAACAAGGTCTAGAGCTGTGATCCAGATTGGTTACAAAGGTCAGCACTGGTTGCAGGAGCAGGCAGAGCAGAGAGAAACTGAGGTCCAAGTCACAAACAAGAGAGGATGAGGGAAGTAAGGCAAGATCAAAAGTTCCTATTTGGGATTCACAGTGGAGAACAAGAGCTGAGTCTACAGGCTGGAGCTGGCCTCAGAGAACCAACCATGGGACGGAGACAAATATCAAGGAGAACCTTAAGGATCCTCAGAGCCAACAGCTCTCCTTTTGTTGTGTGTCCTGGGCCAAACAAATAGGCCTCTGCTTTTTACTTAACTAGAACCAACTAGAAAAATAAATATTAGTTGTCTCTAAAGGTTGCTATGAAACAAAAGCAAATACTCCCTGTTTAAATACATGAGGAGACCGCACCACCTAACTGTGGCTGCCATTTCTCTATTCAGCCTGCTTTCTCTCTGACACACAATTCTTTCACTACTGCTTCAGAAGTACCAGGGTAAAGCAAACATTCTCCTAACCTCTCAGTCACCCAGACTGTAATCATCTGTGGTAGATTTGACTTGAGTAATAATGTTGGCTCTCTCTTCTCACAGGCTGTGCAAATAATGATTGGCCTGATTCACAGTGCACTGGGAACTCTCTGAATTCATTGGATTTTGCTAAGAGAGGATTCAAGTGGTTCTGGTCCTATCCCTATAATTGCTGTAGTAATTTACTCATTTTTGTCATTATTTTTTGTGAGTAAACCATGGTATTATTGCTTTCAATTCATTTATTTTTTTCTATTGAATTCAGGTGTCTAGAAATGGGCTAAAGACCCAATCTCTAACTTAAAGGAGCCCATTTTTGTGTGAATACAGACTTAGAAATGCCTTATGTTTGTTGTATATTTTAATAATTTTCTTGAGAGGTTGAGGTGCCTATATGGAAAATATATTAAAGGAGGATGCTTGAAGAATAATAAAGAGAGTGGCTATTTGGGTAACTACAAGGCTTATCTTTTGCAGAATGAAAAATCCAAAGGCCTTAGCTTAATGTCTGGGGCTACAGAGGCAATTTTTAGAGAGCATGTATACAGAAAAAAAAAAAAAAGGAGACCTAGAGGCACAGGAGGAATTTGGGGAAATTAAACAGAGATTTCTAAAGTAGATGTTCTGAATAAGGGTATTATAATAATTCCATGGTAGCAGTTGCCAAAACTCCCACCAAGGGCATGCCCAATTACAGAAGCAGAAAGTTTACCCAAGGTTAAATTTCTCCATAGAAGAGAGTTTTATTACCTCCTTACCCACAACTTTGTACTTTTCAACCAAAAACAGGGCTTCAAGGGAGAGAAGATTTAGTATAACACATTCCCTTTTGCTTTGTGAAAAGGCCTCTGAGACATCCCTGTACAGTCATTTCACCCAGAGAAGGGCCTGGTGATCTCTGCTCTGGATAAAAGACATTATTTTCTCTAAGGCTTTCTTATAGTGGGAGTCCTCAAGTGGAAGACATTTACAAACACCGAGAACTTTCTGGAAAGAGTGTATGTAATAAAGACAAATCATTTAAACTGAAATAATACAATTAATCACTTATTGCAAATCATCTAGAAAGAATCCTCAGCCCAAGATATGAAAGAGGAGCATATGACAGATATTTAGCCATAGATAATAATTACTCAATTTTATACCTATTATGTATCAGGCATCTCCAAAAGGCACTCCAAGTTCATTTTACCTTAATTGCCACGACAACCCCATGAGATAGCTATCATTCATCTCCATTTGACAAACAGGGAAACTGAGGCTTGGAGAACTTAAGTGACTCTCACAGAGTGACACAGCAATGAAGTGTCAGAGGTAAAAACAAACAAACACAAGCTAAGATGATTCTGCCTTCATGACAGGATTTCATTTTCCTGGGCTGAAGGATCCCCAGTCCCCTTCTTAGTATGTTTGAATCATCTTTTGTTATTGCCGCAGGCAGATTGAAGACAGGTATATGATTTACTGGAAAAAAATTAATTCTTGGTATTCCAGAAACAACAATCCTTTCAATTAGTGCCAGAAGGTGATGATAGCACTTAGGGTATGATATTTGTGGAAGGCAACCTATAAATCTTCAGATGTAATGTTTTCTGAAACTATTCCCACTGATGAAATTTTTTTTATAACATTATGGGAGAAACGTAGTTCTTGCAAGTGAGAGCCACCACACTAGCCACTAGGAAATATTTTCTAATAATTCATTTCAAGGGATCAATAAATGACAATTAAAACAAGTGAAGTGCCTACAACTTGTCCTCATAAAATCATTGTGAGCTCCCTAAGTCCCATCACCTATGCAAAGGTCTCATTAATGACCGGAGACTTTAAAACATTTTTCATCCCTATAACAGAGAAATAGTGAATCCATGCTTTAGAAATTGTACTAGCGGTCACTACAGACTTCGAATGGGGTTTTTCATGTTAAAATCACTTTCTTCAGAAATGCATTCAGTGCCACTTTGGATATTAGGAATGCCACTGGCTCTAGGGAAAGAAGCTATTGAGGGGATTATCATAAGGCATTGTGTGTTTATAAATGCTTATTTCTATCCCCAGTTCATCAACTCAGGATCCAGTAGTGTAATACAGAAGCCTGTTACGAGATATAAGGTATGTCAGAATATTCGGAGCAACTCTAAAGATTAAAATGTTACTTGGTGCAAACAAACAAAAAAAGAAATTATTGCTGGGCCAACATTTTTGGGGAAAAAAAACTTTTCCAAATGTTTAAATGAAAAAAAATTATTTAATTTTTGTAAAGATATCCTCCAGTGCATCCTCTGTGCATGAATGTTGGAGGAGGATACAGTGTGAGCAATAATATTGTATACAGAGACAGACGTGAGAGTTTCCATGAAATAAATCATTTCAAGCTATCTCAACGAGCATATATAACCAAATAAAACTTAAGACAAGGCCTTACTCTGTCACCCAGGCTGGTGTGCAGTGGGTGATCACAGCTCAATGCAACCTGGAGCTCCTGGGCTCAAGTGATCCTCCAGCCTCTGCCTCCCAAATAGCTGGGACTGCAGGTGTGTGCCACCACACCTGGTTTTTTCATTTTTTGCAGAGATAAGGGTCTTGCTATGTTTCCCAGGCTGGTTTTGGACTCCTGGCCTCAAGGCATACTCCTGCCTTGGTCTCCGAAAGTGCAGGGATTATAGACATGAGCCACTAAACCTAGCCACCAAACAAAACTTCGACCCTGAGAATCAAAGCATTGGGAAGCGAAGAAATGTAATTAGGATAAGATTAGAAAATTAGTGTCTAGTTAAGGAGAATGGATAAGACAAAATAATGTGTGAAAAGAGAATTGCCTTCAGCAAAACCAGGTCAGGAAATATCAATTAGAACACAAACCAGATATCATGACAACACATCTAACGAAGGATGGTCCTTTTTCTTTTAGAACTTCCCTCCTGTCTCTCACAGCCCCCCTTGTGATTAGGATCACAGCTCTGGAGGCAGATAGCCTGAATTTTCCAATTCTGACTGCCTTACTAGTGCCTGTGTAACCCTGAGCAAATTACTTTACTCTGTGCCTCACTCTCCTCATTTAAAAAATAAAATGTGGTTAATAATAGTAACTGCCTCAAAGGGTTGCTGTGAGGATTAAATTAGTATGTAAGCATAAAGAACAGTACCTGGGGCCACACAGGGTGGCTCATGCCTATAATCTCAGCCCTTTGGGAAGCCAAAGGCAGGTGGATCAGCTGAAGTCGCGTGTTCGAGACCAGCCTGGTCAACATGGCAAAGCCCCGTCTCTACTAAAAATACAAAAATTAGCTGGGTGTGATGGCGCACGTCTGTAATCCCAGCTACTCAGGAGGCTGAGGCACGAGAATCGCTTGAACCTGGGAGGCAAAGGTTGCCGTGAGCTGAGATCCTGCCACTGCTCTCCAGCCTGAGTGACAGAGCAAGTCTCCATCTCAAGAAAAAAGAACAGTAACTGGCACAAAGATACCACTCTGCTTATCAAAACCCGCTGAGAAAAAACAGGTGGATTCTCCTCTTTCCCCAGGGGAAAATCTGCTTTCAGGGACTGGTAAGAGAAGAAATTGAAATTGTATTTCATATTTCAGATAAAGGGGTCCTCCTATTTTTTCTTTCAGTAGAATAGGGTCAGAGTGGTATGAGAGGCCATTTTTCTCAGCCCCAGATTGGAAGCTATAATTATGGGCATTAAGCTATTACACTTTTTTTAACTTCTATTCCCAAGGTAGCCACTGTTAATATCATTTTTCATTCTAGGCCTTTTTCTAAGCTTTTTTTTTTTTTTTTTTTTTGTAATTTGTTTGCAAGCAGAGTGAACATGTGACTTAGAAGTCACCTGGTGTTGCTTTTCCACGGAAAACCTTACATCCACAGAGATATAAGTACAGATGACATGAAAGCCCATAAAGCCCCCATGTGATTTGGTAAACTCCCAGAACTAGCATTCTCATAGTTTAGTTTCTGTATTGGTGCATACTGTCCCAAATTTTCTCCACAACACCCAAAGAAACAGTTGTGAATAAACTCAGCCCCTTGACTGATTTTCACAAAAACTCACAAAAAGTTTTGGGTTTTTTTACTCGAGGATTGGTGGGGGAAGATTATGATTGTAATTTCCAAGTTCCAGTCACAACCTAGATCCCTTTGTAACTCTCTCCCTAATCCCCATCACTCCGTCTTCTGCCCTTCTTTTTCCATCTCCCCACTCCACCTCAATCAATCAATCTATACATATACATATATGTGTGTGTGTGTGTGTGTGTGTGTGTGTAGATATATATATATATAATTTGCTGCATGTCAGGCATGTTCTATGTATGTAGGATGCATCAGTGAACAAACAGATGAAAATTTATTACCCTTAGGGAGCTTACATTCTAATAGCAGGATAAAAGCAATAACAATAAACAGGACAAACAGGGAAATAATATAATATGTTAGAAGGTGATAGGTGTGATGAAAAAAAGAAAACGTAATAAGGGCTGCCATAGTTTCGTCTTGAACATTTGGACGGATTCAGTTGAGAATCTTAGACATGAAGATATTTAAAGCCAGGAGACTTGTTGAGATCTCCAGTGGAAAGAACACAACAAAGACGAAAAGAGAAACAAGAACTGAGCCCTAGGGCACTCCAACATGAAAAATAGAAAAAAGGGGAGAAAATAATAATTTTTTTACTTGAAAAGTTTCTTGGTTTAATCATGTTCTAAAGAGTAAAATATTATATCTTATTCGTGTGCATGTTTTCAAGTTAAAGCAGAAAATAAATGTAGAATATATGTTTTTGTTTGAATTTTTTTTTTTGTTTTTTGCTTGTTTGTTTGTTTTTTGAGACAGAATCTTGCTCTGTTACCCAGGCTGGAGTGCAGTGGTGCAGTCTCAGCTCACTGCAACCTCTGCCTCCCAGGTACAAGCAATCCTCCCAACTCAGCCTCCCAAGTAGCTGGGACTACAGGCTCCCACCACCACGCCCTGCTAATTTTTGTATTTTTAGTGGAGACGGTGTTTCATCATATTGGCCAGGCTGGTCTCAAACTCCTGACCTCAAGTGATCTACCCACTTCAGCCTCCCAAAATGCTGGAATTACAGTCATTAGCCACCGTGCCCCACCAGAATATATGTCTTTTGTACCATAATTTTTAAATTGTTTTTTCAAACAATATACATTAAGTGACTTCCTTTTGGGGTGCAGATATTTGAGTTCAGGAACTTTTTTCTGAAAACATATATATTTATTTTCATGTAAACCTGGGAAAATCTTTAGCTGTCTATGTAAGTATTATCTTAATTGATTCTTTTCTTAAGCATACAACTCAATAGTTTTTAGTATATTCACTGATATGTGCAATTATTAACACAGTCCATTCAAAAACATTTTCATCACCTCAAAAAGCAACTCTGTACCCCTTGGCTATCACTCCCATCCCCAACTTCCCATTCTCCCCAACCTTAGGCAGCCACTAATCTACATAGGGTCTCCATATATTTTCCTACTCCAGACATTTCATTAAAAATGAATCACATCATATGTAATTTCTTGTTAACTGGCTTATTTCACTCAATATATTGTGGTAAAAGTTCACTCATGTTGTAGCATATATCAGTACTTTATTCTTTTTATGACTAAACATTTCTATACACCATAACATTCAAGCTGAGAGTCAAATCAAGAATGCAATTGCATTTACAATAGCCACAAAAGTAATAAAATACCTAGAAATACATCTAACCAAGGAGGTGAAAGATCTCTACAAGGAAAACTAGTTAATACAAAATATTGCTTAAAGAAATCATATATGACACAAACAAATGGAAAAACATTTTATACTCATGGATTAGAAGAATCAAAATCATTAAAATGGCCATACTGCGCAAAGCAAGCTACAGATTCAATGCTATTTCTATCAAACCACCAATTATCATTTTTAGCACAATTAGAAAAAGTATTTCTAAAATTCATATGGAATCAAAAAAGAACCCAAATAGCAAAAGCAATCTTAATCAAAAGGAATAAAGCCAGAAGCATCCACATTACCTGACTTCAAAGTATACTACAAGGGTATAGTAACTAACCAGTACCATGCTGGTACTGGTGCAAAAACAGGCACATAGATCAGTGGAACCAAATAGAGAATTTGGAAATACATCTGCACACCCAAAACCAACTTATATTCAACAAAGTCAACAAAAATAAGCAATTGGGTAAGGATTCCCCATTCAGTAATGGTGCTGGGATAAGTGGCCATCCATATACAGAATAATAAAACCGAACCCTCAAAAGCAATTGCAACAAAAACAAAAATTGACAAATGGGACCTAATTAAACTAAAGACTTTCTGCACAGCAAAAAAAAGAAACTATTAAACTAAACAGACAACCTGCAGAATGGGAGAAAATATTTGCAAACTATACGTCCTACAAAGGACAAATACTCAGAATCTATAAGTAACTTAAACAATTCAACAAGCAAAAAACAAATAACCAAATTAAAAAGTGGGCAAATGACATGAACAGTCACTTCTTAAAAAGAAGACATACAAGCAGCCAACAAACATGAAAAATGCTTAATATCACTAATTGTCAGGAAAATGTAAACCAAAACCAAATGAGATAACATCTCATACCAGTCAGAATGGCTATTACTAAAAAGTCAAAAAATAGATATTGGTGAGAATGCGGACAAAAGGAACACTTATACACTGCTGGTGGAAAAGTAAATTAGCTCAGTCCCTATGGAAAGCATCTGGAAATTTCTAAAGAACTAAAAATAAAACTACCACTTGACCCAGCAATCCCATTACTGCATATACACCCAAAGGAAAATAAATCATTTTACCAAAAAGACATGCATTTACATGTTCATCACAGCACTATTCACAATAGCAAAGACATGGGATAAATCCAGGTGCCCATCAATGGTGAATTGGGTAAAGAAAATGTGATATATATATATATATACATATATATATATATATATATATATATATATATATATATATATATATATGCATACCATGGAATACTACACAGCCATAAAAAAGAGTGAAATCATGTCCTTTGCAGCAATATGGATGCAGCTGGAGGCCATTGTCCTAGGTGAATTAATGCAGAAACAGAAAACCAAATGCCAGTGGGGTTATAATAAGTGGGAGCAAAACGTTGGGTACATATGCACATAAAGATAAGAAAATAGACATTGATGAATGCTACTGGGGGAAGGCAGGAGGGAAGAAAGTTTTAAAAACTACCTCTTGGGTACTAACTGGGTGATGGGATCAATCATACCCCAAACCTCAGCATTATAAAATACACCCAAATAACAAAACTGTACATATGCCCCCTGAATCTAAAATGAAAGTTGAATTTTTTTTAAAGAACGTGAATAGATATTGTTTTATTTCTATAGTTTATTCAGAAATAAATCTGCACACCCACAACCAACTGGTATTCAACAAAGTCAACAAAAATAAGCAATGGGGTAAGGAGTCCCTATTCAATAATGGTGCTGGGATCATTGGCCATCCATACACAGAATAATAAAACTGGACCCTCTGAATGCCTTTTGGGTTTTCTTTACTGCCGAACTGCCCTGGTTAGAATTTCTAATACAAGGTTGAATAGATATAATGAGAGTATATCTCACCGTCTTATTCCTCATGAAAGCATTGAGTCTTTCACCAATAGGTGTGTTAGGTGTGGATTTTTATTAGATGCTCCTTATCAGGTTGAGAAAGATCCCATCTATTTTGAGTATTTTGAGTGTTTTTATCATAAAACAGTGAAGAATTTTCACCAAATGCTTTGTCTACATCAATTGAGATGATCATATGTGTGTTTTTCTATTTTACTGATATGGCATATGACATTAATTGTATAAGATAAAACCAGCCTTGCATTTGTGGAATAAATCACACTTGCTTACAGTGTACAAGCATACCTCGTTTTATTGTGCTTTGCTATATTGCACCTCACAGATAATGAGGTTTTTTACAAAGTGAAGGTTTATAATAACACTGCATCAAGCAAAGCTGTTTCTTCAACATCACGTGCTCACTTCATGTCTCCGTGTCACCTTTTAGTAATTCTCACAATATTTCAAACTTTTTTATGATTATTATATTTGTCATAGTGATCTGTGATCAGTGACCTTTATGATTATTATATTTGTCATAGTGATCTGTGATTGGTGACCTTCGATATTAACATTGTTATTGTTTTGGCATACCATAAACTGTGTCTATATAAGACAACAAATTTAATTGATAAATATGTGCGTTCTGACTGCTCTACCAACCACACTTACCCTTGTCTCTCTCCATCTCCTTGGGCTTCTCTATTTTCTAATATACAACAACATTGAAATTAGGCCAATTAATTATATTTGTCATAGTGATCTGTGATCAGTGACCTTTATGATTATTATATTTGTCATAGTGATCTGTGATCGGTGACCTTTGATATTAACATTGTTATTGTTTTGGCATACCATAAACTGTGTCTATATAAGATAACAAATTTAATTGATAAATATGTGTGTTCTGACTGCTCTACCAACCATCCTTACCCCTGTCTCTCTCCATCTCCTTGGGCTTCTCTATTTTCTGAGATACAACAACATTGAAATTAGGCCAATTAATAACCATACAATGGCCTCTAAATTTTAAGTGAAAAGAAGAGCCACACATCTCTCTCTTAAGTCAAAAGTTATAAATGATTAAGCTTATGAGGAAGGCATATAGAAAGGTGAGATAGGCCAAAGTTAATCCTCTTGCACCCAACCATTAACATAGGTGTGAATGTAAAGGAAAAATTCTTGAAGGAAATTAAAAGTGCTGCTTGAGTTAACACACAAGTGATAAGAAAACAAAACAAGCTTGTTGCTGATGTGGAGAAAGTTTTAGTTGTCTGGACAGATCAAACCAACTACAGCATTTCCTTAAGCCAAAGCCTAATCCCTAGCAAGGCCCTAATTGGCTCTTTTCAATTCTGTGAAGACCGAGAGAGATGAAGAAGCTTCAGAAGAAGAGTTTGAAGCTAGCAAGGTTGATTCATGAGGTTTAAGGAAAGAAGTTGTCTCCATAACATAAAAATACAAGGTGAAACAGCAAGTGATAATGTAGGAGCTGCAGCAAGTTATCCAGAAGATCTAGCTAAAATAATTGATGAAGGTGGCTGTATTAAACAACAGATTTTCAATGTAGATAAAACAGCCTTATATTGGAAGAAGACGTCTTATAGGACTTTCCCAGCTAGAGACAATGCTTGGGCTCAGAGCTTCAAAGGACAGGCTGACTCTCTTGTTAGAGGCTAATGCAGCTGATGACTGTAAGTTGAAGCTAATGCTCATTTACTATACTGAAAATTCTAGGGCCCTTAAGAATTAATCTACTCTGCTTATGGTCTGTAAATGGCATAAGAAAGCATGGATAACAGCACATCTGTTTACAGCATGATTTACAGAATATTTTAAATTCAATATTAAGAACTACTACTCAGGAAAAAAAGCTTCCTTTTAAAATATTACTGCTCATTGACAGTGCACCTGGTCACATGTGTTTTCATGTCTGTTAACATAACATCCAATTTGCAGTGATGAATCAAGGAGTAATTTGTACTTTCAAGTCTTGTTATTTAAGAAATACATTTTGTAAGACTACAGCTGTCATAGCTAGTGATTCCTCTGATAGATCTCGGCAAAGTAAATTGAAGAGCTTCTGGAAGATTCACCATTCTAGATGACATTAAGAGCATTAATGACATACAGGAGGAGGTCAAGATAGCAACATTAGCAGGACTTTGGAAAAAGTTGATACTACCTCTCATGAATAACTTTGAGGGGTTCAAGACCTCGGCGGAGGAAATCACTGCAGATGGGATGGAAATAGCAAGAAGGGAAGCCTGAAGATGTGACTGAATTGCTGTAATCTCCTGATAAAACTTTAATGGATAAGGAGTTGCTTCTTATGGATGAGTAAAGAAAGTGCTTTCTTCAGGTGGATTCTACTCCAGTGAAGATGCTATGAACATTGCTGAAATGACAATGAAGAATTCAGAATATTACATAAGCTTAGTTGATAAAGCACTGTCAAGGTTGGAGAGGATTGACTCCAATTTTGGAAGAAGTTGTATGGTGGATAAAATGCTATCAAAAAACATTGCATACAACAGAGGAAACTTTTGGGAAAAGAAGAGTTGATGGGTGCAGCAAACTTCATGTTATCTAATCTTAAGAAATTGCCACAGGGACCCCAACCTTCAGTAAACACCACCCTAATCAGTCAGCAGCCAACAACATCAAGGCAAGACCCTCCACCAGCAAAAACATTACAGCTCACTGAGGCTTAGGTGATCATTAGCTTTTTTTAGCAATAAAATATTCTTAAATTAAGTACATTTTTAGACATAAAGCTATTGCACACTTGCACACTTAATAGACGACAATAAACTGTAAACAGTAGCATAACTTTTTTTTTTTTAAGGCGGAGTCTCTCTCTGTCCCCCAGGCTGGAGTGCAGTGGCACAATCTCGGCTCACTGCAAGCTCCGCCTCCTGGGTTCATGCCATTCTCCTGCCTCAGCCTCCCAAGTAGCTGGGATTACAGGCACCTGCCACCACGCCCGGCTAATTTTTTTGTATTTTTAGTAGAGATGGGGTTTCGCCATGTTAGCCAGGATGGTCTTGATCTCCTGACCTTGTGATCCACCTGCCTCGGCCTCCCAAAGTGCTGGGATTACAGGTGTGAGCCACTGCGCCCAGCCAGCATAACTTTTATATGCATTGGGAAACTAAAAAATTCATCTGTTACGTTATTAAAGTATTCATTTTATTGCAGTGGCCTGAATCTGAACCTGCAATATCTCCAAAGTATGCCTGCATATTTCTTTTTCTGTGTTGCTGTATTGAGTTTGCTAACATTTTGTTGAAGATTTTTGTGTCCATGTTCATAAGAGATCATGGTTTTTAGTTTTCTTTTGTTGTGATGCATTAGTCTGATTTTGATCTCAGGGTAATAGTGGCCTCACAGAACGAGTTAGGAAGTGTTCCCTCCTCTTCTATTCTTAGAAGAGTTTGTGAAGAAGGTAATTCTTTAAATATTTGGTAGAAGTCACCACTGAAGTAATCTGGGTCTGCACTTTTCTTCATAGAAGATCTGATTATAAATTTAAATACCTTAATTCTTTATAGTCTATTCAGATTTTCTATTTCTTCCTTAGTTTTAGTAGTTTGCATGTTTCTAGGAACTTGTCCATTTCAGCAGGTTATCTAATTTGTTGGCATATAATTGTTCATAGTATTCTTTCATAATCACATTTATTTCTATAAGGTTTGTAGTAATGTTTCCACATTCATTTCTGATTGTACTAATTTGAGACTTCTCTATTTTTCTTTAGTCTCATTAAAGGCTTTTCCATTTTGTTCATCTTTCAAAGAATCAACTTTTGTGTTCATTGATTTTATCTACTGTTTTTCTATTTTGCTTCTAAATAATTTTCACTTTAATCTTTACTACTTTATTTCCTTCTGCTTTCTTCAGGTTTGATATGGGTTTTTTTTATTTTCATTATCTTAAGATGGAAAGTTAGGTTATTGATTTGGGGTCTTTCTTCTTTGTTAGTATAGGCATTTACAGCTATAAATTTCTATCTAAGCACTAATTTAGCTGCATCCTATAAGCATTGATATGCTGTATCTTCATTTTCATTCATCGCAAAGTATTTTCTAATTTTCTTTTTATTTCTTCTTTAATCCCTTGGTTATTTAGGAGTATGTTGTTAATTTCCACATATTTGGGGTTTCCCAAATTTGTGTTATTAATTTTAATTTTGTTCCATTGTACTTAGAGAAAATACTTTACTATTTCTAGCCTTTTAAATTTATTAAAATGTGTTATGCCCTAAACTCTGGTCTATTCCAAAGAATGTCCCATGTGCAGTTCAGAAAACCGTGTATTCTTCTGTTGTTGGGTGAAATGTTCTATAGATGTCTGTTAGGTTTAGTTGGTTTATAATGTTGTTCAAATCTTCTATTTCCTTGTTTATCTTCTGCCTTGTTGCTCTACTCATCATTAAAAGTGGGTCATTGAAGTCCCTAACTATTATTGTTAAATTGTCTGTTTCTTTCTTTGTTTCTGTCTGGTTCTGCTTTGCGTGTTTCAAGCCTCTGTTCTTAGAAAATATATGTTTATAACCATTATAAAATGTTCCTCTCTATCTCTAGTAGCATTTTTTTTTTTTTGAGACGGAGTCTCACTCTGTTGCCCAGGTTGGAGTGCAGTGGCCCCATCTCTGCTCACTGCCAGTTCCGCCTCCTGGGTTCACACCATTCTCCTGCCACAGCCTCCCGAGTAGCTGGGACCACAGGCGCCCACCACCACGCCCAGCTAATTTTTTGTATTTTTAGTAGAGATGGGGTTTCACCATGTTAGCCAGGATGGTCTCCATCTCCTGACCTCGTGATCTGCCCGCCTCGGCCTCCCAAAGTGCTGGGATTACAGGCATGAGCCACCATGCCCGGCCAACATTTTTAAAATATATTTTGTCTGGTATTAGTATAGCCATTCTAGCTTTCTTGTGTTTGTTCTTTGGATTACAAATATTTTTCTATTTTTTTGTTTTCATTCTTTTTGTGTCTTTGAATCTAAAGTGTGTCTCCCATAGACAGCACATAGTTGGATCTGGTTTTTGTATCCAATCTGACAATCTCTGCCTTTAATTGAATTGTTTTATTAATTCACATTTAATCTTATATTGAAATAGTTAGGCTTGCATTTGACATTTTACTTTTTCTCCATGTTTTATGTTTTTTGTTTCTCTATTCTGCCTTGACTGCTTTATTTTTTGGCTAAGTGGATATTTTCTAATGTAGTATTTTAATTTTTAATAATTTTTTACTGTATATTTCAGTTATTTCATTAATTGTCGCTCTAAGGCTCATCATATTTTAACTTATCAAAATCTGCTTCACATTTATACTAATTTAATTCCAGTGAAATATAGAAACATTATCCCTGTATAGCTCTATTTCAATACCTCTTTATGTGATATTATTGATGTATTACATCTATGAATGTTACAAACATAAGATAACATTATGATTATTACTTTATATAATTCTATCTCTTTTAAAGAAGCAAAGAGAAGAAAAGGAACAAGTATACATTTACAGTTTTTGTTATTTACCATTTATCTATTTACCATTACAATTTATTATTTACCAGAAATTTTTTATTTATAATTTCTTGTTCTCCTCATTTGTTCCTGTGGGTTCAAATTTAACATCTAGAGTTAAACTCCTAGATGTTGATTCCTTAGCTTAAAATACATTTGCTCCTCTCCCCCCACTTTTGCTGTTATTGGCAAATATATTGCATTTCCCTATGTTATAGACCCAACAATACGTTACATACATATTGTTTCATATGATTGCTTTTTAAATAAGTTAGTAGAAGAAAGAGGATAAATTTGCATTTACACTTTCTTTTATATTTGTATAATTTTCTTTTGTCAGTGATCTTTATATTTTCATGAGATTCAAATTACTGTCTGTAGTCACTTGCTTTTGGTCTGAAGAATTTTCTTTAGTATTTTTTGTAAGGCATGCTAGCAACAAATTCTTTCAGATTTTGTTCATCTGCAAATGTCTTTATTTTGTTTTCATTTTTGAAAGACAGCTTTGCTAGAAGTAGGATTCTTGGTTGATAGGTCTTTTTTTTCTTTGAACCCTTTGAATTTGTTATCCCACTACCTTCTGGGTTT
The DNA here is from genome assembly GCF_000001405.40 of Homo sapiens. Classification (NCBI taxonomy): domain Eukaryota; kingdom Metazoa; phylum Chordata; class Mammalia; order Primates; family Hominidae; genus Homo; species Homo sapiens. The sequence goes on from NC_000011.10 coordinate 60,672,416, forward strand.
CAATGTTTCTGATTAGAAGTCAGCTGTTAATCTTATTGGAGTTCCCTTGTATGTCTCAAGTCATTTTTCTCTTGCTGCTTTCGAGATTTTCTCTTTGTTGGCTTTCAGCGTTTTTACTGTGATATGTCTACTTGTGGATTTCTTTGTGAGTTTCTTCCTTGGGATTTGTTGAGATTCCTAGGCGGTATAGATTAATGGCTTTGAATAAATATGGAAAATTTTCAGGCATTATTTCTTTGAATATATTTTCTGCTTCTTTCTCTTTCTCCCCCTTTCTGGTACTTTCATTATGTATATGTTGTTTCCTTAATGGTATTTCACATTTCTCTAAGTCTCTATTCATATTTCTTCATTCACTTTTCTCTCTGTCTTTCAGATTGCATAATCTCTATCAATCTATCTTGAAATTCACTAATTCTTTCTTCTGCCACTTCAAATCTACTGTTGTGCCACTCTAACGAATTTTTTATTTTAGCTGTTATAATTTTCAACTCCAGAATTTCCATTTGGTGTTTTAAAAATGATTTATATATCTTTACTGATATTCTCTATTTGATGCAATATTGTTATCACACCTTCCTTTACTTCCTTAATCGTGGCTTACTTAAGTGCTCAAACATCTTTATAATGACTATTTTGAAACATTTGTTTATTAAATATTATATCTGGTCTCTCACAGTTTTTGTTGCCTACAGTTTATATCATCTATGGGTCAAACTTGCCTGTTTCATTGTCTGTTTTATATTGTTGCCTATTATATAATTGTTTTGCTGGAAACTGGGCATTTTCGATAATATATTATAGCAACTCTGGGTACTCATCCCCCACACCAGGACTTATTGTTATTTACTTGATTAGAAAAAAACTGTCTAGGTTGTTTCAGTGAAGTCTATTTCTCCGTCCTCACTGTTAAGCTTTGATGTTGCCCCTTATAGGGTACAGGCTTGTGATGCCCACAGTCACCCTGGGATGACATTTATCTTGGAAAGGCTCTTTGTCTCTTTCCCTAACCATACCCAGCTGTTAAGCTCTGCTAGTGCTTGCTGGTTGTTCTGAGGCAAAAACTGCTTCACAGACTAACCCAAACAAATTTGAGCTCCTTTGAGGGGATAGCTCCCAAAATCAGTGTTTGAGATTTGTTCTGACTCCAAAAGGGCTCTTCCTAGCTTCCCCTTTTCCCATTTCTCTCTGGGAAACTCGTGGGCCTACAGTTTAGCCTGTATCTAAAATGTATCTGTGAACACCTACCAAGTGCCTTTTACCACAACTTCCACTGTTTTTGAGAGTACTTGTAAGCCTAAACTTCTCCACATGCTACAAATGAAGTCACCTCCTTTGGGAACAGAGTGGAGATTTCTATTCCATAGCCTATTTCTCTCCCAACATCTCTGAGCTAAGGATCTGGTGCAGGGGTGAGGAAGTGGGTAGGGACAACGGAGTCTTTCTCTTTAAGAGTTGAGGGTTTGGTGAATGGGGGAGGGGACAGAAGCCCCAGTTCCTCTCAACTTGCCTCTCATGATGTGAAACCCTTACCCCAAAGCCAGAAAAAGGTCAATTAGAGCCCAGTATTATAGAGTCTTCATCCCATGAGTAAAAGCTGGGTAGAAGAGATCACCCATCTCTTGGCTGCATTCACTTGGTACTTAGCCTCAGTGTTAGTATTTGGGCAGGACCAGAAAGGCTAATTAGATGGCCTACCCTTCCTGAGAAGATAGTATAGCACTCTGACTGGGATCTTTGAGAAAAGGGAGCCCTGTGTTTTTGGCTATTCCAATCTAGAGTGGTCTTGCTGATCTGAGAGGAGGGAGGGAGGGTGCAGATCTTGGTTCAGATACCATACCAGAAACTCTTACAGCATTTACTGAGTAGATTTTCTTGAATAAATGTTCCTTTATTTGCTATATTCCATTAAAAAGGTTTACAGAGTACAGAGGTTTTAAAGGATTAAGATTTTTGAAATAATTTTTACAAATTTGGCTGGGGAGCTGGTTGAGTTCCTCCCATTCTTATGCTGGAAGTGGGACTCTCCAAAAATAATAATGCTGTACACTTAATTCTATAAATAATTTATTAGAATTTTTAGGAACATAGATACCTTCTTAAGTGATCCTGGTTCATAAGCCTCTCTATCCTCATTAATGGACATAGGATAAGTGTGCAGAGGCATTCTAAGCATACCACAATCTGACTTTGTACTAAGGATGAATCTTTTTAGTTGACAACTCCAGCAGCATAGTTCTACATATTCACAAAGCTAAAATTGAAAATCCTAATCACAATATACTAGATTATTCCTCCTTTAGTATGCCATGTATTAAATGTATTATTTATACATGACTAATACATATATGTATTAATACATGACATGTATTAAATGTATTAAATGTATTAAATTTTATTAAATGAAATTGTGCTTGTAATTATATCTCCCCCATTAGATTAAAAGCTCCTTGAGTAGAAACCTGAGGTTTAGTACATTGTAGGCATTGTATAATTAATGAATAAATAAATATTCCCTCTGAAAAAAAAATTATCCTACTAGCTTCTAGACAAATTTGAGGTGGACTCCTGATATCAACCTCTGTGACAATCAAAGAAAGTCAGATTTTTAAAACTTTAACTTGAATGTTCTAGCCAGTAGGACAGACTGATTGCTTCAGCAACATCTGTTTATGCTGTCCATAACCAATTTTTCTTTGTATGTCTATTACACCTTACTTTAGCAATTGTAATGAACAGCATAACTATTTGTGTGACTACACTTGGTATAATTCTATTAAGCATGGAGATTGCAACTTTTGCATTAAATGCAACCACATACAATTGGTCAAACGTAAGTACCAATTTTAATAATAATTAGATCAAAATTTTAATATAAATGAAAAATTATGGTGAATGATGTATGTTGAAGTGAGTAAGGCATAGAAAAGGCCACCAAATGTGTCAATTATCTTTGGCATAGAAATGTAAAGATAAACTGTATTTTCTCTATATTCTTGCTATAAGCACATTGAAAAATAAGTTTTTCTCAAAAATCGTGATGCACTATAAACCTCAAAGAGAGATTAAAATTATCGTTAAGATAAAATGATAGAATACTTAGAAACCCCAAAGACCTACCTGAAAAACAACTGCAGAAGTCAAACAGTTTAGAGAGGTGGCTGGACAAAAGAAAAACCTGCAAAAATTAATAGATTGTCTTTACACTAGAAATAACCACTTAAATATTGAAATTTTTAAAAAAATCAAAATAACAGCAAAACTATAAATGTTTAATAAGAAGCATTTTAAAAGGACTGAATACTTTGAAAAATTATGTTCTTGAATGCGAATTTACAAAATCATAAAATTGCAAGTTTCTGCAAATTAACACATAATTGTGATGCAATTCCATTTAGAATCTCAACAGCATTTCGGAAGTCATGCAATAAAATTACTCTAAAATGCATATAGATAGATGAATAATTGCATAAAAATGCCAAGAAAGTCTAGAAGTTACATAGTGATTGAGGAGGATCAGATAATTTGCTGCACTAGATATTAAAACTTGTTATTAGGCTATTATAATAAAAATAGTACAGTATTTACACACTAAAAGGAAAATTTAACTAAGCACAGAATAGAGAGTTGAAAAATAAATCTAAGTATAAGTGAACACATATTATTTTGTAGGTGATAACATGACCAGTCAATAGAGAAAAGATGAAATTGGAAAAAAACAGTATTAAATCAATAAGCTATTGATTTCCAAGAAAATAATAATGGACACCTACTTTGTACCACAAATAAAAATAAATCACAGATGAAGTATGTGTACATAAAAACCATTAAAATTAGCATAAAATATAGAACTAATATATTATTTACATAAGCAACAGAGAAAACCAAGAAGGAGGAAAGATAGAAAGACATTTTATGTCACAAATATTTGCACTTTTTATACAATACAGGCTGAGACAACAATAGCCTAAAGAGTTAAAATACTGCCCCAGTGGGCTGAGGGAGTGGGGTCCCCACCCCAGGGTGACAAAGAATAGGGCTGTCCCCTAGCTGACTCAGAAGACAGAACCACAGAGGATTATCCTCAGGCCTCAAAAATCTAACAAAATTTTCTCTATTGGGTTTTGGACTTGCTTAGGTCTGCTGCCCACTTCTTTCTTTCTTATTTTCTCTATTGGAAATCGAAATGACTATCCTCTGCCAGTCCCACCATTGTATTTTAGAAGTAGATTACTAGTTTTCTGGCTTCACAAGTCCACAGATAGTGAGGAATTTTTGCCCCAAGATGAATCATGCTATAAGTGATGATTTCTAGCATGAATCTAGATGCTATAACTGATTTAGATGATGAGATTTGAGGATTTTTGATTTTATAATATTTAGGAAAAGTTTGGACATAGAGTTGATTCTAGAGTGGGTTACAACTTTCGGAGATGTTGAAATTAGCTGAATATATTTTGCACATGGGAAGGACATGAATTGAGGGGAACTAGAGGCAGACTGTTATGGGTTGAATTGTGATACCGAAACATATATGTTGCAGTCCTAACCCATGGCACCTCAGAATGTGACATTTTGGGGGAATGGGATTATTCCAGGTATAATAAGCTAAATTAAGATGAGGTCATACAGGGGTAGGTAGGTCATTAATCCAGTATGATTGGTATTCTTATAAGAGAGAAATTTGGACATAGGTACATAAGGAAGATGGCACTGTGTATTAGTTCATTTTTACACTGCTATAAAGAACTGACTGAGACAGAGTAATTTATAAAGGAAAGAGGTTTAATTGACTCACAGTTTTGCATGGCTCGGGAGGTCTCACAAAACTTATAGTCATGACAGAAGGCAAAGGAGAAGCAAGTACCTTCTTCACAAGGAGGCAGGAGAGAGAGCAAAAGGGGAACAGCTACAGACTTTTAAACCACCATATCTCATGAGAACTCACTCACTACCATGAAACAGCATGGGGGAGCCACTCCCATGATCCAATTACCTCCCACCAGGTCCCTCCCTCAACACGTGGGGATTACAATTCGAGATGAGATTTGGGTGGGGACACAGAGCCAAACCATATTATTCCATCCCTGGCCCCTCCCAAACTTCATCTCCTGCTCACATTTCAAAACACAATCATGCCCTCCCAGCAGTCCTCCAAAGTCTTAACTCATTCCAGCATTAATTCAAAAGTCTAAGTTCAAAGTCTCACCTGAGACAAGGAAATTTCCTTCCACTGAGCCTGTAAAATCAAAAACAAGTTAGTTACTTCCAAGGTACAATGGGGGTACAAGCATTAGGTAAATGTTCCCATTCCAAATGGGACAAATTGGCCAAAACAAAGGGGCCACAGGTCCCATGCAAGTCTGAAACCCAGTAGGGCTGTTATTAAATTCTAAAGCTTCAAAATGATCTCCTTTGGCTCCATGTCTCACATCTGGGGTACACAGATGCAAGAGGTGGGCTCCCAAGGCCTTGGGCAGCTCCACCCCTGTGGCTCTGCAGGGTAAAGCCTCTGCAGCTGTTTTCATAGGCTGATGCTGAGTGCCTGCAGCTTTTCCAGGTGCGTTGTAGAGGCTGTCAGTGGATTTACCATTCTTGGGTCTGGAGAATGGTGGCCCTCTTCTCACGGGTCTAGTGGGCAGTGCCCCAGTGGGGACTCTGTGGGGGCCTCAACCCCACATTTCCCCTCTGCAGTGCCCTAGTAGAAGTTCTCCATGAGGGCTCCAACCCTGTCACAGCCTTCTTCCTGGACATCCAGGCATTTTCATACATCCTCTGAAATCTAGGTGGAGCCCACCAAGCCTCAACTCCTGACCTCGGTGCACCCACAGGCCCAACACCATGTGAAAGCCACCAAGGCTTGGGGCTTGCTCCCTCTGAAGCAACAGCCCAAGCTGTACCTTGGCCCCTTTTAGCCACAGCTGGAGCTGGTGTGGCTGGGAAGCAGGGCCCCAAGTCCCGAGACTGCACAGAGCAGCAGCAGGGGCCCTGGACCTGGGCCACAAAACCATTTTTTCCTCCTAGGCCTCCAGGCCTGTGATGGGAGGGGCTACAGTGAAGATGTTTGACATGCCCTGGAGACATTTTCCCCATTGTCTTGGCTATTAATATTTGGTTCCTTGTTACTTATGCAAATTTCTGCAGCTGGCTTGAATTTATCCCCAGAAAATGAGTTTTTCTTTTATACCATGTATCAGGCTGCAAATTTTCCAAATTTCTATGCTTTGCTTCCCTTTTAAACACAACTTCCAGTTTCAGATAATCTCTTTGCTCACACATATGTGAACACACCTCTAGAAAAAAACAGGTCACCTCTTAAACACTTTGCTGCTTAGAAATTTCTTCCACCAGATACCCTAAATCATCTCTCTCAAGTTCAAAGTTCCACAAATCTCTAGGGCAGGGCAAAATGCCACCAGTCTCTCTGCTAAAGCATAGCAAGACTGACCTTTGCTCCAGTTCCCAAAAAGTTCCTCATCTCCATCTGAAACCACCTCAGCCTGGACTTCATTGTCCATATCACTATCAGCATTTCAGTCAAAAGCATTCAACGAGTCTCTAGGAAGTTCCTAACTTTCCCACATCTTCCTGTCTTCTTTTAAGCCCTTCAAACTCTTCCAACTTCTGCCTATTTCCCAGTTCCAAAGTTGCTTCCACATTTTCAGGCTATCTTTATACCAGTACCCCACTCCTGGTACCAATTTCCTGTGTTAGTCCATTTTCACACTGCTATAAAGAGCTGCCTGAGACTGGGTAATTTATAAAGTAAAGAGGGTTAATTGGCTCACAGTTTCACATGGCTGGGGAAGCCTCAGGAAATGTACAATCATGGCGGAAGGCAAAGGAGAAACAAGTACCTTCTTCAAAAGGAAGCAGGAGAGAGAGAGTAAAGGGGGAACTTCCACAGACTTTTCAACCATCAAGTCTCATGAGAACTCACTCACTATCATGAGAACAGCATGGGTGAAACTGCCCCCATGATCTAATCACCTCCCACCAGATCCCCCCTCAACACATGGGGATTACAGTTTGAAATGAGATTTAAGTGGGGACACAGAGATGAACCATATCACCATCTGAACATAGAGGCAGAGATAGGAGTTATACTATTACAAGTCAAAAACACCTGGGGCTACCAGAACCTGGATGAGACAAGGGAGGATTCTCTCCTATATGCCTTAGAAAGAGCATGATCCTGCCAATACATTTATTTTGAACTTTTGGCATCCAGACCCATAAAACAATAAACTTCTGTTGTGTTAAGCCACCCAGTTTGTGGTACTTTATTATATTGCCCTAGGAAATGAATACATGAGGACAATATGTAAGTACTCAATAAATTTAAAACATACTTAGTTGTTATGAAAATACCCAAAAATAATCATAATTGTGTGAGACTGCTAGGATGAATATTTACTCCTGATTTTCTAAATGTTGATCTTATATAATTTTAAATGGTTAATTAATATGAAGATTTTTTTATTCAGATGGTTGGTATGATGCTTTTACAATATTTACTACTCTGCACCATCTTAGAGATGACCATTGTAATCATAATCATCCAGTGGGTTGTAAGAGCATTTCATCATGAAAAACACACTGAAGAAAGTGAGTAACTTTGTTTCTGGCAGTCAAATCAAGATAAAGGCAGTTTATAATAAGGGCCCTCTCTGAGAGTTCAAAGTTTAGACTTGGTGAACAGGAGTGTTGCTTCAGAAGTAAGGTCAAGTGTATCTGAAAACATGCTGAAATATCTTCTGCTTGATATTGTGTGGAATTGAAGTCAAACAACTTGCCCTGGCAAAACTATGTAGAAGTCTTTTAGACTTACATCTCCCAGGAGATTAACAGAGGAAATATATAGACTAAAAGGGTTTCAGAGATCATACTTGTGATATGGGGATACTGACTGCTATAAACCCAAAAATTCAAATTTAGTTCTGAAATGTTGGTTTCCAACATTTGGAATATCAAATGCCTTCAGAAAATAAACATTTTAGAGGACACTGAAAAGAGTACTTCTAGAATAGAACAGTAAGAACCTCCAAAAACCCATCTCTCAATAAAAGCAATGAGAATACTGAAAAATTTGTCAAAATCAACTTTTTCAGAACTTTGGAAATTAGTCAAAGACCTATGAAAATCCAATAAGCATTTATTCAAGTTAAATGGCCAAATCATGGTAAGAACAGTGAGCTCTATGGTATTGCAGCGTGCCCTATTCCCATCCGTCTTACCCTATCTCCTCAGTAGCCTTTAAAAGTAACAGCCTTGCAACCATAGTACCTGTGGGAAAAAACGGCCTAACAACAACAGGAAAGGATAAAATAGGATTTAAGTGCCCCAAAAAAGCCCCATTCTCAGAGAATTGTTGTTAACTTGTCTGGCAGCTCCCCAGACATCCCCACTGGCAAGACTCTTTAATTTGATTTCATTCAGAACTCAGTCACTGTAAACAGCTTTTCTTTCTGGGATATTTGTCAGAACAATCAATAGCATTTAACAACACAGCTGCCTGAGGCAGAGATAACAGTTGTGCCAAACAAAAGGTCACATTTTAAAAAAAAATCTGAGCAGTAAGATGTCCATAGAGTATTTTGAAATTATGACAATATCTGGAAACATAAAAGGTCACATGCATATGCTGGGATGTGTACATGCCAAGAAAAGACCTGAAAAATGTCCTAACCTCCCACCTCTGGCTGACCTGAAGAAAATCCAATTCAACCATTCAAGTTAAATGGCCGAATCATGGTAAGAACAGTGAGCTTTGTGGTATTGTAACTTGTCCTATTCCCATCCCTCACAACCCATCTCCTGCTTTTATGATAAAAGCAGGAAGTGATAGCTAAGGCAGAGTTGCAAACTCTCCCAGAGCTTTAAAACCTTACCCCAACACAAACACATGCAAACACGCACACACACAATCTCTCAGCAAAGTCTAGGAAACTTACTGGTTCAAAAGAATTAAGGAAATCTTTGTCCAATCACTAGCTGACCACTAAGTTAACAAAGCAGAATAACAAAGACAATGATAAAACCAACCCCTAGAGGGCTATGATTTACAATGTTGCCACACTATATTATTTTAAATGTTCAATTTTTAACAAGTAAAAATATAAAATATGCAAGGAAACAGAGAAGTATGGCTTAAATACAGGAGAAAAAAACAGTCAATAAAAATTTTCCCCAAAGAAGTCTAAATGTTGAGGTTACTAGAAAAAAAAGGTATTTTAACTCAGCAAGTATAAATAAGTATAAAGAACTTTTAAAAACCATGTCTAAAAAAACTAAAAGTATGAACGCAATGTCTCACCAAAAAGAGAATATTAATAGTGACATAAAATAGGAACTATTTTTCCAAAAGAACCAAATAGAAATTGTAGAGCAGAAAATTATAATAACTAAAATGAAAATTTTACTCAAGGGTCTCAACAGAAAATTTGAGCTGGCAGAAGAAATAATCCACAAACTTGACAGTAGGTCAATTGGAATTACCTAATCTATGAAACAGAATGAAGAAAAAAGAACAGAGCTTCAGACACCTTTGAAACATCAGCAAGCATACCAAAATGTGCATAATGGTGAACACATAAGGAAAGAAGAGAGAAAGAAATAAAAAAATGGCACAGTGAGTTTGTGAAGAAATATTGGAAAATGTATAGCTGTAAAGACTATATTTTGAATAAGTATCTGAAATCAAAAACCCAACTTTCCCCCTTAAAAAATCAGGAAAAGAAAACTAAACCTAAAGTGAAAATAATAAAGACTAGAGTAGAACTAAATGAAATAGAAGATAGGAAAACAATAGAGAAAAACAATAAAACCAGAAGTTCCTTCTTTAAAAAGAATCCCAAAATAACAAACCATTAACCACACTGACCAAGAAAAAAAGAAAGAAGACTTAATTTACTATAATTATAAAGAAAGAACATTACTGACAATGTTATAGAAGTAAAAATATTGAACAATCATATGGCAACAAATTAGATAACCTACATAAAATGGACAAATTTCTAGAAATACAGACATGACTGAAACTGACTCAAGAAGAAATAGAAATCTAAGTACACCTATCACAAGTTAAAGAATCAAATTAATAATCAAAAACTTTCCATAAAGAATAGCCCAGTCTCAGATAGCTACATTGTGAACTCTACCAAAGGTTTAAAGCATTAATACTAGTTATTCACAAACTTTTTCCCAAAAAAAAGAGGAGGAATAAATACTTCCTAACTCATTCTATAAGGCTAACACTAGTTTGGTACTAAAATAAAACAAAGACATTATAATAAAAGGAAACTATAGACTAATATCCATTATGAATATAGATGCATAAATCCTCAAAAACTATTAACAAATGGAATCTAGCAACATACAAAAAGTATTATATATCATGACCAGTTAGGATTTATCCTAAGAGTACAGAGCTGGTTCAATATATGAAAACTAATCAATGTATTCCACCTTACTAATAGAATAAAAGCCAGAAACCACATGATCACCTCAAAAGACATAGAAGAAGCATTTAAGAAAATTGAACACCCTTTTATGATTAAAAAAGTTGAAAAACTAGGAATAGAATGGAATTTTCTCAACCTAAATATGGGCGTTTATTAAAAATTTATAGTTAACATAATACTTGATAAAGAGACACTGAATCATTTTCTTCTTAAGATAAGAAACAAGATATCTTGTCACTTACATTCAACATTGTATTGTAGGTTCTATCCAGGAAAATCAGGCAATAAAAAATAAAGAATTTAGTTTAATCAAGGAAAAATTAAAACTAACACTCTTTACAAATGACATTATCTGATCTCGTATAAAATGCTAAAAAAATCCATAAAAATCTAGTCGAACTAATAAATAAGTTTAACAAAATGGCAGAATACATGGCCAATATACAGAAACCAACTGTATTTTTGTATACAAAAACACAGTTACAGTAACATCAAAAGGAATAAATATACATATACTTCACATTCAGGAATAAATTTTTAAAAAGAAGTGCGAGACTTGTCTACCACAAACTCTAAAACATTATTGAAAGAAATTTAAGAAGATACAAACAAATGAAAAGACATCCCATGTTCATTGATAAAAGACAATATTTGAAGACAATATTATGATGGTAATACTCCCCAACCAATTTAACACAACCCCTGTTAAATTACAGCTGGCATTTTTCAGAAATTGACAAGCTTATCCTAACATTCATATGAACATGGAAAAGACCCAAAATAGTCAAACCAATATTAAAAAAGAAAAACAAAGTAGGAGGTGTTAGGTTTTGAAGGGAAGGTAAGGGTTAAAGAAAGACACACACACACACACACACACACACACACACACACACACACACATATAAAAAGGGCACCTCAGCAGCAAATGCAGGCTTTACATCCAGCATAAAACCTACAGAAGTGGGGAACCAGTGTAATGCCAGAGCCCACCGCTGCTTATAGCCTGGGGGTACTTATAGGTATGGGTGGGAGGGGTCTAGGCAGTACGGCTTGCTACCCAGCAGGATATTGATAAGATGTTCCCATGATGAGGTGGTTCTGGCCCTTGGTTTGGCAGAATGTCATTATGGTGTTCCTTGGACCTTTGCCCAGCAAGATATAATAGGGATGTTTCTTTAGTTGGGCCTTTGTCTGCCTTGTGGTCATGTGGTTAGGCAGAATGTTTCTCACGGCCCGAACTCCTGTGAAATGTTTCACTTTGACCAAGGTCTGCAAAATAGCAGAGAATTTACAAAATGGTGCAGTTTGGACTAACAGGAAGGCTCGCACTTCCTAGTTTCAAAAGTTACTAAAAAATTACAGTAATCAAGAAATTGTGGTGTAGCAGGATGAGCCGTGGACAAAACTCCACAGACACTGAGAAAGTGAAGGAAGTAGCTTTAATCAGCTGGAAGCATCGGCAGACTAGCGTCTTAAAATCCAAGCTTGTTGAGTGCACAATTTCTGTCCCTTTTTTTTTTTTAGCGCTCACAATACTAAAGGTTTCGCATGAAAGGGTTGTGATTGATTGAGCAGTCTAGGGTGGTACCGGACAGGGGCTGCAGCTACATGCACCAGTAATCAGAGTGAAACAGAACAGAATGGAAAATTTGTTGTATGTCCTTCCACACAATGTCTGGAATCTATGGATAACATCAGTTGCTAAGTCATGGGTTGAATTTTAACCATCAGGCTAAGGTCAGGCAGGCCCAGGCCTGGTTTTGGGTCTGGTTTTGGGTCTGGTGCCTGGCGCCAGGCTGCCTGCCTTTGGTTTCGCTTCCTTGTTTCTTCTTAAAACAGGTACTGAGTATAAAACAGTATAGAACAATATGGGGGGGTCTCTTTCTTTCTTCTCTCAGTGATACTGCCATAATGATAGACATAAAAATCAGTAGAATAGGATCAAAAACCCAAAAATAAGTTCATACGTAGCTACTTGATTTTTGACTAGCATGACAAGACAATTCAATGGAGAAATAGTGGTCTCTTCAACAAATGGTGCCAGGACAACTGGATATCTGCATACAAAAGAATGAAGTTAGACCACTACCTCACAGAATATACACAAATTAACTAAAAATGCATAGACCTAGATTTAAGAGCTAACATTACAAAACTCTTAGAAGAAAATACAGGCATAATTATTTCTGGCCTGAATTAGTTAATGGTATATTAGCTATCACACCAAAAGCATATTTAACAAAAGAAAAATCATAGATAAATTGACCAAGGGAAGAAAACTACAGACCAACATGTCTGATGACTACGGATACAAAAATCTTCAAAAAAAAAACTAGCAAACCAAATCTAGCAACATATAAATATGATTATACAACAGGGTCAAGTGAGATTTATTACAGGAATTCAAAGTTAGTTTAACATACCAAAATCAATCAATGCAATATATTTCATTAAAATAATAAAGGGCAAAAACATGCTCACTAAACAAAGTGATGAAAGGAAATAGATTGTAATGGCTGATGATTTTATCTCCTTACTTATCTATCTTCCCTAAATCCTTTCAAAATAGATAATTAATTCCAAAAACAAAAATCTGTAGTTTGGTGTCAACCTAAAACTCTGTCAGGAGCCAAAGGAATGGCTTGTTTGTGGAATTCCTGTAGGATAATATGTGGGGGATCATGGCAGGAAATGAGGCTGTAGAAGTACCTTGAGACCAGATCTTAATGGGGCTTAACTATACCTTATTAAAGAATTTTGAATTTAGTCTATAGATACCAGGGTGCTCTTGCAGGGTTTTTAACAACAGTGTTTCTTGATCAAACTTTTCATTTATATAATTATTTTCATTAGAATATTTCCTGCAGCAAGTTACAGCCCTTCCCCCCTACCCTCAACTCAAACTGCTAAATCAATCAGGAATCATCTCATGATCATAAGACGGCTTAGGCAGCATAATTTCCGGTTCACATCCAGCAGGAGAAACTGGCCTTTCTCAGAAGCTACAAGGAGACCTCTCTTTACTTCACTTGGCTTAATTGCCTCAGATCTGCTAATCTCTGAGTTGAGTAATAGCAAAGGGAATAGGATTACCATGAAGGATTCAGACAAATCATTTGTAGCAGGATAATTTTGAGGGAGTCAACCAGTGTCCTCAGTCATTCTGGGAGGAAAATAGAGATAGAGATAGGAAAAAGAAGAACAAAGCTAGAGATGAATATAATTAGCTGGTTGCCCCAACAGGCAAGCCAAACAATGAGTACCTAAACCTAAACAATGAAGAATAAAGAGAAGATGATAAATTTGAAAGATATTTAGGAGGCTTATTAATGTCTTGTATGTTCGTTTCACACTCAATGTTAAATCTTAGATTAAATAAAATTAGTTTAATAAACTGCTTATCCCTTATTTCTATTTCCCATACTGCTCAATAACTATTGAACATAGCTTTAAATACTAACCTGTATTTTACTTGATTAGGAAACTATTTTTTAAATCATGTATTTTCAGTTTTGTGTGTATGCGCTTATACGATATAATATTCTGCTGTGAACTTAAAAACAAAATAGAAAAACAGAGGTTTACTCAAGAAAAGAATGACACTGTTCCCATTAGAATGGCTTCTACAGTGGCTCCCAAAAATCCTGTAGTATGAGCCAGATGGCTCTCCGCTCCAATGGTTGTTCTCTTCTGATCTAGAATATGAAGTAGAGTACCCAAGAGGAATCAGGACTCACCAGAGTCCAGTTAAAATCATTTTAAGAAGAATAATTTAGTTTAATATGTTTGTTGTAGTTCATTGAAACCTCTGGTATCTGATGAGTTATAGGTCTGATATGCCTTTGGCTAGGCCCCCCAGAACTGAGTAGGTACTGTCTTCTCAGTACACTTTTAACTAACCACATTCCAGGTTTACATATTTGTTCATTTTTTGTTGTTGTTTTGTCTTACTTTAACTCAATGTCTCAGGATAAGGCTTTTATTTTAGACTGTAATAATGATCAATTTGCTATCTCAATTCATCTCAGGCACTTTGCCCTCGGAAATCTCACTGTCGGAATCCTTGGAAATCACACCACGCACAACTTCTATTTCTTCATAATTTGCAAAGAACCAGTGTGACTCCAGTCAAGAACAAAAGATTAATTGTGAATTAGCGAAGAACTCTAATTTTTTCAAGCAGCCACATGGAAAACGCATTCTAATGAAATCCTTTCCATTGCTCTTTTTTCTTAGTTCTTCAATAAAGCATGCGATTTGATCACAAATTGACTCTTCCCTTTTTAAAAGCCAGTATGGGTTAACACGGATAAATATAGCCCCTGCAATCCCTGTGGTTGAAGGGATGTAGGAGAGTAGTGTTGAATGCCCACTTTATCTTAGGTTGGAGGAGATTGGCTTGAATTAAGGAACTCCTTCATCCAAGAGGAGAAAATACTCTGATTTTGGAAGTTGGCATAATGTTCATGTGATAATGTCAATACTCTTGCTCTCTCTGTACTTTTGTTTTCTCATCTGTAAAACAGAAATAATAGTCTCTAACCCACAGAGTAGATGGGAGGATTAAATGACAATATATCATTAAAAGAGCTTACAACAGCTCCTAACTCATAGTTGTCCCTCAATAAGTTTTTATTATTTATTATTTATCAGCTCTTATCATTGTATCAGTAGCATAATGATATATGAAGCCAGATTGAATTTTTCTTGTTTTCCAAGAATTGGTGACTAGAACCTCCCTCTGAAAGCAGATGTACTGAAATGAGGCCACAAAACTACTTAAAATCTTGATGAAAATGTTATGTATTGAGTTGTGTCCCCCTCAAAAAAATATATTGAGGTCCTAATCCCCAGTACTCAGAATATGACCTAATTTAGAAGTAGGGTCTTTAAATAACCAATCGAATTAAAATGAAGTCATTAGGAGAGAGTCTAATCCAATATCACTGGTTTCCTTATAAAAAGAGAAAATTGGGCCAGGCGCAGTGGCTCACGCCTGTAATCCCAACACTTTGGGAGGCCGAGGCAGGTGGATTGCTTGAGGTCAGGAGTTCAAGACTAGCCTGACCAACATGGTGAAATCCTGTCTCTACTAAAAATACAAAAATTAGCCGGGCATAGTGGTGCGCACCTGTAATCCCACCTACTCGGGAGGCTGAGGCAGGAGAATCACTTGAACCCAGGAGGCAGAGATTGTGATGAGACTAGATCGCACCATTGCACTCCAGCCTGGGCGACAGAGTGAGACTCTCATCTCAAAACAAAGAAAAGGGGAAATTAGACACAGACACAGATATGCACAGAGGGAAAACGATGTGAAGACACACAAAGAGAAAACCATGTAAAGATGAAGGATTGGGTGATGCATCGACAAGCCAAGAAGTGCCAAAGATTTCTAGCAAATCAGGAGGACGTCAGGAAGGATCCTTCTCCTCCAGGTTTCTGAGGGAGCATGACCCTGAGAGCACCTTGATTTTGGACTTCCAACCTCCAGAACAGTGAGATAATAAATTTCTCATTTTAACACCTTGTTTTAACCACTCGTTTTAACCACTCGTTTTAACACCTTGTTACATTAGCTCGGGGAAACTAATGCAGGTGGCTTTTCACTATAAGGGGCACTAGATTTCCCCCACCCCATGGAACATGTTAGGTGTTTATGAAAGCAGGTTATCCTCTCACCTCAGCATTCCACAGTAGGAGTGCAGCATTCGAACGGCTCTACTCTCTGAAGCTCGGGGAGAGAAGAAGCAGCTGTAAAGTGTGTGGCTGTTTACAGGAAGCATCCCACTCCCCAACGATAGTCTTTGGGACCCAGGTGGGACTTGCTGACCTGATCTAGAAAAGCCAGAGCAAAAGCCAGCAATGTTAAAAAGAAGGCATGGTATAGGAGCCTGCAGAGAGGGACCATGGACCACTCCTAAAAGTCGGAGCTTGCAAGAGGTAAAAAAGAAAGATACCTATCACCACTGCCTGCAGGCCCCAACCCTGGAACACTAGAGGGAAATGAGACTGGAAGCCTCAGGTTACCTGAGAATTGCTGTAGCATGGGGAGCAAGGCATATGAAAGCACTTCAGCAAAATGCTGCCAATGGAGGGTCAGTACGAAGGTGTAGCCAAATTACCAAAGAAGCACTAATGCCTAGGAGAGAGCTTCTCAGAATTGAGTGGCTCTTAACTGTGGCCAGTAGAAGCTTCCACATACCTGCCTAGGTTAGGAATATAATCCACAGAAAGAGAACTATATTCTGACATGGGAGCTCATTTAATTTCATTTAATTTTTTTAAAATAAAGGTTTTTTTATATGTATAAAATTTGTCATTTTATAGGCATATTTTAAATGTGGATATTTTAATTTATATCATAATTGTATAATTTATATGCATATTTTAAATGTGCATATTTTGTAACATAATTTTTAAAGCCTCTGCTGTGAACATTACATATTGAATGTATATGTTTGGGTTGTCTGTTGTTTTTCAGTCTTATTCTGATGTTATCTCCAGGAGTCCACCATACAATTTCTCCAGAGCCTCTGTTACATCTATCTTCTTCCAATCCATCCTTGATACACTTTTAAAGATAACAGCACCCAAGATCATGTTAAGTACTAGAGACTGAACATATATCTCTACAGATAGTGGGATCTCTCATAGTTCAAACTTTGTGTGGGATAGTTTTCTAATTCCCCATTCCATGTAATAACAAAAGAAATTAATACTGTATTTGCCCTGGTTAATTATGAGACTATTTCTCACTTTTTCTACTTCAGCACTCTGTAATTGGCCTCAGCCTGTTCTGCCTACACAGATTAACATTATATCCTCCTTCCTCCTATATTAGATGAATAAGTCTGTTCTTTTATTATCTCATTCTATTCTTTATTATTTATAATAGTAATTCCCATTAATACCTCTGCTCTTTCTTTTTTATATATTTTTTGTACATATGACTTCTGATCTTTTTCTCTTACATACAAAGTATTATTATAAAAATGTACAGGCATATCTAATTATTATGTATTTCAGTATATTCAGGTCTGACATTTTATATAATAAAATGGATATTTTATAATAAATTTACTTGCCCTTTATATTACAGTTAAGCATTATATTGATCTCTTAAATTATGTAGATCTCATTATTTGTAGTTTGTATCTCAGGATATGAAAAATATTAACTCTACATTTATTTTACTGAGAAATTTTTAAACCATCTAGATTTTGACTAAAAGTCTTAGTACAGACTTTTAATTCCATCCAATGTGAAATAACTGATATCAGATATACTGAAACTAGCTACAAAAACTGGGGAAAATGCATAAAACATCAATTTTTAGGCACTGTACAAAAACCAACAGAAGGTTTCCATTCTTTGGAAATGGGAAACATACAAGGTGAGCCCCCACATTCACCCAGACTTCCCCTTGGGAACATTTTCCAGGCCATGTGGTAGGAACGTAGAACCCAAATAGTTACAGTGGTCTTGCTGGATGGAAGCAGAGATTAAGTTTGAAACTGCTAAAGTAGCTGGAATTCGATGGGCATACCTACAGAGATAGGGAAGCTACTGAACAGATACCTCAGAAGTCTACAAAGAAATTTTCCTTAGGTCCTTAGCTGAATCCTGGCCATATCCTTTAATACAACTTCAGAAGGCCTAACAGAAAGTAAATTCCTGGCCGGGTGTGGTGGCTCACGCCTGTAATCACAGCACTTTGTAAGGGAGGCCGAAGAGGGCAGATCACTTGAGGTCAGGGGTTTGAGACCAGCCTGGCCAACATAGTAAAACCCCATCTCTACTAAAAACACAAAAATTACTCAGGCATGGTGGTGGGCGCCTGTAGTCCCAGCTACTCAGGTGGCTGAGGCAGAAGAATCACTTGAAACAGGAGACGGAGGTTGCAGTGAGCCGAGATCCTGCCACTGCAGACCAGCCTGGGTGACAGAGCAAGACCCTGTCTTAAAAAAAAAAAAAAAAAGAAAAAAAAAAGGAAGTAAATTCCAGGGAGACTGAGAGCTGAGCATGGATTCTTGATCCTACACAGTGTGGTGAGTGGTGAAGTGCAGGCGCAGCCAAAAGAGAGAAACCTTCTTGATCATCCCTGACATTCAAAGGATACTCCAGAGATGCTACAGCTTCTAATTAAGAACGATGAACTAGGAGTACAGGCTACACCTTGGAATAAGAAAAAGGGAGAAAAAGACGCACCCTAACAAAGCCTAAAATCAGGATGCAAGATGATCTGCAAAAATGTAATTGCTGGTGTGCCTCCTCCAAGGAGAGGAAAGAGAATAGTACCCAGATCCTCACATTTTGAACAGATCATCTAGGAAAGAACACTTGGATACAGCAGAGAACAGACGAGAAACACCAGCAGTAAGAAAGGACATGGTGTGAGGAAGCTTGCCCAGCCAGGAACTGACCAAGAGCCAAGAGAGGCTCCTGGACCTAGGGAAACAGGAAGAGAGAAACCCCTAGAACTCCAAAATGGGCTTTTATGATCTTGGCTATGGGAGAAACCCTGTAGTGGATTCACGACAGCATCAGGCCTGGCATATGGAGCTTCCTAAAGATTGCACAGAGATGTTGCCCCAGAAAGGGAACCCACACAGAATCCCACAAGCTTCAGCACCCAGAGCAGCCTCAGCTGGGAGCCATTTTGAGAGCCTGGATACCGGGTATCTACAGACACAGCTGCTGCCACTGAGCAGCTCCAAGGAGGGAGAGGGAAGAACAGGTGCTCCCATGCACCAATGAGAGGGTACCTGCCGCCCTGCTATGGGCTGCAGTTGAGACTGAGACATAAATGAGCCACGTTCCCCACAGCTTCTTGCTCACACTGCTTGCCTGGGAGATGCCCCACCGTCTCTGGTCTAAACCCCAAGGCACCATCTTAAGAGTTGAGTGCTGGACTGTGCCCTGCCCTTGGGCTGAGGTCAAACTAACACAATTACAGCTGCTGCCTAGCCAAGGAGTGACGGGGAAACCAGGCTATCTCATGCAAATATAGGACAATACCCACTGATCTGCAACAGGCTGCTGTGAGACTGAGACGTGAGGGGATGACACTCCCCACAGCTTCTTACATATGCTTCTTGCCTAGGAGGGACCCCACCCTCCCTGGCCACAGGCCTAAGGTGCCATTTTGAGAGTTTAATGCTGGGCTATGCCCCACGGTCAGGCCAAATTCAAGTTGACATGGCTGCAACTACTGCCCAGTCAAGGAGGGATAGGGCAGCCAGGCTTTCCGACGCATACCTAGGACAATATTCAATGCCCTGCCATAGGCTGCTGCAAGACCAACACTCAAGCGAACCACACTTCTCACAGAGTCTTGCCCATACTGTTCGCCTGAGAAGGGCCTGACCCTCTCTGGTCACAAGCCCACAGCTGGCACTATTTTGAGAGTTTAACACTAAGCTGTGCCCCACCCTTGGGCCAAGGTCAAGGTGACACAACAGCAGTCGCCACCCAACTGAGAGAGAGACAAGGAAGACCAAGGTCTCCAAAGCACACTTAGAACAATACCCACTGCCCTGCTAAAGGCAGCTGTGGGACCAGGGAGTAACCCACCCAATCCATTGCAGCTTCCAGCAACACCAACACAGATGGCATGGGTCACTGTGGTTTCCTCCACCACTGCTACTGCCACACCACGCCAGCTTCCCAGGGGCCTGAGACTCCACCCACACACCAGGCCCACTGCTCCCACTGCCCACTTCTAAGCAAGCAGCTTGGAGGCCCAAGAATGAGCCCTCTAGGACCGCTAACACAAGGGCCAGTATAAGCCACTCTGGAGCCTTAAAACAGGCTCGCTCACCCCAATGCTGCCACTACTCGGGCCCAAAGACTGGCTCAGTTGGTGTATTAGTTTGTTCTCACACTGCTATAGAGAAATACCTGATGGCCAGGCACAGTATTTGGGAGGGTGAGGCAGACAGATCACTTGAGGCCAGGAGTTTGAGACCAGCCTGGACAACATGGTGAAACCCTGTCTCTACTAAAATACAAAAATTAGATGGGTGTGGTGGTGCACACCTGTAATTCCAGCTACTTGGGAGGCTGAGGCATGAGAATCACTTGAACCTGGAAGGCGGAGGCTGCAGTGAGCTGAGATCGCAACACTGCACTCCAGCCTGGGTGACAGAGTGAGACCCTGTCTAAAAAAAAAAAAGAAGAAAGAAAGAGAGAGAGGGAGAGAGAGAAAGAAAGAGAGAAAGAGAGAAAGGAAGGAAGGAAGGAAGAGAAAGAAAAAAAGAAAGAAAGAAAGAGAAAGGAAAGAAAGAAAGAAAGAAAGAAAGAAAGAAAGAAAGAAAGAAAGAAAGAAGGAAAGAAAAAGAAAGAAAGAAAGAAAGAAAGAAAGAAAGAAAGAAAGAAAGAAAGAAAGAAAGAAAGAAAGAAAGAAAGAAAGAAAAAGAAAGAGAAAGAAAGAAAGAAAGGAAAGACCTGAGACTGGGTAATTTAAAAGAAAATAGGTTTAATTGCCTGGTGGTTCCACGGACTGTACAGGAAGCATGGCAGCATATGCTTCTGCAGAGGCCTCAGGGAGCTTTTCCTCATGACAGAAGGCAACATGGGAACAGGCATCTTACATGGTAGGAGCAGAACCGAGGCGGGGGGGTGCCCCACACTTTTAAACAACCAGATATCACACAAACTCACTCACTATTGTGACACAGTACCAAGGGGAAAATCTGCTCCTGTGATTCAATCGCCTGTCACCAGGCCCCACCTCCAACACTGGGGATTGCAATTCAACATGAGATTTGGGCAGGGACACAGACCAAAACCACATCAGTTGGCATCTAAGTCCCCAGCTAAAAGTCACCACAACCTTAACTGTACCATAAGTCACCAAGGCAATCCCAGAGACCACTGACTTTGTGTACTGCGAAAGAAGTCAAACAAAGATCACACTACTGCCAGCATGCAAAATCAAAGTCGAAGTATCTTAATCAACAACACGTACACAACCTCAGAAAAAAAAAAAAAATTCCCCTACCAAAGCAATTTCAAAAAATTGGAACAAGCAACTGCTACACTAGATGCAAAGACATCAATGGAAAAACACAGGAAGCATGAAAAAGCAGGGAAATGGGATATCATCAAAGGACCATAATTGTCCAGCAACAGATTCCAACAAAATGAATCCCTTGAAATGCCAGATAAATAATTTAAAATATTGATTTTTAAAGAAGCTTAATGAGATGCAAAGGATATCTGAAAATCAGGCCAGGCATAGTGTCTCGTGCCTGTAATCCCACTGTAATCCCAGCACTTTGGGAGGCCATGGCAGGTAGATCACATGAGGCCAGGAGTTCAAGACCAGCCTGGGCACCATACTGAAACCCTGTCTTTCTACTAAAAATACAAAAAAAAATGTAAGCTAATACAAGAAAATCAGTAAATCAATTCAGAAAATGAAAGAAAATAAAATCTCAGTACCTGAAGACATGTCTTTTGAAGTAATTCAGCCAGACAAAAATAAGGAAAAAAGAATTACAAAGGATAAACAAAGCCTTTAAGATATCTGAGATGATATAAAACAACCAAACTTACAAATTATCAGTACACCCAAGGGGGTAGAGAGATTCAAAAGTTTAGAAATGGCCAGGTGTAGCGGCTCATGCCTGTACTCCCAGCAATTTGGGAGGCCAAAGTGGGAGGACTGCTTGAGATCAAGAGTTCAAGACTAGCCTAAGCAAGAAAACAAGAATCTGCCTTTACAAATTTTTTTTTTTAAATTAGCCAGGCATGGTGGCTCATGTGTGTCATCCCAGCTACTTGAAGGGCTAAGGTGGGAGGATTGCTTGAGCCCAGGAGTTTGAGGTTGCAATGGGCCATGATTGTGCCACTGCACTCCAACCTGGGTGACAGAGTGAAACAAAACAAAACAAAAGCTTAGAAAACATATTTGAGGAAATAATCAATAAAAATGTCCCAAGAATATCAAGAGAGTTAGACATAAAGATACAGGAAGTCCAGTGATACCCAGGCAAACACATTGCAAAAAGGATCTCACCATGGCAATATTATATTCAGAATGTCTAAAGTCAATGAGAAAGAAAGAATTTTGTCAGTAACAATACAAAAGTTTCTAGTCACCTATAAAGAAAACTCCATTAGACTAACAGCAGACTTTTCAGCAGAAATCTTACAGGCCAGAAGAGAAGGGAATGGTATTTTCAAAGTGCTTGAACAAAAGAACTATCAGCCAAGAATTTTGTGTCCTGCCAAAATAGGTTTCATAAATAAAGTCCTTTCCAGGCAAGCAAACACTGAGGGAATTTGTCACCCCTACAAATGGTCACCCTACAGGAAATGCTCAAAGAGGTCTTAAACATGTGAATGAAAAGTCAATATCCATCATCATTAAAACCCATGGAAATATAAAACTTACAGTTTGTATAAAACAATCACACAAAGGAGGAAAAGAAAGGAATCAAATGGCAACATGACAAAATTTTACTAAACCACAAAGACAAAAAGACAGAAACAAAGAATCTATAACTTGAAATCGATCAACAATATGACAGGAACAAAGCTTCACATATCAATATTAACCCCGAAAGTAAATGGACTAAATGCTCCACTGAAAAGATGCAGATTGGCAGAATGGGTTTAAAAAATAATCCAAGTATATGCTGCCTACAAGAAACTCACCTTACCCACAAAAACACATATAGGTTGAAAGTAAAGAGGTGGAAAAGATATTCCAAGCAAACAGAAATAAAAGCAAGCAGGAGTAGTTATCCTTATGTCAGATAAAATAGACTTTAAATCAAAAACAGTAAGAAAGAACACAGAAGGGCATTACATAGTGATAAAGTGATCAAGAAGATGTAACAATCCTAAATATATATGCACCCAACATTGGAGCACCCAAATTTACAAAACAAATATTACTGCAGAAAACCAAATACCACATGTTCTCACTTATAAGTGGGAGCTAAATGATGAAAACTCATCAACACAAAGGGAACAATAGACACTGAGATCTATTTGAGGGTGAAGGGTAGGACGAGGAAGAGGAGCAGTAACATAACTATTGGGTACTGGGCTTAATACCTGGGTGATGAAATAATCTGTACAATGAACCCCCATGACATAAGTTTACCTATGTAATAAACCTTCATGTGTACCCCCAAACCTAAAAAAACACACACAAATATTACTACACCTAAAGAAAGAGAAAGACGAGAAAGGCAGCAACACAATAATAGTGGGGGACTTAACCACCCCACTTGCAGCACTAGACAGATCATAGGGAGAAAAAATTAACAAAGAAACATTGGCCTTAAATTGGACTTTAGACCAAATGGATTTAACAGGTATTTGTGCAGTGGTGCAATCTTGGCTCACTGCAACCTCCACTTCCTGGGTTCAAGTGATTCTCCTGCCTCAGCCTCCCAAGTAGCTGGGACTACAGGCATGCACCACCATGCCCGGCTACTTTTTTGTGTTTTTAGTAGAGACGGGGTTTCAGCATGTTGGTCAGGCTGGTCTTGAACTACTGACCTCAGATGATCCACCCTCCTCGGCCTCCCAAAATGCTGGGTTTACAGGCATGAGTCACTGCGCCTGGCCCAGAATATGCATTATTTTTATCAGCACATGGACCATTCCCCAAGATAGACTACATGTTAGGCCACAAAACTAGCCTTAAGAAATTTTTAAAAATTGAAATCATGTCAACTATCTTCTCAGATGACAATGCAATAAAGGTAAAAATCAGTACCAAGAGAAATTTCAGAAAGTATACAAATACATGGAAACTAAACAGCATGCTCCTGAACAATCACTGGGTCAATGAAGAAATTAAGACAGAAATTTAAAATTTTTATGAAATGAAAAGAAAAACACATCTTACCAAAACCTGTGGGATACAGTGAAAGTAGTTCTATGAGGGAAATTTATAGCATTAAATGCCTACATCAAAAAAAGCAGAAAGATGACAAATTAACAGCTTAATATTGTATCTCAAGGATGTAGAGAAACAAGGAGAAATCAAACCCGAAATTGGCAGAAGAAAAAAAAAAAGATCAAGGCAGGACTAAATAAATCAGAAATGAAAAAAGAATAAAAAGGATCAACGAAATGAAAAGTTTGTTCCTTGAAAAGATAAAATTGATAAACCACTAGCTAGACTAATAAAAGGGAGAGAAGATTCAAATAAACACAATCAGAATTGAAAATGAAGACATTACAATTGATACCACAGCAATACAAAAGGCTCTGACATAAGGATTTGGGTGCTTACTTGGGAAGTGACCCAAGACTCACTGTGAAAAAAAATGGAAAAGTGATACCAAAAAAAGGAAGAAAGTCAATAGACTATGTATTAATGAATGAGTTCTGTTATAGGGAACTGGTGCTTAATCCTGTTGGAGACTCTCTAAGAGACAGTTGAAACACACTTCAAAATTATTTCTCTTAGGGGACAGAGAAGCTAGGGTAGTTATCCAGCATATGCACGTTACACTGGATAGGAAAAATTCTTGTGGGATTAACTTCCCAGCACCTATGGCCTGCCCCATACCTATGCATCCTCGGAAAAGAAAGGAGTTGTCCATAGATGTGGAGACTGGCTGAAGATGCAGCATCAATACAGCATTTGCTGCAGAGTTTGCTCAGAGTTTGAGGCTGCAGTGAGCTATGATCACGTTACTGTACTCTAGCTTGAGCAAGACCCTGTCTCAAGACCTCCAGAGTGGATCAAGGGGATATAGATGCTGCATCAACAGCATTTGCTGAAGTAGGTTTGGACAATAATAATCTCCCTTGTATGTCTCCGGTCCCTTCTAGAAAGTTGGCACCACTTCTATAAACTCAATTAAAAGGTGACAAATTTCATCTTCTACAATATCTGGTTAAACCTGGTCCTGAATGTCCCACGTGCACTAGGGCTTAGCCACCTATATGTCCTCATTCAGATGCCTCTTATTATTTCTGTCAATACAGTTTGGTTCATGTTATTCGTCTTTACAAAAAGCTATTGAGTTACTTTATAGAGTTAGACAAATGCTAAAGTTCATTTGGAAAAACAAACATGCAAGAATAGCCATAAAATATAATGAAAAAGGAAAAATTACACAGGAGACTAACCCTACAGGACATTGAAGTACACTGGAAAGCCTCTATAATTAAAACATTGTTGAAATAACACATGAATAGACAAATAGACCAATAGAAAGTAAAAGAAAGACCAGAATTAGAACCAAATGCATATAGAAATTTAGGCTGTGACAAAGGTGGCATTTCAAATGCCGCTGAAGAGAAGATGAGCTATTTAATAAATTGCCCTGGGGCAGCCAGGTAGACTTTTGGAAAAATTTAAAATTAGACCCACATCTCATAGCATTCACAAAAAAATACATTTTACATGTATTAAGAATCAAAATGTAAAAAGTAAAACAATACAAGTATTAGAAGAAAACACAGCTAAATTCCTGTTTAATCTTAGTGTTAGGAAAGGCTTTCAAACAATGACTCAAATGCATAGGTAATAAAAGATAAGACTGATAAATTTTACTACAAAAATTTTTAAAATTTTTCTTGACAGAAAACCACCCTAAACAAAATCAAAAGACACTGTCAAAATTGGAGAATATACCAAAGACAAAGACCTAAAATCCCTAGTATGTAAAGAACTCTTTAAAAATTAAGGGACAAAGGTCCAGGAATCTGATAGAAAAAATGGGTAAAGAAGTAAAATTTGGGTTAGGCATGGTGGCTCACTCCTGTAATCCCTGCACTTTGGGAGGCCGAGGCAGGAGAATCATTTGAGGCCAGGAATTGAAGACCAGCCTGGGCAGCATAGTGAAATCCTGTCTCTACAAAAAATTTTAAGATTTAGCTGGCCACAGTAGTGCGTGCCTGCAGTCCCAGCTATTCAGGAGGCTGAGGCAGGTGGATTGCTTGAGCCTGGGAGTTTGAGGCTGCAGTGAACTATCACTGCACTCCAGCCTGAGCAAGACCCTGTCTCTAAAAAATACAAACAACAACAAAAAAGTGAAGTCTGACTCCAGCTACCTTTTCATCTTTTTTACATTCAATGTCCTTCACTGTGAGCCATTCCCAACATATCTCTACCTTCTCTTCCCCAAGACTTTTCCCTTTCCATACCCTCAACGGTGTTCTTTTTGTTTTGACCATCTTACAATGTTCTAGCCATCCCATCAACTTCATTTGTTCTTCATTGTTCACCTTCTTCAACGGTAAATCTGTCATGGACTATTACATGCAGCTGTTTTTGTACTGTGCAATTCACACGATGTATGTCATAGATATGTGGAATGCCCTCCCATGGATGGCTTCTGATTTTCTATTGGCTCTGACTTGGATGAAAATAGATCTAAGTTGATTACAAGTCTCATTTCACTCGCTGTGATTCTATCCCTTTCTGGACTGCAGTTTATTGATTTCATATGCCACCTTCTGTTTGAAGTCTTCCCTAATCTCTTCAAGTCCAACAAATCATTTTCTCCTCTGTTCTCCTGTGGGGACATTTATCTCTCTTCTGTGGTGTTTATTTCATCCTGTCTCATGTTACAGCTAAATACAGCACACCCTGGGTGCCCAGTTCATTTCTGTGTCTCCCAGAGCAACCAGCCCAACCCTTTCTTCTCCATGGAGATTATACCATAGACTCTTGTCAAATCAAACCATATTTAACTGGCTCATTAACCAAAACAGGAAATAAATACGAATGAAACTGAGCTCTAAGCAGCATGTAACCTGGCCTGCATCCAGGAAATAGAGGACTTCGGATCCTTCTAACCCTACCACCCAACTGGCCCCAGTACATTCATTCTCTCAGGAAAAAAAACAAGGTCCCCACAGCAAAGAAAAGGAATAGGATCAAGAGATACGTGGCTGCTGGCAGAGCAAGGTGAGTCTGCTTAATCTGGTGGTTGGTAACTGGGAGTTGGTGATAAGGTTTTTCTACCAAGTGAGACTTACGGCGAACCAGTGTGGATGAGGGATAGACAGAGTGTATTGTACTAGCTTTATTGAGTCTGCTCCAAGAGAAAGAAAGAGAAAGATAGGACATGGAGGGGGATGGGAGAAACAAAAAGAAAAAGAATTTTTAAAACCACATTAGAATGTATAAGTAGCCTAGAAAATTGAGCAGTGGAAGCCACCCAATGAACAGACACTGCCTTGGCAATGGGGCTTCCCTTGAGAAGGATAATCTCCATTTAACTAATATTGACATACCTGGGACCTTGGAGGATTCTTGTCCACTCTCTCACCCTGTTTCCTTTTCCAGAAAATGAGAGAATTGAACTCAATGTTGTCCAAGAGATTTTCTAGTTCTGAACTTTTGCTTTCAGCCAGTACTAACATATGCAAAGCAGCACTCTAAACACTATGAGAGGCCGGGTGCGGTGGTTCACATCTGTAATCCCAGCACTTTGGGAGGCCGAGGCAAGCGGATCGCCTGAGGTCAGGAGTTCGAGACCAGCCTGGCCAACAGGGGGAAACCCCATCTCTACTAAAAATACAAAAATTAGCTGGGTGTGGTGGCGGGGGCCTGTAATCCCAGATACTCAGGAGGCTGAGGCAGGAGAATTGCTTGAACCTGGGAGGCGGAGGTTGCAGTGAGCCAAGATCGTACCACTGCACTCCAGCCTGGGTGACAGAGCCAGACTCTGTCTCAAAAAAAAATTAAAAAATAAACACTATGAGAGACACAAAGATGGAAAAGATGGACCCCTTGCCCTCTGGTAGCCTTTAGCCTCTTTGAGTCTTAGTTTTCTCATCTGTAAAACTGGGCGGGTGAGAGGATGAAAGGAAATGTATTTGTAAAGCACCTCTTAAGTGCCCTATAACTGATATCTATTATTTGTAACATGGGATTCATAAACTTGTAGAGGGTTAAGATGCTCCAATGAGCTAGAAGAAGCAAAAGTCCTTTTTAAAGGACAAGTCCATATGTGAGGGAAAATTCTCTCGCATTTATTTCTTGGCAGCATGAATTCGATGACTTCAGCAGTTCCGGTGGCCAATTCTGTGTTGGTGGTGGCACCCCACAATGGTTATCCTGTGACCCCAGGAATTATGTCTCACGTGCCCCTGTATCCAAACAGCCAGCCGCAAGTCCACCTAGTTCCTGGGAACCCACCTAGTTTGGTGTCGAATGTGAATGGGCAGCCTGTGCAGAAAGCTCTGAAAGAAGGCAAAACCTTGGGGGTAAGTGAGATTTCCCTTTGCAGGCCACAGACTGCACAGCTGGAGTGATGGCAGGGGGAAGGGAAGGCCTGGGAAATACACAAACACTACATCCCGCAAGTGGGGCTGAGTTGATCGCGCCTTGCCAAGCACAGGTCTATTAGAAAGCTCAGCTGCACAACATCACAGGCGGCCTCTGCTCAGACCTTGTATTTTCTGATTTAGGCATTTTCGGAAAGAGAAAGAAAAGCAACAAAAAAGCAGCACGCTTGAAGGTTGATCCTGTTGCCAGGATCCACGCCCAGCCCTGTGGCCTCTGAAGAAAGGGGTCCCAGCAAGACCAAAATAGACCACAAGGTGGAGTCAGAATCCAATAAGATCGAATCAAATATTTGCCCAACAGGAAACAAAGCAGGTTAGGCAACCAACAACATAAATGGTCACCGCAACCCCTGAGAGGCTGTCCTGCGCTGGACAAAGAAAGGCCCATTTCACTGTGTAGCTGAATGATGGGCATGAATTTGGATGCAGACTGCCCGAGCTCCAACCCTAGCTCCACCCTCAGATAGTGCTCATGGGAACAAAAATTGATACAACCCTTAGGGAGGGAAATTTGTATCTGCCAAATTTACAAAATATCCAATAATTCCATTGCTGGAACTTCATCCTCCAGATATGCCTGTGCCCACAAAAACTGTGATATGTATGAGCTTATTCATTGCAGCGTGGTTTGTGATAACAAAAATATTGTAATATCCATCAATATAATACCGGTTAAGTCAGTATATTGGTTAAGTCAGTGTAATATACTGGTTAAGTCAGTGCATCCAAAGAATAAAATGTAGTGGAGCTATGAAAAGAACAAGAAAGCTCTTTGTGTAATGATAGGGACACACCCCAAGATATGGAGTTAATGGAAGAAAGTAAGGGGCAGACACTGTGTATAATTTGCTTACATTTATGTGAATTTAAGGAAGTAATATATTTGTATTTGCTACCACGTGTGTAATATACAAACATACACAGATGTTCTTTCATTTACAATGGGATTATGTCCCAGTGTACCCATCGTAAATTAAAAATATCATAAGTAAAAAATACATTTAATACATGTAGCCTACCAAACATCATAGCTTAGCCTCGCCTACCTTAAACAAGTTCAGAACACTTAGGTTAGCTTACAGCTGGGCAAAATCATCTAACACAAAGCCTATTTAATAGTGTTCTTGAATATCTAATGTAGTTTACTGAACACTGGACTGAAAATGAAAAGCAGAATGATTGTATGGGTACTCCAAATACGGTTTCTACTGAATTCATGTCACTTTCACACCATAATAAAGTTGAAAACTTTGTTTTTTTGAGACAGAGTCTCACTCTGTCACCCAGGCTGGAGCGCAGTGGCGCAGTCTTGGCTCACTGCAACCTCTGCCTCCTGGGTTTAAGCGATTCTCCCGCCTCAGCCTCCCAAGTAGCTGGGATTACAGGCACCCACCATCATGCCGAGCTAGTTTTTGTATTTTTGTAGAGACAGGGTTTCACCATGTTGGCCAGGCTGGTCTTGAACTCCTGACCTGTGATCCGCCCGTCTCAGCTTCCCAAAGTGCTGAGATTACAGGTGTGAGCCACTGTGCCTGGCCCACATGGCATTTTTTATAAGGACACCAATCATATTGGATTGGAGACCCACTCTACTCCAGTGTGACCTCATCTTGGCTGATTATATCTGCAACAACTCTGTTTTCAAATAGAGTCACATTCTGAGGCACTCAGCATTAGAATTTCAACACATGAATTTGGAGGAGGGTTGGGGGAGGGGAGCATAATTTAACACATAACAATATCCTAAAGAAATAAGAGATGAAGGCAAAGATTTACATAGAAGGATGTTTATCACAATGTTACATATAATAGAAAAAAGTAGAAATAATCTTACCTGTCCAATAACTCTGTCTCAACTACTCCACAGACCATCCATAATGGGATCTGAGCAGCCCTGAAAAAACATATGTTCCAAGAATACTTAATGCCATGAGGACACATTCATGATGAAATATTAAGTTAATAAAATTCAGGGGGCCATGTTGTGCTATCAAGGTATATATTTGAAAAGAATAATGGGAGAATACACCAAAATGTAAACAGTTGTTTTCTCCAGGCGGAGGGGAGATTACAGGTAGTTTTTATTT
This sequence comes from Homo sapiens, assembly GCF_000001405.40. Lineage (NCBI taxonomy): Eukaryota > Metazoa > Chordata > Mammalia > Primates > Hominidae > Homo > Homo sapiens. The sequence continues at coordinate 60,703,248 of NC_000011.10, forward strand.
CATTTTTGTATTTCCCATATTACTTTTTAGACCATGAAAATAAAACATTTATTAAAATTAAAAGGAGGCTCATAGGGGAGGCAGGACCCAGCCTCAGAAACAAGACTTCAGCTTGTGGCTCTCCTGACAGGCCATCCAGATCATCATTGGCCTGGCTCACATCGGCCTCGGCTCCATCATGGCGACGGTTCTCGTAGGGGAATACCTGTCTATTTCATTCTACGGAGGCTTTCCCTTCTGGGGAGGCTTGTGGGTGAGTAACTCAAGTCCTCCTGCCGATGAGCTCCCAGAAGGTGCCAAGGCACTCAAGGCCACCTTGCCAAGTTGTGCAGCTGTGCCCTGCAGAAGGTTCCCAGCCACCCAAATGTGGGGGATAGGAAACCAGCCAGCCCTGGCCTCGTTCCGCAAGCATATTAGTTTGGTAGGGCCGGCCCAACAGAGTATAGCACCACAGGTTGGATGGCTTAAACAACAGAAATTTGTTATCTCACAGTTCTGGCGGCTGAAAGTCTGCGATGGAGATGTTAGCAGATGTTTTCCCCTAAGGTCTCTCTCCTTGGCTTGCAGAAGGTCGTCTTCTCCCTGAGCCTTTCCACGGCCTTCCTCCATGCCTGTGCCCTAGTCTCCTCTTCCTATGAGGACACCAGTCATTTTGGATTAGGGTCCCCCCTGATGACCTCATTTAACCTGAATGACGGTTTTAACAACCCTATCTCCAAACACAGTCAGATTCTGGAGCACTACAGATTAGGGCTTCAATCTACGAAATTTGGTGGGGGATAGAGGGTGTGGACACAATTCAGCCCATAATATCAAGCTACAACCCCGCAAGGTGACATCCCCTCAAAAGGGATGTATTTTCTTTTTACTTTTTTTTTTTTTTTTTTTTTTGAGATGGAGTCTCACTCTGTCGCCCAAGCTGGAGCGCAGTGGTGCAATCTCGGCTCACCGCAACCTCCCCCTCCCGGATTCAAGCAATTCTCCTGCCTCAGCCTCCCTAGTAGCTGGGATTACAGACGCGCACCACCACGCCCGGCTAATTTTTGTATTTTTAGTAGTGACAAGATTTCACCACGTTGGCCAGGCTGGTCTCAAACTCCTGACCTCAGGTGATCCACTTGCCTCAGCCTCCCAAAGTGCTGGGATTACAGGTGTGAGCCACCACACCCGGCCAAAAGGGATGTGTTTTCTTAATTCACAAAGAAAACATCCACATGTAAAAAATACACTGGGAATAGCCCCTGGCATTGTTGGACATAGGCCCACAAGCCTGAGCTCCAGGAGAAAAACACTCAGCAAAGGTGAAGAGTGGCTTCCCAGCTGTAGAACAGCAAGGGTTTGAGTGCTTGAGCACTGGGGACTCAATCTAGATCTGCAGATGGGCTTTGGGGGCTCCATTTTGGCAAAATACCTAATATGCTAAATGTGTATTATTTTTCTGGAAGGGTCCATAGCTTTCATCAGATTATCAGAGTGATCCGTGACTCCATAAAGTGTTAAGAACTACAGTCCTTCTTCCACATCAGTTTATTACCTTTATGGTTCCTTTGCAGTGTCCCCCTGCCCACACACACACACACACACACACATACACACACACACATACAAACAAACACACATACACACACACACACATACACACACACACTCTCTCTCTCTCTCCTTCTCCTCCCCTCTCCACCTTCCTTTCTCCTTTCTCTCCCTTCTGTTACAGTCTTCCTCCTGACTCACACACCTACATGTGACACTAATGCAACTTTCCTCATAAATGGCACAACTCCAGAGTAACCTAGGTGCCAGCCCAAGTCCCTCTACCTTATAAGAGTTAAATAAAATAGCCTAGAGCTATCTCCATCCCCGACAGCCACACAAGTTCTGCAAATGAACAGGGCTCCTCTAGCGAGGCTCTGCACACACCCAAACTCAGAACTCAGCCCCTTTCCCTCCCACAACCACTCACAAGATACCTGTTCCTGTATCTCTGACCTTCGTGGAATGTGGGGCTATGGAGAGGGCTAGCATCACGGCCACCCAGGCCTACCATTGAGCACACAATGCCTACCACGGAGCACTGGATTCCACCAAGTGCCAGTGAGCAGCAGGCAGTTGTCCTGGCATCTCAAATGCCTCACTGACCACGCCTCCTCCCACCAGGCTGCTGAGTCCCTTCAGCCCTCATGACCTTCCTCCTTTTGCTCTGCAGGGCAGTTGTGCTCTTTGCTGCCTTCTTGATCCCAGGACTGTCTTTCTATTTCCCAAAGATCATCAATATCCTCTTCTGAAACAAAGGCTCATCTCCTCTGGCACCTCAGAAGGACTGAGAGGGATACCAAAAGTCCAGCCCTTCCTCCCCATCAAATCTCTATAAACAGAAGGGTGTGAGCCTGAGATTTGTTTTTCCACTCATAGGAGAATATGGCCTTGGCCTTGGAAGGCAGAAACAGCTGGAATAAGTTTTCACTGTAAATAACTATGTCCACTCTATGGCACATGCATCTGCCGTGGGTGGGAGGGAGTATGGAGTGAGGGTTAGGAACATGGAGTCTGAAATCAAGCTGTCTGGATTTGATTCTCAAATGCATGTGCCATAGAGTGGAAACACTTATTTACAATGAAAACTCCGCTGGATGATGTTGTGTGAGTTGTTCAAAATCTCTAAGCCTCAGTCTCCTCATTGATAAAATGGCAAGAGTAATACTGCTTGATGGGCCACCATGTGGTTAAATGAGGCGAGGTTGAACAAGTACTTCATCTGTTGGGGGGAGGGCGGTGATGGGTTGCTAGTCGGTACGTGGCTTCTTTTGGGGCCGTTGCAAATGTTCTAACTTACATTGTAGTGATGATTGCACAACTTTATAAATATACTAAAAATAATTGCATAATATACTTTAAATGGGTGAATTATATGATACATGAATTATATGTCAATGAAGCCTTTTCTAAAAAAGCATTTTCTATAGTGCCCCACAAATGGTAGCTCCTATTAAATATAGCTCATGCCCTCTCATACCACTCTTGCTAGCCCACTGGGCAAATGATGGCAGGCAATCCCATCAGCCACAGTGCCTGCGGAATACCATGTTGGATGAAATGCACGCAATTGACATCATCATCCTCGTATTTGATGTTCAGCATCATAGCGACACAATGTTTATCTGAGTAACTAAAAGTTATTTGTCCAGATATGCAGGCAGGCAAGGATTGATGTCAGGCTTCTATCTAAAAGCAGCAGAGAAGACGCTGGTAACCCCTTCCTTCTCCCCTCCAGAGCCCCCAAACCTAACTGAATCTTGATATAAAGATTGGAAAACAATAGGGTGTACTTGTGGGAAAATAAAATACAAGGAAATAATCCAACATTTGAGCATCTACTAAGTGTAAAGATATACTAAATGCCAGATGTAGGGCATAAGTTGTCTCATGACAATGACACTTGGGAAGAGCTATAAATTTTTCCATTTTGTAGATGAGGAAATAAAGACTTAGAGAAGTTAATAACTTACCCAAGGTCAAGAGTTTCTAGCCAGAATTTAAAACCAGGTTTGCTGGATCCTAGAATATATATTTATCCCACCCCAGTGCCTTTTCAGGCAGTGCAAAACAGCTCATTTTTTCTGTTGCCCATGTTGAGCTGATGGTTCCAGCAAAGGTACCCACTGTGTGTGACCAGAATCACAGAAGCCTGGGGAAGGGCACCCTAGCCCCTGACCTCTTTCTAAACCCACTCTGTTCTGTACCAGTTTATCATTTCAGGATCTCTCTCCGTGGCAGCAGAAAATCAGCCATATTCTTATTGCCTGGTAAGTTACATTCTGAGACCAGCTCTTCCAACTGGAGACCTATAGAATGGTGTCACAAAGGGGAAAATAAGGTCACATACGATTCCTCCCCCAGCCTTGCACCTACTATAACCAGACACACGGTGCTCACACACATTCCCGCTCATACAGACTGGCCACAGGAGCCTGGCCCTGGAGTCACATGTGGAAAAGTCCCAAGAGGATGCAGAAGTGAGAAGGGGCAATACAGTCACCTTAGTTAAGGCATCAGAGTATGGAGAGCGAGAGAGAGAGAGAGAGAGAGAGATAACAGCTTTCCTAAGAAGCCCTGCCACAGAGAGGCACAGAGCTCCCAGGGGCCCAGGGCTGCCCTCTAGCAGACCAGGAGCCAAGAGTACTTCCAGTACAGAGAAGAGGACTCCGGGGAAGCCGAAGGAGGCTCAGTCACTCGCTTTCCTAAGGAATCCAGCCAACAGAACTCTGATAATCAACATGGACAAAGCTTTGTGCTCCCCTAGCAACAGACCAAGAAATACCTTCATTTGTCTCATAATCAGGTTACGAAGGGTAAAGGGTGACCAGGTCCCTACAACCAGATGAGATCTATTTGAAAGTCTTCAAAAGAAAGCTCAAAATGTGGAAGCGTATCTTTCTGCACATGGCCCAGAATCATGGAGCATCTGAGCTTATCACATCCCAAGACACTTGGGCTAAGATTCTATTTATCCTATGGGACAAATAGGTCAAGTGTTTCCCAGAGATTATTCTTTTTTCTTTTTCTTTTTCTTTTTTTTTTTTTTTTTTTTTTTGTGTGTGTGTGTGAGACAGAGTCTCACTGTGTCCCCCAGGCTGGAATGCAGTGGTTTGATCTCAACTCACTGCAGCATCTGCCTCCTGGGTTCAAGCAATTCTCCTGCCTCAGCCTCCCTAGTAGCTGGGATTACAGGTGCACACCACCATGCCCAGCTAATTATTGTATTTTTTGTATTTTTTGGTATTTTGGTAGAGACGGAGTTTTGCCATTTTGGCCAGGCTGGTCTTGAACTCCTGACCTCAGGTGATCCACCTGCCTCAGCCTCCCAAAGTGCTGGGATTACAGATGTGAGCATCCGCGTCCAGCCCCAAAGATTATTCTTGAGAACACTTCTCCCATGATATGCTCAATGAAGATAGTTACATGAACTTGGGAAAATCTCTATGTATTGTTTCCTCTCTGAAAGATCTAAAGTCCTCATTAAAGGCTCTGAGAAGTCCCACCACGATGATCTGTTTACCTTTGCCCAACCCAGCTATTTTCAAAGCTAACTTACCCCAAAACCTTTCTTGCACAGAACACCCCTTTACTTGCAGTGGAAATAGGGTTCCTGGGATTCACATTAAGAAACACTTTTTGATGAAAAGAGTTATAGAGATGGATGGTGGCAATGGTTGCACAGCATTGTAGATGTGTTTAATGCTACTGAACTGTAACACTTGAAAATGATTAGGATGTTAAATTTTATGTTACATATATGTTAACACAATTTTAGAAATTGGGGGGAAAAAGAAACACTTGTTGGGTCTCCATTCATCTCAGCTATAACAGCTTTTCTCGCCCATCCTGACCCTCTGTGTCTTCTTCAGCTGTCTGGCAGTTTGGGCTTGAACATCGTCAGTGCAATCTGCTCTGCAGTTGGAGTCATACTCTTCATCACAGATCTAAGTATTCCCCACCCATATGCCTACCCCGACTATTATCCTTACGCCTGGGGTGTGGTGAGTATCCCTCTCAACCAAAGATCCTCTAAGTTCTGAATTAGCTACATTTAGAAAACTCCCAGAAAGGGCTTGACAACCAAGCTACCTCACTGAACATGGTAGGAAAAGGAGGTGCTTTCAGCATAGGAACAAATTTTAAAGTCCTTGACCCATAGCTTTAAGCACATGACCTTTCCCAGTTTGGGTTTCTGCCTTTGTAGAACAATACCTACCTTGTGGCAATGTTGAGAGAATTAAATGCAATTTTACAAAGAATGCATATGTGCCCACCAACCAGCACCTCTCCTCACATTCTCTGCCTTCTTGCCCATTACTATAAGCCAGAGGTTAGCAAACTTATTCTCTAAAGAGCCAATAGTAAGCAGTTAAGGTTTTGCAGGCCTACAGTCTCTGTCATGTAGCTATAGCTGCCTTACAGCAGCCACAGAAAGCACTAAACAAATGAATATGGCTGTGTTCTGATAAAACTTTATTTACAAAACAGGCAGCAGGCAGGATTTGACCCATGGATCATAATTCACCCACCTCTGCTATACACTAGCACTGTCCAATAGAAATATGCAAGCCACATGTTATTTTAAATTTTCTAGTTGCCACATTTAAAAGAGAGAGAGAGTGAAAGCAACAGGTGAAATTGATTTTAATAATCTATTTTATTTAACCCCGTATATCTAAAATATTGTCATTTCAACATGTAATCAGTATAAAAACTTGGTTTGCTATTTTGCATTTGGGGAACTAAATCTTTGAAATCCAGTTTATATTTTGTGCTATGGCACATCTCGATTTGGGACCAGCTACATCTCAAGTGTTTAAAAGCCACATGGGAATTGTGGTTGCTGAATAGAACAGGGCAGCTACAGATGAGCTACCTGTGTCCCACGTAAATTCAATCCTCTGTCTGCGCAACTGAGTCCCTCCTCTCCTACCTGCTCAAGTTCTCCTCCCCTCTCCCTCATCCCGTCTCTCCTCTACATCATCAGTCTTTCCCCCTTTGCTGGGGCTTTTGCATCAGCATTAAGCATGCTTTTGTTTCTTAAAAAACAAACCAACCCACCTCCTCTTCGTTGTACTTCCTTTATCCACTACCACTGTATCTCTCTGGCCCTCTTTGCAGACAAATTCTTAAAAGAATTGTCTACACTTTAGTGAGTCCAATCCTCTTCTCTCATATTCTCTCTGAACCTGCTCCAATTAGACTTTCAGCCTCACTTCCCTAAACACCTGCTCTTCTCCAAATCCCCAATGGGGTGATTGATCCTTCTTCTCGGAGGGACTTTGCTTGACTTCCAGGCTCCACCCTCACTGGTTGCCCTCTTCTCTGTCTCCTCTGCTAGTTCTGTTTTTCCCAATCTCTTAGGCTCAATAATTGGTTCTCTGGTTTTCTTTCTGTACTCATTTGTCTATCTCATTTAGTCTGGCAACTTGAAACACCTTGTCTATGACAATTGTTCTAGAATACATGGCTCCAGCCAAATCTTCTCCCCTATACACCAGTCTAGCATGTCCAATGGTCAACTCAATAGCTCATAGTTCATACATCCAAGTCTGATCTCCAGATTTCACTTCCCAAACCTTCTCTACTCAGTTTTCCTGATTCCAGTTGATGGCAACTCCATCCTTCCAGTTGCTCGGGACAAAACCTTGGAGTCGTCATTGACCCTGTCTTTCTCTCACACCTCACAGCCAATCCCTCGGGCAATCCTGTTGGTTCTACTTTCAAAATGCATTCAGAATCCCACCATTTTCCCCCAGCCCCTCTACTCCCACGCTGGCCTGAGCCACCGCATCTCTCATCTAATCATGGAAACAGCCTCCTGACTGTTCCCTTTCTCCTACTCTGGGCTCACTGCAGCTGTTTATAGCATGGCCACCAGAGGGATCCTTTGGAAACACAAGATCCCATCACTTCTCTGCTGGCATCTTACTCAGAAAAAAAGCCAATGTCCTTCCAGCAGCCTGAAGATGCTGGCCCTCTGGTGCCCCCCGCCCCTGGCTCTGCTGCCATCCTCTGGTTCTGCTGCTGAACCACGGGAACCTCCATGATGTTTTCTCCAACACTCCAGGCATCTTTCCACCTTTGGGCCTGGAATGTTCCCTCCGACTGGGGAACTCTTCCCTCAGATGTTCCCACAGCTTCCTCTGTCCCTTCCTCACCTCCTTCAGATCACTAATCTGCAACCACCTTCCCAATGAGGCCTACCTGAACAACCCAACACCCACACTCTCCCAGTAACCCGCTTCCCTTCCCCTTATCTATCTTTCCTGTAGTCTATGCATCTAACACCCTCTGCAACTGACTTATTTGTTACATTTCATGCTTACTGCCTGTCCCTAGAATGAGATTCTTAAGGACAGGGATGTTTTTGGTTTCACTCACTGTCATACCTCAAATACCTAGAACTGTGTCTGGCACACGGTTGACACTTCATAAGCATTTGTCAAGGAATAAATGAATGTGCCAGCTGTGATGCATACTCAGTAAACATCAACAGCCATTAACTGTTGTTTGTATTTGACCAGATCCTTTTATCTTCAAGAGACTTAAAGACTTATCTTTCCAAGATTCTTAGGCAAAGCCTCTCCCTAGAGATCCTATGGACCAAGTCCATGTCATTTATCAAAAGTACCTTGAGTTTCTCCCCTCCCAGAAACATTTTATGGCTCCCAGATACTTTAGGATTAAAGTCCAAATTCCTCAGCCAGGTATTTGCCCTCCCTGGGGGATCTGGCTCTATCTCACTGTGCCCTACAGTTCACCTCCCTTCGAATCTCTCACTCACCCTGAACCCCAGCTACTCCCGTCCACTGCGAGAGACAGGCACAAGCGAGTACTTGGGAATTTTCCTGCTGGGAAAGAACCAATCAGGGAGGCATGGACTGCCCAATAGAAGAAATTAAGAAGCAAATGCTGGTGGAGGAACTAAGGGAAAGGAAGATGGGAGAAGAGTTTAGGAAAGACTAAACCCCAAGCAGCACAGCCAGGTGCCCTGGAGTAGAGGGAGCAGCAATTTTTGATTCAGAAAACTTGGCTTTTAATCTTAGTTCTGCCAATGATTGATCTTGGAATGAGAACTCGCCCCATGCCCACCACCCATTCCACCTTCAAGCCTCAGTCATCCCATCTGAACATGGAGGGTCGGACTGCATCTGAGCTTTGCAAATAATGACCCAAGGAATGGAGATACTCCGGGGTTTCCACATCAGGAATTATTTTTCATCAAATAAAAAAAATCTCAGCTGCTTGAGGGACCCCTTTTCCATGAAATATTTTATGTGTAAAAAAATTTTATTTAAAAAAAATTGAAAAAGACCAGCATACTTTGCCCAGGCCATTCTACTCTAAGTCTCTGTGATCCGTTGACTTAGACATCCTGCACTCCCCTTTTCCTGGGACAACTGCCTCTACCCTCACCCTCTCTAAATCCCTTCATGACAATGAACCTCTCCCTCCTCAGTGCTCTGGGATACCTTTTTGCTGTTCTGTAGCTCTTACCCTATCTGATGTGAATTATAATTATCATCTGCATCTGTTTTCCTACTAGATTGTGCCTCTCAGGATGCATTTCTTAGCCGCTTCTACCAAGCAGATGTTTAATAACCACTTGCTAAATGGAGAGGAAGGAGAAGAAAAGGGGCTAAGGAGAGGCCTCTCCAGAAGAGAGAATTCTCCAAGCATCTGGCTGTCACCAATGCTGTTTTTAAAAATCATAATTGAGATAATTGAGGCCGGTCACGGTGGCTCACACCTGTAATCCCAGCACTTTGGGAGACCGAGGCAGGTGGATCACTTGAGCTCAGGAGTTCAAGACCAGCCTGGGCAACATGGCGAAATCCCATCTATACAAAATATACAAAAATTAGCCAGGCATGGTAGCGCGTGCCTGTAATCCCAGCTACTCGGGAGGCTGAGGCAGGAGAATCGCTTCAACCCAGGAGGCGGAGCTCACAATGCTGAGCTCATGCCACTGCTCTCCAACCTGAGTGGCAGAGCAACACTCTGTCTCAAAAAAAAAAAAAATTAAAAAATCATAATTGAGAGGCATTTCTTTGGTACCTACTGCATGCCATCCACCTTCACTATGAAATGTTCTCATGTCACATAATTGGAACCCAAATGGTAATGGGAGTCTCCTGGATGGACCTTTTAGATTGAAACTCGCTTCCCAGATACACTGGAAGACTCCATACTCCTGGGTATTCTTGGGTAACAGCAAATGGAGGGTTTCTATTTCTCCCGGTTACCTCCTGCTATGGTTAATTTACTTCATTTTGGGGATCCTTTCACTGACTGTTCTTCCCAAGCCAGAGAAACAGCCCCAATTCCTGCCCTCCACAAAACACCACTGTCACAAGCCAAGAAAGTCTTTTCAGAGGCTGACATTTTCCCAAAGGTTCAGATGAAGGGGTGGGTTGCCCCTTCACACCTGTGGGTGTTTCTCGTTAGGTGGAACAAGAGACTTGGAAAAGAAAGAGACACAGAGATAAAGTACAGAGAAAGAAAAAGGGGGCCTAGGGGACCGGCGTTCAGCATACAGAGGATCCACGTGGGCACTGGCCTCTGAGTTCCCTTAGTATTTATTGATCATTATTGGGCATGGGTAATAGGATAATAGTGGAGAGAAGGTCAGAAGGTAAACACGTGAACAAATGTCTCTGCATCATAAACAAGGTAAAGAAAAAAGTGCTGTGCTTTTGATGTGCATATACATAAACATCTCAATGCCTTAAGGAGCAGTATTGCTGCCAGCATGTCCCACCTCCAGCCCTAAGGCAGTTTTCCCCTATCTCAGTAAATGGAATATACAATGGACTTTACACCGAGACATTCCATTGCCCAGAGACGAGCAGGAGACAGAAGCTTTCCTCTTACCTCAACTGCAAAGAGCCGTTCCTTCCTCTTTTACTAATCCTCCTCAGCACAGACCCTTTACGGGTGTTGGGCTGGGGGACGGTCAGGTCTTTCCCATCCCATGAGGCCATATTTCAGACTATCACATGGGGAGAAACCTTGGAAAATACCTGGCTTTCCTAGGCAGAGGTCTCTGTGGCCTTCCGCAGTGTTTTGTGTCTCTGGGTACTTGAGATTAGGGAGTGGTTTGAGATTAGGGAGTGGTGATGACTCTTTTTTTTTTTTTTTTTTTTTTTTTTGAGACGGAGTCTCGCTCTGTCGCCCAGGCCGGACTGCGGACTGCAGTGGCGCAATCTCGGCTCACTGCAAGCTCCACTTCCCGGGTTCATGCCATTCTCCTGCCTCAGCCTCCCGAGTAGCTGGGACTACAGGCACCCGCCACCGCGCCCGGCTAATTTTTTGTATTTTTAGTAGAGACAGGGTTTCACCTTGTTAGCCAGGATGGTCTCGATCTCCTGACCTCATGATCCACCCGCCTCGGCCTCCCAAAGTGCTGGGATTACAGGCGTGAGCCACCGCGCCCGGCCGGTGATGACTCTTAACAAGCGTGCTGCCTTCAAGCATTTGTTTAACAAAGCACACCCTGCACAACCCTTAATCCATCTAACCCTGACTTGACACAGCACATGTTTCAGGGAGCACAGGGTTGGGGGTAGGGTTACAGATTAACAGCAGCTCGAGGCAGAAGAATTTTTCTTAGTACAGAACAAAATGGAGTCTCCTATGTCTACTTCCTTCTACACAGACACAGTAACAATCTGATCTCTCTTTCTTTTCCCCACATTCAGAGGGATGGTGGAGGTTTACATCAGAGCCCAGCAAACCACTGATTACTGAAGATAAGACATCCTTGCTTTGGGAAGTCTTCATTTTTCACAGGAGGCCTTTTCCTGTGGCCTCCCCCTTCCCACCATGGCGCTCAACTCCTTCTTTTTCCTCTAACCATCTCCCTGTTCTCTCTGTGTCTTGTCCATACCCTCCAATTCCTACCGACGGCCTCCCCAGAGCAGTGTCACTGCTCCCCTCTCTGACTCCAGAGCACACCCTCAGGTCTCCACACCCAAAGCAACCTATCAAGGGGCTTCCCTAAACATGGTCATCTTTTTTCTCAGAGGAACACTACCAAGTAAATGTTGCAATAACAATTCTTTTACCCCCATACTTGATACTTACAAAAACCCGGTGGGAAATTTCCCCCCACGAGGCTGAGAGAGGATAGGGGACTTCCGCAAAGCCACAAAGAGTCCATGGCAGGGCCCCAGTGAGAGGTCAGTTCGGACTCCCAGTCCCGTGCTCCTGTCCTCCCCATCTGCTCTGCCTACAGAACCCTGGAATGGCGATTTCTGGCGTGCTGCTGGTCTTCTGCCTCCTGGAGTTTGGCATCGCATGCGCATCTTCCCACTTTGGCTGCCAGTTGGTCTGCTGTCAATCAAGCAATGTGAGTCCCAGGGTTCCTCAGTGGGTGGAAAGATGCCCCCAAAAAGGTGGAGACAAGGGAGCTCTTTGTGCTTTCCACTGCCTGCTCAGGAGCAGGAGTAGTTCCTCGGTGTCCGAGGCCTTTGGTGCATGGCCCGTCCTTCTTAGCATGCCCCCTGTGTGCCTGTGTTTTCCAGGTGAGTGTCATCTATCCAAACATCTATGCAGCAAACCCAGTGATCACCCCAGAACCGGTGACCTCACCACCAAGTTATTCCAGTGAGATCCAAGCAAATAAGTAAGGCTACAGATTCTGGAAGCATCTTTCACTGGGACCAAAAGAAGTCCTCCTCCCTTTCTGGGCTTCCATAACCCAGGTCGTTCCTGTTCTGACAGCTGAGGAAACGTCTCTCCCACTGTTTGTACTCTCACCTTCATTCTTCAATTCAGTCTAGGAAACCATGCTGTTTCTCTATCAAGAAGAAGACAGAGATTTTAAACAGATGTTAACCAAGAGGGACTCCCTAGGGCACATGCATCAGCACATATGTGGGCATCCAGCCTCTGGGGCCTTGGCACACACACATTCGTGTGCTCTGCTGCATGTGAGCTTGTGGGTTAGAGGAACAAATATCTAGACATTCAATCTTCACTCTTTCAATTGTGCATTCATTTAATAAATAGATACTGAGCATTCAATGTGTTCAAGGCTCTCTTCATGGCAGGAGGGGGCTGGACATTGACATGACACAGTCTTGGACCTCAAGAAACTTCTGGCCTTAGGAGAGAGGACACCAGGACATCACGGGAGCAATTTTCACTGACAAAGGGCAACATAGGGGAGAGGCAGAAGGAGCCCAGAGTGAATTTATTCTGGCTGTGATGCAGAAAGGAAGGAATGAGGAGAGCAGAGGACAGGTCTGGTTGGGGTAGCAACATCTGAATGGGGCATTAAAGGACAGTAAGGATTTTCCGTGTAATAAGGGACCACGTGGTTCAGGAGGCCTTCAGAGAGAATGATCAGTCCTTTTAGATTCTGTTACCAATGAGGCAACCAAATTCACGAATGTGCAAGAATGTAGAAGGAATCTTCCAGAGACATAAGGCCAATACATCATTATCTGTAAAAGGACTAATTCCAAAGAGAAATGGCCATGTCATTCCTATTACCATTTCTGCATTTACCGTGGTAACAGCATCTAAAAGGACTAATCCTTTCAGCAGACGACTCACTGTCTCCAAAGGTCTCCCAAACAGCGTCGTCCCTCATACTGAAAATCCCTCACTGTCCTTTAATGGCCCATTTAGATGTCGCTTCCTGAAACACGCAAAATTTAAACATTGTTATGTATGATAACCAATGGGCATCCAAGAAGTTGCATTCTGTGGGGTTATAGCAATCATCTCTAAAATCCAGCTGTTGTCAAGCTTTCCTTAGCTACAGAAGCACTGCAAGGATTTGTTTGTTTGTTGTTTGTTTTGGTTACTAAATACAAAATGTGATTTTGCTCTTGTAAATAACTTTGTTCTTGGGGTTATCTAAGAAGTTTCTTCTAAATGGCATGCAGTTAGAGGTCTATCGCCTGTGCACCTGCATCTTCTCATTTTCTCTGATCAGGAATCCTTCTGATGCCCATCAGCTAGCCAGGAACAGGAGTGTTTTCATTTCCTAGAACTAAATGGGCCTTAGGAATTACAGACCTCCTGAAAAATTGATTTTTTCAAATGGAATATGAGGCATGTAATATCCTGGTTCTAGATCAGTCCTTCACATACCTGTTTTGTAAGCCAGGAGGTTAGGACATTGAGCTCCCCAAAAGGGACCCACCTGTTTGCACCGTTCTCTGAGGGCTCGGTAAACAGAGCAAGCCTGCCCCTCTCACCACCTCCTTTCTTATTGCTGCCTCTTGCTGCCCCATCTAACTCCACACCTCCTTCTCATCCTACAGAACTCTACCCCTCAAACCTGACCCTCCATTCTGTTCACAGAGCCTCCTTCCTGACATTTCTGACCTATGAGTTAATTCAGATATTGCTAACATAGCTCGCTTCCTGCAGTGTGGGTCATCCCAGAGAAAGCACTTTCTAATACATCTGGTGCCTCTCCATATGGGGGCACCTGACCCTGCCCTCCTGAAATCACCACAGGGCTTGTTGGAACAGATTCTTTCCTATCTTATCACCTACTATATTAGTCCTGTGTTCTAGGCCCTTGTCCTGGGGGGACCAATTGCCAACCTAGGGTGACAGCTCATTGCATAAAATGTTATGCATTCTCTGCACCACCCCACAAGCCCTCCACCCACAGGGCTCCATCCCCTCCCTATCCACTCCATAACAATGGAACATAAAACCCGGAAGAGATCTCAGAGATCTGTAGCCCACCCAACTATTTAACCATAGCACTGTGGCAGTGCAATGGTTTAAATCTCCCCTCCAAAACTCATGTTGCAATTTAATTGCCATTGTAATGGTATTTAAAAGTGGAGTCTTTAAAAGATGATTAGATCATAAGGCCTCTGCCCTCATGAATGGAGTAATGCCATTATTTTGGGAGTGGGTTAGTTATCACAGGAGTGGGCTTCTGATAGAAGGATAAATTTTGGTCCTTGTCCTCTCTCCGCCTCATGTGCTCATTTGCCCTTCAGCCATGTTATGATGCATCAGGGCCCTCAGCAGATACTGGCACCATGCTCTTGGACTTCCCAGCCTCCAGAACTGTGAGAAATAAATTTATTTTCTTTATGAATTACCCAGTCTCTGGTATTCTGTTATAGCAATGTAAAACAGACTAAGACAGGTAGAGATGGAAATTTGCCCAAGGTCATCAACCCAGCTAGAGGTATAGCCAGGTCCAGAACCAGGACTTCAGATGGCCGGTTCAGGGCTCCTTGCAGAAGGAGGAGCATGTGGTAAAAAAAAATCAGGGTGACTAAGATTAAAACACTGTCTTCACTTCCTTAGCTTGAAATGACACAGGATCCTTCGGGTGCCACTTCACCAGCCAGAGACTTCCGCAGCCAGCAGCACCTCTGCTAGAGTTTTGCTCATGACTGCTGAGCTGGCTCCTCCCACTTGGCCCAGCAGGCTGCGCTCAGCTCATGCTACCAGCCCGGATCTCACACCCACCATGGGCAAGTTAGGCATGGAGCAGAAAGGGGTGTGTGAGCAAGTGAGTGAGAGTGGGGTCTGGCCATGGTACACCTGTGCTGGCTGCTGTGGTGGGGCAGGCAGCTCCAGGGGCCAGCACAGGCACAAGCTCTGTGCAAGGCTATGGCTGGACAAGGCATGCCTTAAGTGGCTTCCACCTTGAGCACTGGCATTTGGACAAGGGGAACACATGGTGCCTGAACACTTAGAGATGCCAGCAACTGCAGAGCCCCAAATGGGTGTTACAGCATGTCACAGCTCTGGCTCAGGGAGTACCAAGATCTGGGCTCCCATAAGGGTCACAGCTCTTCTCTCATAGTCCGGCAAACGAGAGCATGTCACCACCCATAGCTCGGCAATCTGGCCAGAAACGTGTTTCAGCTTGGTTGTTTTACAGCTTGTTTGGTCCTGCTGCCCTGCTCCAGCCCACAGTTCCTGGGCTGGCCTGGCCCTGCCCTGCTTCCCATCATGCAGAGCAGCTGCCCAGCGTCAGTAGAAGGCAGGAGGGATACAATGTTACAGCTCCTTTCGCAGCTGCCATTCCACGGGTGCTGGGTTTTTGTCCTGTGTCCAGGAAGAATGAGGTTACATGGACAACCAGAGAGTGAGCAAGGCAGAGAAGAGTTTTACTGAGCAATAAAACAGCTCTTAGTGGAGAAGGGCCCCAAAGCAGGTAGCCCCTACCCAGAGGTGGGTAGTCCCACGTGGCTGAGTCCAGAGGTTTTATGGGCTTTAGCCCCATCCCAGACTTACTGAATTAGCACTCTGGGGACAGGATCCAGCAATCTGTTTTTGAACAAGCCTGCTGGGTGATTCTGATGCACACTCTCAGGTTTGAGAACCACTGCTCCACAGCATCTTCTCAAATGACTGTTTTTCTCATTTTGAGTACCTTCTAACGTGATGGCATACATTATGATGGTGTTTACAGAGGCAGCCCATGCCATCTGTAGACAATTGTACTGAGAGGCTCTTCTTAAGAATGAACTATGTCAAAACGGAATGAATTACATCAAGTTTTCATGTGGAAGATTAAAAAAAAAAAAGATGACCCTTCACCTTTAGACTTGCGGAATCAGAGTATTAGATAAGACTCTGTCTCAGCCCAACCACTTGCTGACAGTCTCTGGTAGGTTACGTCCCCCATGTTCCCTTTGGTCAACCTTCTCCCCCTTCTCACCCCAGCAAGGCTAGTATCAGGTACACTTTTTATGTCTCATAAAGTTAAATCAACAACCAGGAGTCAATACAAACTATATAGATACAGAGGGCAATAAAGGCAAAAGCAGCAACATTCGACTTCACCCAGGTAAGAGGGTAATAAAATTCCATAAAGGACAACCCAGTGGGCCAATCCACAGACTGCCAGAAGCATCAGGCAACTGAGCACTCCCCACCTCCACTACTGAACACTGCCAGCGTGCTGGCCACGGGACTGGTAGTGCTCAATAAATGTCTGTCAAATGAACACAATCTTATGAAAATGGAAGTAATTAACATTTATTGAGTCTTTAATGTCTGACAACTTATTCTGTTCAATGCCCTTTGATAAAAGAAAAACCTCAGCCGAATTAAATTTAAAGGAGTTTAACTGAGCAATGAACAATTCACAAATCGGGAAGCCCCCAGAATCACAGCAGATTCTCAGAGACTCCATGAGTGCCTCGTGTTCAGAACAAATTTATACACAAAAAGGAAACACAATGTACTGGAATTGGAAGTGAGGTACAGAAACAGTGAGATTGGTTATAGCTCCGCATTTGCCTTAGTTGAAGGCAGCTTGAATAGTCAGTGGTCTATGAATGGTTGAAGTATGGCCGCTGGGATTGGCCAATGCTCAGCTATTGTTACTGATGCATACTATTAAGTTAGGTTTTCGATTTTGTCTGACTATTAAGCTAGGTTACAGTTCATCCACAAGGACTCAAATATAGAAGTACAGAGTCCTTCTCAGGCCATATTTAGTTTGCTTTAACACCTTTCAGCTGCATGATCTCATTTTGTATTGCAAAAATACAGAGTGGCATTATCTATGCTTTAGGAAAGAGAAATATGAAAAATCTGGGGCTCAGAGAGGTTAAGTAATTTGCCCAAGTCTGCACTGCTAGTAAATGATAGAGCTGGGTCTTAATTCATGTCTCCTCACTCCAAATCCCATGCTCTTTTGCCACTGCAAAATGTATCTCTCACAGTTCTGGAGGCTGGGAAGCCCAAGACCAAAGTACCAGCAGATTTGGTGTCTGGTGAGGGGCTGCTTCCTGGTTCGTAGACAGCAGTGCTCTCACTATGTCCTCACATGGCAGAGGGGCCAAGGGAGCTCTCTGGAGTCTTTTATTATATAAAGCCACTAATCTTATTCATGAGCCCCTCATGACGTAATCACCTCCCAAAAAACCCACCTCCAAATATCATTACATTGAGGACTAGGTTTTAACATAGGAATTTTAGGATGACAAAAACGTTCAGTCTATAGCACAGAGTACAAAAAGCTTATTGATACAGCTTCAGATTCCACACTGCAAGTAACCTTTCGGGAACTAACACTTGAGTTCGGTGTATCAGGGGTTCTTAAGAAGCGGGAAGAGGTGAATTTGGTAACGTCTGGATGTATTTTTTGTTGCCACAACTGGAGTTGAGGGAAAGGGTGCTATTGGCATCTAGTGGGTAGAAGCCAAGGATAATGCTGAACATCCTACAATGCACAGGACAGCCCCTTCATCAAAGAATTGTCTAGCCCAAAGTGGCATTAATGTTGAGGGCTAAGAAAGAAGACTACCAGTAATTATCTGAAAAGGCTATTAAAATACTCACTTTTCTAACTACCGATCTGATTTTCTTCATATACTTCAACCAAAACAACATATCAAAACAGACAATATATAAGCAGATGTGAAAATCTAGCTCTCTTCCAGTAATCCAAACAGGAAAGAGGTATACATACCTGATATGGTTCAGGTCACACAGCCACAAAATGTAGTGTCCTAGCAACGGTGAAAACAGCAGAAACAGGAAAGTCATGCTCACCTTTCCCTACCACTTCTTCCCTGAAGCAACTCATAAGACCCTAATTCGAAAGGTACCCTCCCAACCCTTTGGGAGGCTGAGGCAGGAGGATCACCTGAGGCCAGGAGTTCGAGGCTGCAGTGAGCTATGATTGTATCACTACATTACAGCCTAGATGACAGAATGGGAGCTCAAAGACAAAAAAAAAAAAAAAAAGTAGAAAAGAAAAGTGCCCTCCCTACACCGAGAGGAAAGGAACATCCTTATCTCTGAATAAATGTGGTTACAAAATGATATTAAACAAATAGGCCTTGCTAATTTCATCCCAGTTTATTACCATTAAGTCATGGTTTTTTATTTAATCATACTTCACAATTATTCACGTCCTCATCAAACCTAGCATAAAAAGTACACAAGTTTATCTGTTTCTTCAGGTCTTTATTTCCTTATGAAGACCATCACATCAAGCAAAACTTATATTAAATAAATGTGTATGCTTTTCTCTTGTTAATCTGTCTTTTGTCAAAAGGCCCTTGGCCATAAATGTAGTGATGGTTGAAGAAAAGGTATTTCTCCTCTCCTATGAACCTATAAAACAATACCACTCTTCCCACTAATTTTTTTTCATTTTGGAAAATAGAATTATTTTTTATTTAAAAATATTTATGTTAATATGTAATAAATATTTTATTTTAAAATAGATTAGTAAATCATTTTTAAGTATCTCCATTTTAATTTCTAATATGGTATAAATATCAACAAATTTAACCCACATAAACAAGTGTTCTTCGAGAGTACTTAATAACTTTTAAAAATGCAAAGGACTCCTGAGACCAAAGAGTGTGGGTCCTGAGACCAGAGTTTATGCTGTTATTCTCCTCCTCAAAGCCCTGCAAGGGTTCCTAGCATCCACAGAATAAATTCCTGACCATGGCATTCAAGACCCTGTTCAGCTGCCCTTCAATCCCTCTTCCCACAATGTCCAAATCCCAGTTGTCCAGCCTCTCTGTCAATGGCTCCTACCTTGAACTCACCAAATTCAGGCATCCATTCACTCATTCATCAAATGCCAAGCACCTGCCTCTGCAGGTAAGAACCACATCCCACCCCTTAGGAGCTCAGAAGCTCATAAGGAAGGATACACACATACTCGGATAACAGTGGGGCAAGGATGCAGGAGAGGTTCCGACAAAACGCTATGGGAGCCTGTAATCCCAGCACTTTGGGAGGCCAAGGCAGGTGGATAGTCTTAGGTCAGTCTGGCCGACATGGTGAAACCTGGTCTCTACCAAAAGTAAAAAATGGGTCTGGTGTGGTGGCAGCCACCTGTAATCCCAGCTAACCTGTAATCCCAGCTACCTGGGAGGCTCAGGCAGGAGAATCGTTTGAACCCAGAAGGCGGAGGTTGCAGTGAACCGAGATTGTGCCACTGCACTCCAGCCTGGGTGACATGAGGGTGAATGAGGGCGAATGAAGCTCCTTCTCAAAAAAAAAAAGGTATGAGAGTTTGGAGTAGGATGCTGTCAAGGGACAAAGCACTTATTTTTTTCAAGTGGCGGCAGGTTTCCTTAGGAAATAA
Organism: Homo sapiens; assembly: GCF_000001405.40. Lineage (NCBI taxonomy): Eukaryota > Metazoa > Chordata > Mammalia > Primates > Hominidae > Homo > Homo sapiens. The sequence continues at coordinate 60,722,845 of NC_000011.10, forward strand.
CTGTTTTTGGCTCTTTTGGGGTATGGGAAATGAAGCCCTCCTCCCATCCCAAGAAATGACCAGGTTGGGGAGGGTAAAACAGAGAATTGTTCTGCACAATATTGCAGGAAGCATCTGGAAATTCTGAGGGCAGCTCTGCAGGGGCCGGAGGACGAGGCTCTAGGATGGGAAGAAAAGGAAAGAGTGGAGAGGAAGAGGATGGGGCCTAGAAGCATGGAGGAAGGCCAGGGTCCTGGAGAAGAAAGGGCCCAGCTGAAGTTCTCTGTGACAGGAACGAGCAAGGGACTAAGATCAGAGACATCCAGCACTTGATGTTTAGTTCATTGCTCTGTTTTGGGGCATTGGCATCTTTCCCACCCCCTACACTTTAGTAAAATTCCGCTACACAGAACCACTTTGTGTGAGTAAAGCTGTAGGAAAATCAAGGAAGGGAGAGTTTTCTAGTGCTGCCATAACAAAGGACTACAAACTGGGTGGCTTGTTAATTCAACGTATCGTCTCACAGATCTGGAGACTGGAAGTCTGAGATCAAGGTGTCAGCAGGGTGGGCTCCTTCTGGGGCTGTGAAGGACTCCATTCCAGACCTCCCTGCAGGCTTCTGGTGGTCCGTGGGCATCTTGGCCACTCCTTGGCCTATAGATGCATCACTCCAGAGTCTGCCTTCATGTTCATGCAGGCTTCTTCCTGTGTGCAAGTCTGTGCAATATCCCCTTTTTACAAAAACACCAGTCATAGTAAATTAGGGCCCCTTTTAACCTAATTACTTTTGCCATGAAACTATCTCCGAATAAAGTCACATTCTGAGATACTAGATGAGGGGTTAAGACTTCAGTATATCTTTTTGGAGGGTTCCATTTCAACCCACAGCAGGAGATGTGTTCCAGGACTGAGTTCATGTGGGGTGGACAAACAGCCGTAAAAGGGGAGATGTGAGGGAGATCAGGAGTGTATAGGAAATTGAGCAAGGAAATTGACTATGTAAAGCGTAATCTACATGAAGAAATCCTCCAACTTATTGGGAATGGAGCTACTATATATAGGATGGCGGCTTTAGCCAGTTCATGTAAACTAAAGGAAAGGGTGATTCTATAAGGCTGGAAAAATTGGAGACACACACACACACAAACATCACAGGCAGCTCACATTTGGGGCATGTGGGTTCCAAAGAGATTTAGTTTGACTGTAAAGTTCAGGGAAGGCTTTGTGGAGGAAGAGGCTTCAGGATGAGCGTTGGAGGATGGGGTGAATCTGGACATGCTCCCACACCTCTGGTTCACACTCTTCTGGAATACACTGTGCCTTCAGTGCAGCTTTGATCCAGTCTTTCTTTCAATGTCCAACTTGAGTTAGATGTCCAATTCCATGTCCAGCCACTCGACAAACCTCCTAGGACCAGCCCATCCCTTTGACACATCTCCCAGCCACATCATCCCTGATGGTCTGACTGAATATTTGTTTGTTCCTATCCATACTTGCACTAGAGTTATCCCAACAGTGGTTATATTCTGTCTCGTCAACTCCTTGCAAATTCTAGAGCACCTCGTATCCTAGCATACCACCTAGCACACACCAGACACTCAATAAATGCTCACTAATTGCTTATAAGGGAAATCTATTGGCTCAGAAAATCTTGACCCACTTCTGGATTTCTCACTTTCTCAAAGAGAAACTTTGGAAGGAGATCCCATGGAATCCTACTTTAGCCAAGGCCATAAATACTCTGAGGGGCAAATAAACAGCGTGGATGCCAGAGAATAGACGTATTGACTCCAAATGAAACTGCAAAGAGGACTTTGGAGCTTGAAAGGGAAACCTAATTTGAGTTTATTTTCTAGATGATTAACATTAAATAGTGCCAATCCATCAGCTAGCACCAGAATTTCTAGATCAGGCTGCAGAAACCCACAGAGCCTGAAGAAAGAGCATCCAAAGACTTCCCAGGAGCACAAGGTAAGACTTCTGTGAATTCTTCCGCAAGACTCTGACAGAGCCTGGATAGCACCAGCAGAGACGTGGACCTAGGCGGTCCCTCGGAAGTGTCTCTTGAGAACCACAAGGAATCAGGGGTTCAGACATAGGGTAGTGCCCTCCAGCAAGACAGGCGTGCAGCCACCCATCCTTGGAGGTGCTGGGAGGCTGGGAAGTAACTGAAGAGTCACAACAGGTTCTCAAATTGAGCTCCTGTCTCTGCATGGACACAGCAATCTTAAGATAGAAGGCTGGAGACTCTGCTAGGCATTTTCTGGCTGCCTTGCTCCCTAAGCCCAGCTGTAGGCACACTGTGATCAGGTCTACTTAGGACCTCAATCTAGAACTGGTGGAATGGCTTCTGATGGAACCACTCTTTTTTTTCTTCTTCTTCTTTTTGAGACGGAGTCTCGCTCTGTCACCCAGGCTGGAGTGCAGTGGCGCGATCTCGGCTCACTGCAAGTTCCACCTCCCGGTTTCAGGCCATTCTCCTGCCTCAGCTTCCAGAGTAGCTGGGACTACAGGCGCCCGCCACCACGCCCGGCTAATTTTTTGTATTTTTTAGTAGAGACAGGGTTTCACCGTGTTAACCAGGATGGTCTCGATCTCCTGACCTCGTGATCTGCCCGCCTTGGCCTCCCAAAGTGCTGGGATTACAGGCAGAACCATTCTCTTTGTTCCTGACATTTTCCTGACGGGAGGTAGAATCTCAGGGGTCCCAGGAACATCCCTCATAGGGCCCAACTGTTTGTGCCAATTGTCAGGTCTACGGCTGTATTGTTTTTCACACATTAAAGAAGGAGTCCTCTGAAAAAAAGGAAGAGAGAAATGATTAATTTTTTAATATCATGAAGCAGAGTATAACATTTAGCACAGTATTCATTATGAAAATTGAAGGCAGGCAGACTATCAATTCTTGTATTTCAAATCTCAACTTCAGCATTTCCTAGCTGTGTGACTATGGTCAAGGCACTTAACCTCTCTGAGCCTCAGAGAGTTTGCCCGAGAAATGGTCATAACAATAATATATTGCTGGGGGAACTGCCTTATATCTACAGGGTTATGAGGCATCAACATCCAAGGATGCTGTAGTTGTTATTCTAAACCACTCTCCTGGGAAATCTGTTATTCTTCAAGAAAGCAAGGAATGTCAAGGTCTAATGCAGAAGTGGCTCACACTGCCTGCACAGCCTCCATTCATGCAGCTGAATGTTCCACCATCCATATGTCACTGGTAGAACATTTCTTCTGGGAAATGAAAACATAGTGAAATGCAAATAGCAGTCAGAAAAAAATAAATTTGAGTCTCAGATCTATTCCTGTGGGTTGCATAATTGTAGACAAGTTATTCCACTTTCAGAGCCTTGGTCTCCCTACTTTGCAAAGAGGCGGGTCGGATCAAAATGAGTGAGAAGACAGGGGTGAATGCCTTAGCCATCAGGTGTCAGACCAGTGACAGTTGTTTTTCCTATGGAAGAGTAGCATGGAAAGGGGCCTCAGAGACCAGCTAGATTTTAAAATAAGGAAAAAGCTGGGAATTTTCTGAAGCTTTATATAACCAATATTTTGAACTGTTGGGATCCAAGGAAAAAGAAGTGAAACCACAAAGGAGAAGTGTAGGGCATTTCTGCATGGAAGTGGTTCTCAAACTTCAGCAGCATGAGATTCACCTGGAGGGTGTGTTGAAACACAGATGGCTGATCCTTGCCCCTGGACTTTCTAGTAGCTCTGGGGAGGGGACCAAGAATTTGACTTTCCGACAAGTTCCCGGTGATACTGATACTGCTAGTCCAGAGACCGTACTTTGAGATCCTCTGCTATTAATACTAAATCTAATAGTTTGGGGTCAATTAGGAAAAATATTCACAACAATGGCCCCTCTCTTTTTTAAGATTGGGGTAACACTTTTATTTTATTTTATTTTATTTTATTTTATTTTATTTTATTTTATTTTATTTTATTTTTACTCTAAGTTCTGGGATACATGTGCAGAACGTGCAGGCTTGTTACATAGGTATACATGTGCTATGGTGGTTTGCTGCATCTATCAACCCGTCATCTAGGTTTTAAGCCCCACATGCATTAGGTATTTGTCCTAATGCTCTCCCTCCCCTTGCCCCCCAACCCTCCGACAGGCCCCAGTGTGTAATGTTCCCCTCCCTGTGTCCATGTGTTCTCATTGTTTAACTCCCACTTATGTTTGGTTTTCTGTTCCTGTGTTAGTTTGCTGAGAATGATGGTTTCCAGCTTCATCCACGTCCCTGCAAAGGACATGAACTCATTCTTTTTTATGGCTGCATAGTATTCCATGGTGTATATGTGCCACGTTTTCTTTATCCAGTCTATTGTTGAGGGGCATTTGGGTTGGTTCCAAGACTTTGCTAAACAATGGCCCTTCTCTTATGGGTGGTCTCTACCTTTCAACAAAGAACAAATGTTAACTGTTCCCTCTGTGCCAGGTTCTATGCTGGCAGTTTTCTCAATCTTCAAAACACCCTTTGGAGAAGGTGCCACTATTATGCACCTTTTATAGATAAGAAACTGACAGCGTATGCAACTTGCTCAAGGTCGTACAACTAATAAATGAAGGAACTGAGAAGTGGACTTAGGGCTGTCTGAGCTCTTAACCCTGATACTGTCTTGCTTTCGAGTTTACTTTATAGACGATTAATATTAAATAATGCCAATTCATCAGCTAGCACCAAACTCAAAATGTCCATTGACAATTTGGAGTGTTTCTCTCACTCAGGATGCAGCTGGGACAGGGGGATCAATTTATACTTGTGATTTAGTGAGGACAGAAAGCCTCCTGAGAACATACCTCTGGGGTCCTGCACACGTTATTTTGTGCCATAGGATTTGGTGTCTTGCCAGTAAGGACTGTATAATCTAAGTAAAGGGATAAGCCCACCAGCCACAACAATTAACAAGTAAAGTACACTAGTAACATTATCTCTCATCTGAATGGGATATCTTCGCATCTAATAATATCTTTAATGTTCTGAGGGCTACATGCCTACCTCCTCCCATTGCACACTTGCTCCCCAGCATCAAAAAATTAAGCAATTCTCTAAGTCCAGCTTATCAGTCCTCATCAAATCGGGACAATATCCCAGGTCTCCCCCCAAGTGATTCCCTTCTCAACTTTTTCTAATGCTCAAGATTCAGTAGAAACTGCAGGCTATTAAGGGTTTGATCACTGTCATAATCTCTAGGACCCTGGACCATAATGGTTTAAACACAAGGAAAATGCAACAAAATTTCTACATGGTCGCAATCCCAACACCAACATGGACAAGACCCATGAAGAGATTGAAAGGGATGATCATTCCCAGGCCACTTGGCCCATGGTTCCTCCTGGATGTCAAGGGCACCCAAGAAGCCTGGGAAAGACAGTCTGTTTTTTTGCTCTGAAACCAATTAATGTTGAAAAATCATACACAAAATGCCTTAATTAAATTAAACCCATAAATGAGTTAACTAGTTATAGACTTCAAGGACAGAAGTACAGCTGGGGCAAATGAGAACCTAGAACCGAGAGTCAAAAGGACATCAAAGACCAAGGTAGTATCTGTGTGTATGTGTGTATGTATGTGTGTGTGTGTGTGTGTGTGTGTGTATCTGTGTGTGTGTCTGTGTGTCTGTGTCTATGTCTGTGTTATCTGTCTTCCTCCCTCCTTCCCTCTCTCTGTGTGTGTGTATGTGTGTGTGTGTGTCTGTGTATCTGTCTTCCTCCCTCCTTCCCTCTCTCTGTGTGTGTGAGTGTGTGTCTGTCTGTCTGTGTCTGTGTCTTCCTCCCTCCTTCCCTCTTTCTCTGCGTGTGTGTCTGTCTGTCTGTGTCTATGTGTCTTCTTTCTCCTTCCCTCTCGCTCTCTCTTTCTCTCCTTCCCCCTTTTCCTTTCCCTCTCTCTCTCCTTCTCTCCTCTTCTTTTATCTCTCCCTCCCCCAATGCTTCTCAGCTTTATTCTCTTCACTCTACTAACTGGTGTTCTCTGCTCCCCCTGCACACAACATACATGTGACCCCTCCAACTCTGCCTAGCCTCCCATCCCACAGTAGTCCTTGGGTCCAGTTCCAAATTCCCAGGAGAAAGAAGTTACCAGAGCATTTGGGGTCAGTTGTTCACCCCCAGATCAATCAGCTTTGCCAGGGCAGGGGGCAAGATGGGGAGGTAGCCTGTGCCCACTCAACAAACTCAAGGCATGCAGATTAAAATGCCAACTGCAGGGGGCTAAGCAAAGCCACCATCCAGACTGTGAACAAAAGGTCTACAAGAAGCTAAGTAGCCTCGGGAAACCCTAGTCTTGCAAATCCAAATCCGTAAAAGGAAAACAGTGTGTTCTTGCCAAGAAAGGCAAGAAGTTTATTTTGTCTGGTACCATGCTAGGTGATTCTTATTTTAATGAAGATGAAACTAAAGATAAGAATGAGATAAGATGCATTATTCATTTTGTCAGAAGAGGGAAATGCACCTTCTTATGTGTTTTGCAGCAGTTGTACACCATGACCGAACAGGTGATTGGAGCCAACAGTGTACCTGGCATTATTGCCCCAGATAATGTTCACGTCATCCAGCCCAGCAACCCTGTGGCCTCTGGAAATCATCTGCAGCCTTCAGAGGTGACCACTTACCCAATCTCACCAAAAGTAATCCACTGTGATACAGGAAGAGCAAACTTACAGAATCTACTCGTGGTGAACCAGAACTCAGCAGCAGGTGTACAGAGTCAACCCATTGGGTATCAGCGACAGTATCCAGTGGGAACAGCCAGTTTGCAGACGGTGCCTGGAGTGATCCAATACACACAGGGAACCACGAATCTCCAGACATGGCCTGGAGACCTTCAGAATCCTCTGAATGCTAACCCTGGGCTGACACACACCTCAAACTCATCCCAGTGGAACACGTCATTTGCATCATTTACTTCATTTAATCCCAAGAAATTCATAAATGAGGAGGTCAGAACATTAGGGGTGAGTGTGATTTCTCCTTCTCTCCGATTTGGGTCACTTCATAAGCCCTCGTCTAGTGCTCTGGGATGAGGAAGGGAATGTGTTGAGAGGGTAAAGGGGAGGTGGAGTGGGTGTGGGGGGCAGTTTCTGGAGGCTGGACCCAGTACAATCACCCAGATGCTGGCCCCTCTCCCTTGTCTTCCTTCCACTCCCCAAGGAGACCCATGGTTTGGGGGATAAAGGTTTGAATAATCAGTGAACATCCCCACCTTACCCAGCTATCTATCAGGGGCATGGGTCAGCAATAGTTCCACTAAAAAGACCACTGAGCAGGGAGTCAGGCAATCCAGGTCTCAGGCCAGCTAGATTTGCTGAGTGGCCTTGCAGACATCTCTTCCTCGCTCTGGGCCTCCATTTCCTCATCTTTAGAATAAGAAGATTCAGCTTTCTTAAATTCCTTCCAGCTCCAAGGTTTTGTGATTTCCTTTTCAATCAAGGGGGCCTCTGCCTCTTTCCTGCCTCCTCCAGTTTCATTTAGCACCTTCCAAAGCTCAATTCAATTCTGTTTTTGAGGCAGAAGCCAGATGCCTGGCTGGATCTGGATGCCTGGCCAACTCTTAGTATGGAGACTGGCGTGTCACAGATGCCCATACTCTATGCACTCATCCATTCAACACTGCACGTGCCCTGCAAGGAGCTGGAGACTCAGAGATAACCAAAACATCATCCATGAAGATGAAGGAGGGTCTTTGTTCATGGCAGCTGTCATAATTACAATACCTTCTGGCAATTGCCATGAGACATGCATAAGTTATTGTGGCTGCCCAAAGTGCAAATTGTCTGGCTTCTTTGAGAAGTTACAAACTGCCTCCTGGAGGCAGGAAGACAAGGACAGGTGCAGGAAGGGGACCCATTCCTCCTTATTTAATCCTGGGTAGACAAGTAGATTGTGCCAGGAACAAGGCGTTGTTTGCCTCCCAAACAAATCAAAATCAAATCCTGAACTAAATTCTATAAAACAGCAATCAGGAATAGAAATCCTGGTCAGGCCGGACACGGTGGCTCATGCCTGTAATCCCAGCACTTTGGGAGGCCAAGGCAGGCAGATTACAAGGTCAGGAAATCGAGACCATCCTGGCTAACATGGTGAAACCCTGTCTCTACCAAAAATACAAAAAATTAGCCAGGTGTGGTGGCGGGTGCCTGTAGTCCCAGCTACTCTGGAGGCTGAGGCAGGAGAATGGCGTGAACCCGGGAGGCAGAGCTTGCAGTGAGCCGAGACAGCGCCACTGCACTCCAGCCTGGGCTACAGAGCTAGACTCAGTCTTTAAAAAAAAAGAAAAAAAGAGGGAAATCCTGGTCACAAGCATCAAGTGAGATTATAAATGTGTGCGGAAATCCTCCAAAAGGTAAAGCTGGTCTATGATATTGCGTAGTAATTATCATCTTGTATTACAATGACTATCATTATTATTAATTAATACTGGGTAAAGGTTTGTTAACTTTGGCTAGCAATTATTCTAAGATATTTTGGAAGGATTTCAAAATTTGTCAAAACAGAATTAAGTCAGAGCAAATATCTGGGGAACCTGGCCAAACAAAATGAAAAGCCAAAAAGCCAAAACTGCAGACTATCTTTAATCAATTACAATTTTGTTTGGGGAAGGAAACTATGAGTGCCTCTTAGCCCTTTTCCCGATTGCCCCAAGAATATTCGCCAGCAGCACTTGCAGCTGCAGTATTTAGCCCGAGATAACTTTGCCAATGTCTCCCTTTTATTATAACTTTCGCCTTGCTCTAGCATATTGACCTTGGAAGCAAGAGACATCATTCTATTTATAGCATTCTGTTTTTAGTAGTAGTATTCCCATTTACAAAATACAGTAATTCTCGATTACTAAAAATGTCAAATCCTAGAAAACGTAGCATTTCTACGCATGGTGTTAACATTGTTCTCAAACAGTTGTTGGCCAAAGATTCATTTGATGAATCCAGTGTTTCCGAAGTAAACAATTCTAATGTTAGTTCTGTTTAGAAATCACTCGAAAAACCGTTTTTATCATTTATTTTCACAATGAAAATCAGCCAGATTTGCTTCAGCCTCAAGAGTGTGTTTATGTAAAATTAAATGAGTGCTGGCAGCGAGCGGCACTATTTTTTTTCTAAATGGGAACAGGGTTCATTAATATACTGATAAAGTGGGCCTGTAGACAGAGTCAAGCATGTCGCCTTAGGAAGGGATGTTCATGTGAAACCCAGGTCTGTCACCAACTCATAGACTCATGGACCAGGAAGACAGAAAGCAGCTGCCCTAGGCTAGTCATTTGATCCCTGAGGAAACTGAGGCCCAGAGAAGCCAGTGGTAAATGCTGTAGGAGCCCCAAATGAGAGGGGATTCATCCTGGACGGGGGCTCAGGAAAAGAATCTCTCTGGTCCTTAAGGGAAGGATAGGATTTCAGGAGGAGGAGAGTAAAGCAAGCAGATTTCAGACAGTGGCAACAGTGGAGGAAAAGCAGGGAGTAAGGGGAAAAACACAGGACTTGCAGGGGACAGAGGATCTCCCCTTGTGTACGTTGCCAAGGGGAACTGTGGGGACGTCATAGAGGAGGCCACAAAGAGAATATCGGTACTGGGAAGATGAATGGAGTCAGCAGAGGGCATTGAAATACTTACTGCATTCAGGCCTGGCGTGGTGGCTCACCCCTGTAATCCCAGCACTTTAAGAGGCCGAGGCGGGCGGTTCACGAGGTCAGGAGATCGAGACCATCCTGGCTAACATGGTAAACCCCATCTCTACTAAAAATACAAAAAAAAATTAGCCTGGCTGGGTGGCAGGCACATGTATTCCCAGCTACTCGGGAGGCTGAGGCAGGAGAATCACGTGAACCTGGGAGGCACAGCTTGCAGTGAGCCAAGATCACGCCATTGCACTCCAGCCTGGGCGACAGGGCAAGACTCCGTCTCAAAAAAAAAAAAAAAAAAAAAAGAAACACCTACTGCATGCTAGGAACTGGGCTACAAGTTTCATAGGCACTTTTAATCTCTACCACAGCCCTGCAAGCTGGATACTGTTACCCCCATCTTGCAAATATGTAGCCTCTCAAACATGCTCTTGAGGCTGAAGCAAATCTGGCTGATTTTCAGAGTGAAAATAAAATATAAAGACCTTTCTTCGAGTTATTTCTAAACAGAACTAACATCGAATGGTCTGAATCATCAGAATCATCTATTTTGGAAAAATCAGATTCATCACATGAATTTCGGCCGACAACTATCTGAGAACGATGTTAACATCACGTGTAGGAATGCTACGTTTTCTAGGATTTGACATTTTTGGTTTCCCTGCAAATAAGGAAACCCTGAGGCAGAGAGGATATTTGCTGGAGACCACACAGCCGGCCAGTGCTGCAGCCAGGACAGGAGCCAGGTGGTTTTCAGCCACAACCCGGGCTCGGCCCGTGTCTCTGCACACTTGTGGGCTCAGTCTAAAGGGAACACATTTCTTGCTCTGTTATAGGCTGTCTTACCTTTCCTTTATGCCTGTGATTCTCAGCCTGAGTGCAAATTCGCATCACCTGTGAAGTTTTTAAAAAAACACCCAGGTGTGGACCCTACCCTCAGAGATTTGTATCCATTTGGTCTGGGATGAGCCCCCAACACCAATCACCCCTGGGGTGATTCTGGGGCACAGCCAGGGTGCAAAGCACAGCTCCACAGCCCACAGGCCCGCAGTTCTGCTCTCTCACAGTGACTTGTTCTCCCTGCAGGCCATCCAGATCCTCATCGGCCTGACGCACATTTTCTCTGCAATTAACCCTGTGCTGTATTACTATCCTTTTGTGACCTGGTTGTCAGGGTACCCGCTCTGGGGAGGATTATCCGTGAGTACAAGGCCATATGGTCTCCTTCCTGGGTCACCAGACTGGGACAAGAAGGAAGTGGAGGAAGAAGGAGCATGGAATCCCATTCCCAGTAATATGACTCTGTAGACTAGAGCCAGCCTCCAACTTGCAGATACAGCAAAGGGTTATATCAACTCCCTGCCCCAGCAACACTCCCTCCCACCACCACCCTCCCCATCTCCCATACCCCCCACCCAGCCTCTAGGGAACTATTGGGTACAAACACTCATTATCATGTTCTTTACCTCTTCCACCCTCTCTGGGTTCTCTTTTATGAGATATTTATCTGATAAGGCCAGGCAGGGTGGCTCACGCAGGTAATCCCAGCAATTTGGGAGGCCGAGGTAGGTGAATCACTTGGGGTCAGGAGTTTGAGACCAGCCTGGGCAACATGGCAAGACCTCCCCCCACCCGCCATCTCTACAAAAATACAAAAAATTAGCTGGGTGTGGTGGTGTGCACTTGTAGTCCCAGCTACTTGGGATGCTGAGGTGGAAGGATCACCTGAGCCCAGGAGGTGGAGGCTTCAGTGAGCCATGATCACACCACTGCACTCCAGCCTGGGTAACAGAGTGAGAGCCTGTCTCAAAGGAAAAAAAAAGAAATATCTCATATGTAACTCAGAGTACGTAAAGTTGTGTGCTATAGACAGCATCTACCTACCATACCAGTTATGGGAGCCGACTGCAAAATTTCCAGGAATTATGTAAAATGATTGTCAAACCATTTGGTAGCAGGAAGTTGGCCATGTTGGGTATACATACGACATGGAAATCAACACGTGCTCCAAATCAGGGCCCTTCCCTGCAGTGCTGCCACCTCATAAGGCAGATGTTAATCATTTACCAGCAGGCCATTCAGTATATTTCATCTTGCAGAGCTTAAATAATATTAATAAATTGAACACCCACATGTACAATTCCACTTAGATGAGGTCCCTAGGGTGGTCAAATTCATAAAGATAGAAAAAGCAGCATGGTGATTGCCAGGGGCTGGGGTAAGAGGGTAATGGGGAGTTAGTGTTTTATGGGGACTGAGTTTCAGTTTGGGATGATAAAAGGAGATCTTGGGGTGGCTGGTTGCACAACAATATGAATTTTCTTTTCTTTTCTTTTCTTTTTTTTTTTTTTTGAGGTGGAGTCTCGCTCTGTTGCCCAGGCTGGAGTGCAGTAGTGCCATCTCAGCTCACTGTAACCTCTGCCTCCTGGGTTCAAGAAATTCTCCTGTGTCGGCCTCCCGAGTAGCTGGGATTACAGGCATGTGCCACCATGCCCGGCTAATTTTTTGTATTTTTAGTAGAGACGGGGTTTTGCCATGTTGGCCAGCCTGGTCTCGAACTCCTGACCTCAGGTGATCTGCCCCCCTTGGCTTCCTAAAGCGCTGGGATTACAGGCATGAGCCATCCCACCCAGCCTAACAATATGAATTTTCTTGGTGCTAGTAAACCAAACACTTGAAGGGGTTTGAATGGTATGTTTTAAGTTGTGTGTATTTTACCACGATTAAAAATAGTAAATTAAATTAAAGTTTTAAAAAATGAACACCTACGTGTCCACCACCTAACTTAAAAAACAAAGCATCACACGTGGTTTTTAAATTTTTAAATCCCTATAAGTATCCCCTCTATGCCCCGAGAGGTAACCACTATTTTCAATTTAATGTTTTTCTTTTTTTTTTTTTTTTGAGACGGAGTCTCGCTCTGTCGCCCAGGCTGGAGTGCAGTGGCGCCATCTCGGCTCACTGCAAGCTCCGCCTCCCGGGTTCACGCCATTCTCCTGCCTCAGCCTCCAGAGTAGCTGGGACTACAGGCGCCTGCCACCGTGCCCGGCTAATTTTTTTTTTTTTTTTTTTTTTGTATTTTTAGTAGAGACAGGGTTTCACCGTGGTCTCGATCTCCTGACCTTGTGATCCACCCGCCTCGGCCTCCCAAAGTGCTGGGATTACAAGCGTGAGCCACGGCGGCTGGCCGATTTAATGTTTTTCATTCCCTTGCTTTTTTTTTTTTTTTTTTTTTTGAGACGGAGTCACTCTGTCACCCAGGCTGAGACACAGTGGCACAATCTTGGCTCACTTCAACCTCTGCCTCCTAGGTTCAAGCGATTGTCCTGCCTCAGCCTCCTGAGTAACTGGGATTACAGGCGTGCACCACCACTCCCAGCTAATTTTTGTATTTTCAGTAGAGACAGGGTTTCACCATGTTAGCCAGGCTGGTCTCAAACTCCTGGTCTCATAATCCACCCACCTCGGCCTCCCAAAGTGCTGGGATTACAGGCGTGAGCTAGCACGTCCAGCCTCCCTTGCTTTTCTTTATGGTCCGATCATATTTACCTATATGCCTAAGCAACGAGTGGCTTGGCTTTGCTTGTTTACAAACGCATATACATGGAATAATCCTGTATTTGCATGCAGCTGGCTCTTTTCCCCCACTGGCCATTTTGTTTGGGAAGAAGTGAGTTCCTTTGAGGGGTAGCTTCAAGAGAGCTAGCAAAACCCCTGAGTGCCCCTATTCTCCCCCATCAATAATCCTATCCTTGTTCTCTCACTTGAACTACATGACCCACTTGCAGATAGAGAGGGCTGGAATCATTATGTATGCCCATTTGCCAGATGAAGAGACTGAAGCTCAAGATCTTCCTCCAGCACTTTCTGGCTATGAGGATGACACCACCACATCCTCATAGCCAGAAAGTGCTGGAGGAACGTCCTGAGCCCAGGCCTCCTCATTTCAGGGCTCTCATAACTGAACAGAGCTCTTACTGCTTCTGATGTTCATGTTTCCATCACCTGCTCAGCAGCATCAAGTGCTAAAGAGGACCCTCTAGCTGGGTCCAGGACCACAGCAGATGAGGCCACAGCCCAGGTCTCCTATCTCCCAGCCCCAAGGCTCCACCCACCACACTGCTCAGCCCCTGGTTTTCCAAGATCACAGTTGAGGATAGGGCAGCGGAGGCCAAATGAGCAATTAATGCATTTTGGCGATGATATGTCCAGACAGTGGACTCAAGGAGAATCAGTCAAAACATAATAATAATGAGATTTACAGCATCCTGGGACAAAATTCAGGTTTTTAGGGGAAAGGAAGGTGTTAGCCTAGACCCACAGGAGTTTGAGTATCACGGTATTTAGTATATTTGGTGCCTAACCATTGGGATAGTAAAAATGTTGGGAGGAAATAAACAGATTTGCACATTTTGTGAAACAAGGTGCATAGAACATAAAGATTGAGAAATGCGTCTCTGAGTGGACAGCTGTCTTTTTTAACATGCTGCACAATTGGTCATTCTTTTTTTTTTTTTTTTGTCTGCGTAGTATATTGTATCTGGATCCCTCTCAGTATGGGCTGCAAAGGACCCCAGTCCTTGTGTGGTAAGTCACAGTGCTGTCTTTGATGATCCTTGAATGTTAGAATTTGACTCTCTACCAAACATGAAAAAAGGAGACTCACAGTAGTGGTGTGGCCTGGCCCTGGCCCTGGGTACAGTGCATTTCCATACCTTATTCCAGTCAATCCCCATCACTCTGTGAAGCTGTATTATCCCCATTTTTCAGAGGAGAAAATTGAGGAGCAGAGAGGTCAGGTGGCTTGCCTAAGATCACACAGTGAGTACATGGCAGAGCTGGGATTTGACCCCAGAGCCCTCTGATTCCAAAGCTGTTCTTTTTTAACTATTGCATTTTACTATTCAAAAACTTAGCTCTTTGGGAAACTCATGAGTATTTACACGCAGTGCCTTATGGGTGCTCTGAATTAAGCAGAAAGCCAGGCCTGAGCCAAACGAAAATGTGTGTGCATCTCGGCCATCTCTTTAAGATATTTTCCATGATCCTCTTTGTGTGGACCTAGAAAAGTGAGAGCAATACCTGCCTTGAACAATTTAAAGTCCCAACCAGGAGCACAGGGCCCAGAATTCCCTTGCACCTTTGGGGCATTTATTCTCTGTCTCAGCATCCAGCAAAGTATCTGGTCATGTTTTGATTTTTGTTGCAGCCTCTAAGAAGCTTAGGGATAAATTTAGAGCTCCACAATGGCCCTTCTCTCATCTCCTTCCTTCTCAGGTCCTCCTTCCCCTCTCCACTTTCTCTGTATGGCTTGTCGTCTTTCTTCTGCCTTTTGATGGGAAAGCAGTAGGTCAGCTAGGGGCTGGGTGTCTAACAGAGGGTTTCCCAATTACCAATCTCCAGTCTGCAAGGCAAACTCCTGTGGCCCCACAATCTGCCTTGCTTCACCCCCTTTAGGAAGAGCAGAGTCCTCCAGACACCCCAGCATCAACCAAGCTCACACCACCTGTTCATATCCCAACAGGACTGGGAAGTTCCATATCCCCTGGGAAGTCAAATGCTCTCCCTAAGGTGACTGCTGACTCGTGGGGGTCTCCTAGTCCTCTCTTGCTCTGACATCTGACTTTCTATTGAAATCTCAACTTCCGTTTCTACTTTATACATCTCACAGCTGTCCTGGCCTCAGCCCAAATGTAGAACACGGTCCCTTTCTCTTTCACCTTTCTCTCTTCATCCCCATAACCCTCTTAAAGGGAAGCAGCTTGAGTAGGGGATGGATAATGAATAATTCGAGGACTTCAGCCTCTCAGCACTGAGCGGCAGACCCCTCAAAGTTGAATATGAGAATTTCCGGTTCTGAAAACCTTCCCCAGCCAATCCTGCCAGGATGCTGGCCCCAGCCTTCCACCACAGGGACCAAGTCTCCCCGACTCCCTTCCCTCAATTCAAGCTTGGGATCTCTGCTCACTTCTTCTGCAGAGTAGTTCTGCATCTTTGCCTTATCTCTTTCTGAATCTCATTGCCTACTCTCTGCTGCTTCGAAAGAAATTTTCCCAAACAAATCCAGTCCCTGCCATAGAAGGATGCTGCACATTGATTAACGAATGATTTTGGGTGGAGGTTTGGAGGAAAGAAAGGATCAGGTAAAACAACTAACAGGTACTAGGCTTAATACCTGGGTTATGAAATAATCTCTACAACAAACCCCCATGCCACAAGTTGACCCATGAGACAAACCTGGACTTGTACCCATGAACTTAAAATAAAAGTTAAAAAAAAAAAAGCAATGATTTTTCTCACCTCACTATCGCTAAAATAAATGCTTCTCCACCCTGCCTGGCCAACTCTTTTCTGCCCTGCCTTCTCTCTTCTCCGACTTCCCAAGAGTCCCCACAAGCCAGGCTTCAGACTCTTCAGACTCGGCTCCCTCTCTCCTCTCCCTCCTCTCCTGCAGGTGAACAGCAGCATCAGCTTCAACATCATCAGCGCACTCTTCGCCTTTGCCGGGATCTTCATTATCATTACAGATCTGAGCCTTTACTATGTGACGGTGAGCATCTGACTGCCAGGGCCCCGTGCTGCCAAAGGACCAGGAGGGCTTCTGAGGTTGCCTCCCCAGAGCAGAATGGAATTGCCCCAGAATTCCATCCTAGTATGACAACCACTACATCCATAAGCTATTTAACCGTCACCAAAACCCTGTGCCCTCTGAGGTGGCCATGATAAACTCCATTTCACAGTGAGGACACTGAGACTCAGAGAGGTATAGCCACTTGACCTCTCCTCGTACCTATCCTTTTCTCTACTTGGAGGTAGCAGGTGACCAGGTAAGCGGCCTAGGGGGCTGCCACACTCAGACTCACAAGATCACCTGCCCCTAGGGGTCTCTCGAGGGATAGCCTTTCACACAAACAGGAGGTGCGGATGCTAGTTCTGGTCTTTTGGTGCGGGGACCTCCAGATGCAGATGCAAAGAGAAGGATTCAGGTGCAAGTCGTGTATTTCAGAGGTTATTCTAGGAAACCTCACTAGAGGAGGGAAGAAGTAAGACAAACAAGGAGAGGAAGCTGCACTATAAACGTATTATCCGGCAAGGACCCCTGGAGGTGGACCTGCCGGGGCCCTGGTAGCCAGGGAATGATATGTGCCTTAGCTACACCCTGTCCTGGAGTGAGGGTGTATTTATCCACCAACTCCCCTCAATCATTGATCAAAAACTGCTCCTGAGGGGCATCAATTCCCTAGTGCTTCCAGTCTGCCATGCTCATGGGCAAAGGAGTTTCTTGTGGCCAAAGGAAGCCCTCAAGTGAAGCCATGCAAATGAAAGTCAGGCAGCAGGCATGGAAGGACATCAGTAACATTGACACAGTACTTGAGGAGGCCTGAAGAACAAGATCGAGAGTAGCTAGCTCCACAGTTGGCTGCAATCTGATCCTCTCTTGGGACTAACCAAGTGGGCAAGGGAAGGCTGGCAGGACACAGGGTCTTAAACCAGACATGTCTACAGGGGTGAGGGCAGTCCCTAAGGGGAGAGCTCCCTGAAGGCCCCAGGAAGAAGCCTGATGCACAGGGTGTAACTTGGTATCTAGGGGATGTGGCAGCAAGATGCTGGCCTCTGGAGTCCAATAGGATGCAACAGGATGTCCCAACAAGGGAGTGGATTGTGTTCATGTGGAACCAAGAGCACAACAGCTACAAATCCTAAAGGTGGTCATTTGGCAATCAGGACCTCTGTCATCAAGGAGCATACTAGTGCAGTGTAGCACAACGGCACTGGATTCCAACAGGCATTCCAAGCCCTGGGATCCCCACCCTCTGCTCCAGAGAAAGAGTGTGTAGGGATGAGAGGAGCTCAGTGATCCCTTCCACCCTACTGTGGGCAGGGACCAGGCCCAGAGCACACTGAGCTCTCTGGGACCCCTTCAATCCTGCCTTAGTTTCTGTCTTGACAGAATCCCTTGAAGCTCTGAGGTCCCATCCCAACCTGTCAAGGGCAGTATGAGGCAGGGATACTGGAAGAGGGCTGAGAAAGCCAGGAGCCAGACAGAGCTAAGGACCCTGACCTAGCTGGTGTCTATCCCCTGGCCCCAGGCAAGTAGCCCAGACCCTCATACAGGGTTTCCTAGCCAGTGCACTTGTTGAAATGTCTCAGTTTGGGTTCCTCCCAGGAGCAGAATTTGAGACAAGTAGTTTATCTGGGAGAGGAAGCAAACACCAACTTAAGGGGTAAGAGAGCTGGGGTATTTATACACCAGCCCCTGACAGTCATGGAGAGAGGGCTGTTCTCAAGAGGCACTCATTTCCTGGAACTTTGAGCCTGTGCAAACAGCAAAGTAGGCTTCAGAGGCCAGAGAGAGCCCTGAGGCAAAGGAATGCAGGTGCTGGCAGTTGGAAGTCAGGCCAGTGACTAAGAGGGTAAGGCAAGGGCATATAAAATGGGTGACCCAAGCACCTGCTCCAAAGGGCCACATGCAGAGAGGGTCTCAGGCCTTCCAGGTGAGGTGTGTGGCACTCCAAATGTGGACTGTCACCTAGGCCATCAACCTGAAGGACTAAATGCCTTCCATTTCTCTTTGCCTTTAGACATATTCAAAGGCGGTTTCTGGCGGTCTTCTCCCCTTTGCCCTCCTGGAGTTCATCCTCACTTGTGTGGTCTCACATTTTGGGTGCCAGGCTACCTGCTGCAGACAATTTGAGGTAAGCATTGGACTCTGTTCCAGGAATCAGATCATGCTCTGGAGTTGGGTGTGGGCTATAGCAAGAGGTAACCAGAGATCTGGAGAAATGAGGCCTGAGAGAGGGTGTATCAGTTAAGTTTTGCTGCATAGCTACCTACCCCAGAACTTAGTGACTTCCGGTTATTTAGCTCTTTATTCTGTGCATCATCAGCTTGGGCTATGATCAGTGGGTAGCTCTTCTGTTGGCCTCAGATGAACTCACCCTTGTATCTTAGCTTGGGGATGGTTGGTCTCCAGGGACCTTCATGAAATAGCTCACCTCTGCTCCACATGTTATCTCATCCTCCAGTACGCCCACCTGAGCTTCTTTGTGGGGAGCTAGGTTCCAAGAGTAGCAAGACACAGCAAGCTCCCACAGGCAAGCACTTTAAGTCCCTGCTTGCATCACATTTGCTAATGTCCCACTGGTCACAGTCAGTCACATGGCCGAACCCAGATTCTACGAGTGGAGCAACAGCTCTACCTCTTGATAAGAGGAGCTACAAAGTCACCCAGCAAAGGTTAATGAATATAAGGATTTGTAACCAGTATTGCAGTCTACAACACTCTTTCCTCTGGCCACAAATTACTCACAGCTGTCCAAGATGCAAAGTATGCTCAACCCATATTTTGGATGCCCAAATGTCCCATCTAATCATGGCATCAGGCTTGAAGTCTAGGATCCAAATCAGATCTAGATGTGACTGAGGATTTGGGTGTATTGCTCTTCTTGATCCAGAAACCATGAACTAAAAGAAAGTTCTGTCCCCATATATCCAACATACTTTAGTGAGAGAAAAATAGGATAAATAGAATTCTGTTATTTCCCCATTCAATAAAGGAAAGAACAGAAGCACAAGATTGTCACTGCTCCATAATAATTCTGAAATCCTATGAGGCACATATTGTCCTACCCTGGGGGCAGAGAATGTTTCTTGATTAGGAGTCAATTTGACTCTCTGGAAGACTCTGCCCATGCCATTGTTTTCTATTGCTTCCTGAGAGGAGCTTTCTAATCCATTGTTTTCCAGGACCTTGACTCCACCCTCTGGACTCTTGGCTCTACTCTCAGAAACATGTTTTCTTTTTTCATAAGGAAAGGCCTGTATTTTCCACCTTGATTTCTCAATCTGCTTCCCATATTAAGAGTGAGCCCCAAAGGTCTTTTTGTAGTTTGAGCAATTTCAGTCAGATTTGGTCCAAGTTGGTAATCCTGTTACTAATAAAATTCCCTTAAAAACTCCAAGGGTGTTTTATGTATCAGATTATGGCTTTCACCATCTGATAAAAGCCACACCTAAGACTGTGTTCTAGACACACTCTTGCTCTAAATCTACCAATGTCTATTTTGGGATTAGGCTTCTGTGAGACCAATACCTTTAGATTCTTAGAAGCATTTCTGTCTAGCTGAAAGGGTCTAATAAGCACTGATTAAGCCTTTCAAAGGTCTTAACAAAGGGCTGTATAGACACATCCTTGTTTGATCTTTGTTCTTAGGCCTAGTTTTACTTTGAATGTTATTTATCCATTGAGGACCTTGGAAATTAGAGACAATCTTGTTTTCTAACTCATTAAGTCCTGGGCTCTCTTCTTTGCCTCTAAATACCACTTGCAAACTAAATCATTCCTTCTTTATCCTCACTTTCTCACAGCACTTTACCATATGCAACCAGAAGCACCCAAATGACATTTTCATTATTCTGCCTGATGATCTCCTTAGCCAAATCCAAAAGTTATTAGATGCATATTTTTGTCTTCTGAAGTACAACAGCACTCCACCACTACATAACATGGGAAATCATTTCTCCAGTCTGCTGTGGCAGTTTCCTCTCCCCTTTTCCAGATTCCTTCAGCAGTGAGATCACCACTTTTCCAGCCTTTGCTAAAGGCTTACTCACAGCTTCTCCAGCGCCACCTGCCACCTAGTCCCAAACCCAATGCATGTGTTGGATTATTGTTATCTTACTTCTAGCTACCAATTTCTACATCAATTAGCTTTTGCCCCATATCAAACAACCCCAAAACTTAATAGCTTACTCAACAACCACTTATTTAGCTCCTGATTCCCTGGGTCTGCTGGGCAGTTCTTCTGACCTCTGCTGGGCTTGCCATGAGTCTGCAGTCAGTTGGTGAGTTGCCTGGTGGCTGGATAGTATTGGGCAGTCCCACATGGGTGTCTGGCTCTTTGCAAGCTGGCAATCAACAGGGACAACTGGGCCACTTGTCTTGCATTATCCAGCAGGCAGGCCAGTCTTTATGTTCAGTGTTCCAAAGAGCAATAAGAGAAAGCAAGCTCCAATGGGCAGACACTGTACAGATCATATTTACTGTTGCCCCCTTGGCCAAAGAAAGTCACATGACCAAGCCCAGCATCAGGGAGAGAGGGTCTACCTAAGGGTATGGAAACAGAAGGAAGAAAAAAATTATGGCCATTGTTGTTGTTTACTACAGAGGAAGATGACGACCACATGTCCTTTGTCTTTCAGAATGTGGCAGTGATTCCAACCGTATTCAGTTTCAACCCAGCCAATACCACCACCAGCCCTGTCAATGCTACCACTGGTCCTGTCAATGCTGCCACTGGCCCTGTCAGTGCCACCAATGGTCCTGTCAATACTACCATTCACCCTGTCAACACCACCACCAGCCCTGTCAACACCACCACCAGCCCTGTCAATGTTACCACTGGTCCTGTCAATGCTAACATTGGCCCTGTCAATGTGACAACTGGCCCCGTTAACACTACCACTGCCCCTGCCAAAGCTACCACCAGTTGTGTCAATGCTATCCACACCAGCAATGTACCCCCGAACCCTCGTACCAAGAAATAGCTGATTTGCACAGAGATAGATGACATGGGATGCCTGTCTCAATGACAAGGGGATACACTGTAGCTGTATCTTTTCTTCTCCCTGAAACTTCCATGACCATGACCCTAGCCTTGTTGCCAGACTGAAATGAACAAGCATTTCCTCTCCTCTTCACTCCTAAGCTTCATTTTTGTTTGTTATTGATGTCTTTTTTTTCATTCATAAATAATTTTCCTTTGGCTCTCAGTATCTTTTAACCTTGGCAAAGTTCAGGGTGCATTTTGGTTCCGTGGTTCCTGATGTATGCTCACTGTTGAAAAACCGGTTCTAAATCGGTGCCTCAGCCATGGAATTCTTGTAGGTCCAACTTCTTCCCAGTCCGCAGCTCTAACTCTGACACGGTTCTCCCACACAGAGGAGGGGGAGCAATGTGGAGTGTGTTCAGTATTCCCAGGTGTAGGAGGAGGAAAATCTTTGTGACCTAGAGTTAGGTGAAGAGTTTTTAAACAAGACACCAAAAATACAATTCACAAAAGGAAAAAAATCAATAAGTTGGACTTAGAATTAAAAACAGTTGCTCTGTGAAAGATCTTGCTAAGATAAAAAGTCATAGGCTGGAAGAAAATATTTGCAAATCATATATCTGACAAAGGACATGTTTCCACAATATATAAAGAACTCTCTAAACTCAACAGTATAAAAAAAAATCTAATCACAAAATGGACAAAAGGCTTGAACAGAGGCTCTAACAAAGAGAATATAGGGTTGCAAATAAGCGTATGAAAAGATGTTCAATGTTATTAGCCATTAAGTACAATGAAATAACACTACACACCTATTAGAATGGCTGAAATTAAAAATACTGATAATACCAAGTGCTGGTGAAAACAGAGCAACTGGAGGTCTCAGATGTTGTTAGGATGTAAATGGCACTGCTACTCTGGAAAACAGCTTGGCTGATTATTATAAAGCAAAGTATACACTTACCATATGACTCAGCAATCTTGTTCCTGGGTATTTATCCTAGAGAAAATAAAACTTACTTCCACACGAAATGCGAATAGCAGCTTTATTTGTAATAAACAAAAACTGGAAACAACCTGAGTGTTCTTCACTGGATAAATAATGGAAAAGCAAACTGTGCTACATCCATACAACAGAATACTTCTCAGCAGTAAAAAGGAACAAGCTATTGATGGCTGTGGAGGAAGCAAAACTTTACCTCTACCTATCTTCATTTTTGTTTGTTATTGATGTCTTTTTTTTTTTCATTCATAATAATTTTCCTTTGGCTCTCAGTATCTTTTAACCTGGCAAAGGGCAGGGTGCATTTTTGTTCCGTGGTCCCTGATGTGTGTTCATTGTTGAAAAACCAGTTCTAAGCCAGTTCTAAATCAAGCTAAAATAGGTTTTCAGCTGAGGCTCTTTAACATAAAGACAGGTTCACAAGACAAAAGCAGTTTAATTAGCCCACACAGCACACATCACCTGGGAAAAACCTCAAGGAGAAGTAACTCAGGGCAGTGGCTTAGAATCTGCTTACATAGCATCTTCCCCAAAGAACAATGGATTTGTAGAGAAATGACAGGACAAAGGAAGGCAGTTTTAGGCTTCCAAAGGCAGGAAACGGTGGGAAGTTAAATATATGGAAAGAAACTAATGGAGTAAGGTTTGCTTACAGTTTCCTCTGGAGCCATTTCTGGGCTAATAAGAGTTTAGACTCTTCTTCAGCAAAGGAGAATTTACATCCTGCCTTTAGGCAGAAAAGGAAGAAGATAGAGGGAACTTTTCCTGCATTTGCTTCTTCTTAATTGCCTTCAGCTTGAAATACTTTCTACGTCAAAGAGGCATATTTGGGGGTGACATAATCTGGTTTCCTTCAATACACACAACAATTTGGATTTCAAGGACATGAGTGAAAAACCCAATCTCAAAGTATTGCACACTGCATGACTCCACGTATATAATATTCTCATAATGACAAAATTATAGCCAAAAAAGGAACGAATTAGAACGTCAAGAATAATAGCAATGGCCAGGCACGGTAGCTCATGCTTGTAATCCCAGCACTTTGGGAGGCTGGGGGGGCGGGGGGGTTGGATCACCTGAGGTCATGAGTTCGAAACCAGCCTGGCCAACATGGTGAAACCCCATCTCTACTAATAATACAAAAATTTGCTGGGTGTGGTGGTGTACGCCTGTATTCCCAGCTACTCAGGAGGCTGAGGCAGAAGAATTGCTTGAACTCAGGAGGCAGAGGTTGCAGTGAGCTGAGATAGCACCATTACACTCCAGCCTGGGTGACAAGAGTGAAACTCTGTAGAAGAAAAAGACGAGGAAGAGGAAGAGGAAAAGGAGGAAGAGGAGGAGGAGGAAGAAGAAGAAGAAGAGGAAGAGCAATTGCAATAATAATAATTGCAACAACACCTGCAATGGATTGAAACACATGGCTCATCATGTTAGAAAAAAAAAAATCTGTGATTATCTTTGGAGATTGCTAGGGCACACCTATTATTCTAAAAACTTGTAAATAACAGGAAAGAATCGAGCATTCCCAAAAGCAAAAGCAAGGAAAGAATCACTCAGCCTATAGCAGCACCAAGGAAGGTAAATAGGTCATCAGCTGGGATAGCACAGCACTGGGCAATGAGAGGGTGGGGCTTAGTGCTGGGCTTAGAGTCTGGACATTTCCATTTTTTCCTGCTGTTCCTAGTTCTTAAATTTCAGCATGCCTTGCTTAGTCTGGGCCTACAGGGTTGCTGATACGAGCAATGATCAGGCCACCATAAAGAAACGGACTGTTGCACTTAGCTATTGCCACAAAATTTCTGTAAAACCTCAGAGGCATCCCACAAGAAGCGTTTATTTTTGCTCACGAGTCTGTTGGTTGTCTGGGCAGCCTTCCTGATTTGATCTGGGCTTGGCAGGACTCATCCATGTGCTTGTGTTCAGCTGAGGGTCAGCTAGGTGGCCCTGCTGACCTTGACTGCATATGTGGGGCCTCAGCGGGGACAACTGGGCCAGCTTGGCTGCGCTCCATGTGTCTCATCCTCCAGCAGGCTGGTCCAGGAGTGGTCCATAGTGGTTGCAGAGCTCCAAGGGAGAACAGAAGCAGCTCAGACCTGACACATGGCCACTTCTGCCTTGTTCTATTGGCAAAGGAAGCCACAAGGCAGCTCAGTTTCAAGGATTTGGCAAAAGAGACTCCATCTCTAGCTTCAAGAGGTGTGGTGCTGGTTCAACTGAGAGCTGGCCCAGCCATGGGCATCCAGACCATTCCCTGTGCCATCTTGAGCCCTCAGGTCCTGTGTCATCTCCCTGACTTTGTGTGGGGGCATCAAGAGCAATTTTGGTGAGAACTTGAACCCAGAAACTGATGAACAATTTGCTCCACTTGCATGTGCCACTCCAATATCACTCCATGTGCACACTCACACTAACGTGTGCACACACACGTGTGCACACATTCACACACGTATGCACACACACTCATTTGTACACACACATGCATACGTATGCACACATGCACATGGATGCACACAGACTTACACGCACGTGTGCACACTCACCCATAGGTGTTCTCACACACGTGTGTGCACTGGCACGTCTGTGCACAATCACTCACGTGTGCACACACCTTACTCTCACATGCATGCGCATGCACCCACATGCGCATGTGCACACACACGTGTGCACACACTAACACACTCACACCTACACGTGCACACACATTCACACTCAATCCTCACATGCATTTACACACACGTGTATGTGCACACACATTCATGCCCACCCTCACACATTCACACACCATCACACACATCCACACACTCACACACTCACATCCACACACATTCACACACATCCACACTCACATGCACACACATGTGTGCACATGCTCACACCCTCACACACACACACCCCTATGTTCACACACCCCTATGTTCACACACCCCTATGCTCCTGCCATTGGGAAGCTGTGGGCTCCCTGGCCCCCAATCTAACATTAGACAAGTCCAATGGAAGAAAGCCAGTTGGCCTCTGATTACTCAGTTTCCCCCTCTCAGCGGCAGGGGGATGAAGGCTAGTTTGGATCCCCATCCCAGCTCTGATGCTAACTGGGGGACCCCAGCAGGCAACCTGCCTCTCTGGGCCTCGGTTTCCCCTTTTGTAGATTGTAGGAAGGTATCCAGATGCTCTCCCTGGGCCCTTGCGGCCTGGCGGCCGATGATTCCACGAGCGGCTTCCTCCTCTCCCTCAGTTGGGCCATATGGACAGAGGCCTCTGAGCCAGGAGGGACCTGAGAATTTCCCAGAGGCGGCAGCTCACAAGCAGAGTAGATTTCCAAGCCCCACGCGAATAGCAAGGATTTCACATGAATATGTGTGAACTCAGTAGAGTTGGCTGCGGGAGAACAGAGGCAGCCGGGAGCGAGCGGCAGCACAGCAGCGGTGGCAGCCCGGTGAGTACCCTCCGCCCTTCCAGGGGGGCAGTCAAGGCCGCCCAGCCCCGAGGTGTAGCAGGGGAACTGGCGCAGGAGCACCTGGGATCCCCGGGAAAGGAAAGAGATAGAGCTGCTCATCAGAGGAGGGTGCGGCCCTCCCTGTGCGTCTCATCCCCCACCTGGCACTAAGGGGCTGGACGGCTCCTGGGGCCCTCTGAACTCCTTGCCTCCCACAGACAGAGAACCACCAGCCTAGAGCCCATGGGCCCCATTGCACAGGTGAGTGGGGTAAAGGAGGGGCCTCTGTCTTCTCTCCTCAAAGCCAGTGGCTGAGATGACTCAGGCATCCGCTAGAGACCCTGGGGCCCTAACCATTCTCTCAGGGAAATGGAGTGTAGGTCCTCACTCCAACCCAGCCCCGGACTGGGCAGAAAGGTGATTCCTGCTGAGATGCAGGCACCTTGCAAGAAAAAGAGAAGGACCCGGCAGGGCTTCTTAGCTGGAAAGAAGCCGAGGGGCAAATTGTTTCACCTCTCATTTATAGATGAAGAAACGGAAGCCCAGTGCAGGAAAGGGGCTGTCCCTGCACCTGGCCCTTAGTGACGATGGAGAGCACAGTGGCGTAGAGCAGAACCCTGCCAAGGGGCCAAGCTTGGGGAGTGGGAAGGGAGGGGAGGCCTGCGTCCACCATGGTGTGTTTGCATCTGTTGGCATCCTTTCTAGGCCAGTGGGGCAGGTCTAGGCTGTCCTGGAAGGGCTAAGATTGGAGGAACCCGGGTCCAGCCTCCCAGCTCTGGCATCCAGATAGATGCCGTGGGGTCAGACTTAGACAGAAGGGGTGAATTCCCACCTGATCCACAAAGTGGTGGGGCCACAGCGACCAATGGGCAAAGTAGATGGAGCATCCTCAGGAGCCTGGAGCACCCACCACCCTCACAGCCACCCATCTGGCAGATGGGGAAACTGAGGCCCAGAGAGCCTAAGCAACTTGCCCAAAGTCATGCAGCTGGTTAAGCTCATTGAATAGTAGGGTGGATTCTTACCAAGCTGATCCCAAGGCCTATTAGCTTAACCACTAAGCAAAACTGCCTCCTCTCAGATGTGCAGATGTGCAGGGCCTCCCCACCCAGATGTGCGCTTATAAATTTTGTCCAAGACACCCTCTCTTCCAGCTGGTAATGCCCCATTCCAGGCAGCAGCTGCAGCCCATGAACAAAGCTGCTTTTGGCTCTTCGTGTATAAAGGTGATAAACATGCTCACAAGACAAGTCCTGGCTGCTCAGGGCAGCTCAGCCTAGGACTCTGGGGCAGCCTGTCACTGAATGTCCTGAGCTCAGTTTCCTCATCTGCAAAATGGGAATACTAATAGTACCAACCTCATAAGGTTTTTAAAATAATAGAAGCTAAAGGGCATGGCAATGGCATGCCTCCTGTGTACCAGGCACTGTGCTAGGCACGAGGTTGGGTATTAACTCTTTTAAAACTCACAGCAACCATAGAAGGCTGAAATTGGGGCAGTCCAGTGGCTTTTCTGACTGCACTCAGACAAGACAAACACCTGTGATCTAGTAATTAAAGTGTTCAATCTTGTGTTATGTCACGACTTGATTTGGGGCCCCTCGGTTCTCAGCCCGGGCACGTGGCAGGTGAGAAAGGGTGTGTGGTGGGCTTCCTCTCCCTTTTCCCACTGGATTTCCCTCCTCCTCCCCAGCCAGCCAGCTAACTGTGGCTTCTGCCCTCTCCAAGGCTGAATAATGGGGAAAGAGGGGAACGGGGTAGGAATGCGTACTTGTCTGATACTGTTGGAAGCTAGCGTCACCTCCCTGAGACTGGCAGAGGAAAAGCTGACTTCTCTGCAGGTGTTTTCATGGGTTCTACGGAGATGCCCCCGACACTTGGGATCTCTCTCCTGTGTCCCCCCCACAAAATTCCTCCCTCAACTCAGGAGGAAACTGTCAGGTCCACTATGCAGGCTGTACATTGAAATGTCTCCCAGAAGTCACCTTAAAGCCAGCCTCTCTGCCTTAAGATAAAGAAGGACGCATCCCCCTCCCCCATATACAGTGCTCAGATGATTCTATAAGTTCTCTCCCAAAACCCACTCTCAATCCCCACTCCCTACCCCATGGGGGAGGTGCGAAAGGCATCTAGCAGGTTCTCAGCCACCTGCTTTCCGCACGTCCCACTGAGCCATCTACAGCACAGCTCACTTCAGTACCTGATCTCAGCTGAAACCTCCCTTTAACATCTCTGATAAATACATCAGCCTTCAAGGCCCACAGCCTGTCCCATTCTCCCACACTGCTATTTCTAGTCTTTGGTTTACTGGTCTGCAAAATGGGCTGAATAACACTTACCTTACAGGGCTACTGGATGGTTCTGTGGTCTCATACAGGTGACGGCTCTTTATAAACTGTGAGAGGGCTGTGCATATGAGGGGCTGTTACTACCACTGCTCATTCATTGGGTGATGACATGCATTTTGGTGATGTCTAGGTATTTTATGTGTCTCTGCTACAGGCAGCTCTTCCTCTGGTGGGTATCTTGCAGATTCCTAGAGGCAGGGGACAGTGGCTTTTCCCTCTTCCACCTGTCCGTCCCTGACATGCATGCATTTGTGTTTTGGGCATGCTAACTGATTGGTTAGTAAGAAAAAGAGAGTCCTCCTTCTGGGTGGCACAGAGCCAGGGCATGGGCCAGGTAGCCTCTGGAATGTGGCGGATGGGTTAGTCCCTGGCCCCAGGGTTCAGAGGTGCTGGTGGTGGCTGCAGAGGGCTAGGAAGAGAGAGGAATTTGCAATCTCAGGAACTATGTGACACTTTCATGCTCACGATTTCACTTAACCTGCCTGTTGACAGGGAGCCTATTTTTGTAGGTGTTTTCTCCTGAGGATCACAAGGTCTCTATTTTCTCAAATTTCTCACCACTTGCCCAGGAGAGATGTTGTTAATTACACATGTGCTCCCTTCTGGGGCTGCGCAGGCCCAGTCTGATCTGAAAGCCCACGAAGAGCCCAGCTGAACCACATGGGGCTGGTCCTTCCCCACCCCAGAAGGTCCACAAACCTGCCACACACCACTGTGGATCTCAGATGCAGTGTTCACCTGTCCCTGGTGAAATGACAACTATACGGGAAGAGTGGTGAGGGGCTCACCAAGTTAAAATTGTTAAATTTTAAGGTTTTGTGTTTGTATCTTTTTTTTTTTTTTTTGAGATGGAGTCTTGCTCTATCGCCCAGGCTGAAGTGCAGTGGCACGATCTTGGCTTACCTCCATCTCCTGGGTTCAAGCGATTCTCCTGTCTCAGCCTCCCGAGTAGCTGGGATTACAGGCGTGCGCCACCATGCCCAGCTAATTTTTGTATTTTTAGTAGAGATGGGGTTTTACCATGTTGGCCAGGATGGTCTCAATCTCCTGACCTCATGATCCACCTGCCTCGGATTCCCAAAGTCCTGGGATTACAGGCGTGAGCCACCGCGCCCAGCCTGTATCTTAAAATTATGTCCTTTCTACTTCTTTGGTGTTAAAATATCTTTTCTAGATGATGGTGAAAACATGGATGACTTTTTGCATGAACTTACTTGGGGAAGTAGAAAACTGGCAGACTCATTTGGTCCCAATTTGTTTCTCATTTGCTGATCTGTGAACAAGCATTTCAGAACTATTACTCCCAGGGGTGAAGTTCAAACATTTGTTCCTTCATCTGACAAAGCCAGGACTCAAACCCAAAAGTACTGGAATTCCATAACGTCAGCACTCTTCCTACTGAGAGATGGGAGTCTGGGTCCATTCCTGTTCTGCCGCTGAGGTGCTGTGCAACTGGAAGGAAAATACTCGTCCTCTCTGAACTTCTGTTTTCTTATCTCTAAATCACACGTAATAATCCATGCCTGCCTCTCCCTTAGAGTGAGATGCGGGCTGTAAATGTTCATTATTACATCTGAGGAAGGGAAAGACCGATGGGCGGGGTGGGTCCCCCCTCACCCCAAGTTCTTCATTATTCTGCCATGTGTTTCTCTTGTCCAGTGTTCATGGACTCCCAGCCAAGGCAATCTCTAGCAATGTCCTCAGAAACTGTAGAGTCTCCCCAGATATGTCCATTTTGTGCTGCTATCACAGAATACCCAAGACTGGATAATTTATAAACTTCAGAAATGTATGCCTCACAGCTCTGGAGGCTGAGATGTCCAAGATCAAGGTGCCAGCAGATTTGGTGTCTGGTGAGAGCCCCATTCCTCACTTACTTCCGAGGTGGCGCTTTGTTGCGGCATCTTCCGTGGGGGACAAATGCTGTGTCTTCACATGATGGAAGGCATAAGGGCAAAAGGACCTAAGCTAGTTCCCTCTCTGCCTTTTATAAGGCATGAGTCTACTAATAAGGCAGAGCCCTCATGACTTAACCATTTTCCAAAAGGCCCCACCTCCTAATGCCATCACGATGGAGATTAAGTTTCAACATGAATTTTGGAGGGGACACATTCAAACCACAGAAGGTGGGGAAGAAGAAAGAGATTGAAGAAGAGAGAAAAAGGAAAGAGAAGGAGCGTGGGGCAAGGGAGATGGGGACAGCAGGGGAGCAGGCAGAGGACCCTTGTTTTGGGTCCACGTCCTCCCTGAAGACATCCCTGAGTTCCACAATCAGGAACCCTTCTCCCTCCCCCCACCGAGCCTCCTCTACCTTGCTAGTCTCTGAGAGCAGGACATCCAGCCTTAATTCATCGTTGCATTCCCAGTCCCTGAACTTGGTGCTCATAGTAAACACTTAACAATTGTTTGTTGGACTGAATTGCAAACTGCTCTTGCTCCTCCTACTAAACTCTAAGTCCTTTGAGGACATGGACTTTGTGTTTTACTCCTGTATGGATTCATTCTGGGAAAATATAACAATCAGGAGAAACTTAAGTTATGCTGCTATAACAAACAGCTGAGTGGCTTAACACAACAAAGGTTTATTTCTTCCTTCTGTTCTATGTCTCCTGGAGGCTCTGTTCACTCAGGGACCCAGATGGATAAGGCAGGCTCTGCCTGGAACACTGATAGTCACTGTGACAAAGGGAAAAAGAGCCCTGCAGAGTCACGTGCTGACACCTAAATGCTCCACCCAGAAGCTATGCGTTTACTTCCACTTGCATTGGTTTAACCAAAACAAGTCACGTGGCCATGCCAAACTTGAAGGCACCCAGAATGTAAGGGCTGGGAACAATAGGGAGATAACAGTTGTGTCTGGCACTGGAGACAGCAATAGGGGGCACAGATGCAGACTCTGCGGATGGCCAAACTTGGACTTGAATCCCAGCTCAGCCATTTCATGATATATCACCTTGAGCAAGTCCTTTCACTGCCCTGAACCGAGGTTATCACAGCCGTAAAAAAAACTTTCAGGAATTATCAAAGGACCATTGTGAGGATAAGAAATAACTTATTTGAAGTGCCTAGGAAAGAGCAAGTCCTCAAAAAATGTTTATGATAAGCTCTTATTAACCTGGCACCAGTGCAGAAACAATGTGGGGCTCTATCACTGTTAATTGGTTTAGAAAGTTCCAGAGAGGGCCAAGCGCAGTGGCTTGTACCTGTAATCCCAGCACTTTGGGAGACCAAGGTGGGTGGATCACCTGAGGTCAGGAGTTCAAGACCATCCTGGGCAGCATGGCCAAATCCTGTCTCTACTAAAAATACAAAAATTAGCTGGGCATGTTGGTGACGCCTACAGTCCTAGCTACTTGGGAGGCTAAGGCAGGAGAATTGCTTGAACCTGGGAGGTGGTGGTTGCAGTGAGCCCAGATTGCGCCATTGCACTCCAGCCTGGGTGACAGAGCAAGACTCCATCTCAAAAAAAAAAAAAAGAAAGTTCCAGAGAGGTGAGTGATGAGATAGGATCATTAGCAACATCATCTTGAAACCCTCCCCCAAAAGTGAACCCCAAAACATTCACAGCACCTCACCAATCTCCAAGGACTTTCTTACCATTTTCGACCCTCACAATAAACTGAGGCACAGTGAGCAGCCTTCAGTATCTTTATTTTTATTTTATGGAAATGTAGACTAGCTCAGTGCCATTTCACATTTTGCCCAAAATCACAGCAAATAATCAAGATAAACAACTAGGATAGGCAATATTTAGCAATGTCCTCAGAAACTATATAGTCTTTCCAAATACGTCCATTTTGTGCTGCTATAACAGAACACCTGAGACTGGGTAATTTATATAGAACAGAAATTTATGCCTCACAGTTCTGGAGGCTGAGACATGCAAGTTGAAGCAATAGCTAAAATTTAATGAGTGTTTACTATGTGCCAGGCAGTGTTCTAAGAATGGGGTTGGCAAATTACAGCCCACAGATCAGACCTGGCTCACCATCTGTTTCTGTAAATAAGTTTTTGTTTTGTTTTGTTTGAGACAAGTTCTCACTCTGTCACTCAGGCTGCAGTGCAGGGGCGCAGTCTCAGGTCACTGCAGCCTTGACCTCCGGGGCTCAAGAGATCCTCCCACCTCAGCCTCACGAGCAGCTGCGACATGTGTGTGCCACCACACCTGGCTATTTTTTTGTATTTTTTTTTGGTAGGGGTGAGGTTTCACCATGTTGCCCAGGCTGGTCTCAAACTCCTGAGCTCAACCAATCTGCCCACCTCAGCCTGCCAAAGTGCTGGGATTACAGACATGAGCCACTGCACCCAGGCATAAATAAAGTTTTATTGGAACACAGCCACACCCATTTGGGTATATATTGCCTATGTCTGCTTTGCACTACAATGGAAGAGTCACGTGTTTGCAATCGAAGTTATATGGGTCCCCAAAGCCCAAAATATTTACTATCTGATTCTCTCTTTTTTTTTTTTTCTTTTGAGATGGAGTCGCGCTCTGTCACCCAGGCTGGAGCGCAGTGGCGCGATCTCGGCTTACTGCAAGCTCCGCCTCCCAGGTTCACACCATTCTCCTGCCTCAGCCTCCCGAGACTACAGGCACCCGCCAACACGCCCGGCTAATTTTTTGTATTTTTAGTAGAGACAGGGTTTCACCATATTAGCCAGGATGGTCTCAATCTCCTGACCTTGTGATCCACCCGTCTTGGCCTCCCAAAGTGCTGGGATTACAGCCGTGAGCCGCCGTGCCCGGCCTACTATCTGATTCTTGAAAAAAGTTTGCCAACCCTGCTCTGAGTAGTTGTCATGTCTACTAATAATCAGGTTAGTGTCAGATCCTGGAAATGAGAGACTCAGTGGAGACGGTGCTATTTGGGAAGTCACAGCACAATCCCTCTGGTGATCCACTCTGAGCATCACGTGTTGGTCACACCTCCTAGGCTGAAGGGAGCCATGTTAGTAAGCCCTTAAAAATGTCAAATGGCTTCCCCCACCCCTTAATGCCAGCAGATTCTTATCCTGTGTTTTCTCAGCCATCTCCTTGGAGGTGCCTCCAGTCACTGAAAACCTTGCTCAAGAGCCTATGTGTCCTTTTCGCTCTATTTCTCTGCATAGGGTCCAACGCTGTCCCTTGCCCCCTTTGTTCACCAATATAGGTCAGACCTATCACAAAATAAATGGCACAGAGGCTTCCTGAAGACACACATATTTTGAGCACAGAACAGTGAGGCTGAGCCCTTATCAGCCAAGAGCGCTTGCAGAACCACAGAGAATCTGCTGCACAATCTGCAAGCTGGTGCTCTCCCGAGCATGCATAGTAGGTCTCAGAGCACTGGGAAGCAATGCACATCCACGGTCCATTGTAAGTCACTGGCTTAGATATGTTATATTTAACAAAACATCTCAGCCGCATCGTGTTATAACAAGTCACGTTGTAAGGGATGGATTTTATCAAGTTGGTGTGTGTTTCCCACCAAACTCTATGAGATTGGTATTATCCCTATTTCACAGGTAAGGAAACTGAGGCAGAGGGTGACCCTCTCGCTCCCGTGCCTCACAGTAACAAGAGGAGCCAGAATTCAAACCCTGGCTTCTATCTCAGACCCTTACACTGAACTGGTAAACTCCTCACACACCCATGCCAACAAGAAGGATGACTGTTTTCGATCTCATTGTATAATCTGGCAGATTCAGCACTCTGTTGTTTCCTGGTAAGCTCATCTCCTGACACCTGGGTAATGGGTGTTTTTTCCCAAAGTGTTTGCCCAGGCCAGCCACACCTAAAGTGTTGGGGTACATGGCAACATATCCAAGCTTATGTACGTGGCATTTGAGGTCAGGGCATGGAAAAATACGGAGGCACTGTGTGTATGTTATTTGTGCATAAGAATGTAACTCCTTGGCCCTAAAAACAGGACAAGGAGTGAAGTGTGTCATAAGGAACGCTGAAAACAGCCTCCTAAGAATGTGGTTTGAGAGCTTTTGCAAGGCCGCAGGTGTCTCATGACCCCACCTCAAAAAGCCATCTAGTGGATGTTTGTGGTTTAACAATCCCTTTCAATAAATACTTGGCGGACAGATGCTAGGGCAGGCTCTCACAAGGGCGGGCTCTCAGAAGAGCTGCCCCCACCCCCTCTCCCAGCCCCCTTCAGCTGAAATTGTCTAAGAACTCATTCTTGGCGTTCACTGCAAGCTATAAGCTCTGCAAGTGGTGACCCCGACGTGATCGCCTTGAAGTTACGCTTGAAGGAGGAAAACTCATCAATTTTCGGGGAATCCCGGTAAGGGACAGTCCTGACTCCCGTCAGGAGGATGGGACCCACGCGTAAAATATCAGGGGTTGGATTATCATGGGTCAAGAAATGACCAAAGAACAGAAAGTGTTTTTTAAAAACAGTGCGACAGCTACTTAAGGCTAACCAGTGCACTGCAGAGCCTGGAGCTCTACACAACGCTATGATCTTAATTCGGCAGGAATGCCCTTGGTTTCCTGATCAAGGAACCTTAGACTTGAGTTATGGAGCAGGTAGGTCACTGCCTGAAAACAGGATGTGAGCAAGGTCATTTTACTGAGGTTATTGTTTTGACCACCTGGGCGCCGGTACACTCGGTGTTGTATCCTCTTTATCTGCCAGATTGCAGTGGGTCAGACCGCCCGTCTTTGCCTGAAGGGAATTCAGGAGGTTTAAAGGAGAAGGAAGAACAGGAGCCAACCAGGACAGCGGGAGGCGGGCGGGGGGTCCTCTCTCTACTTCATTCCCTTCTGTAGGGCATAAGGAGGATATTTTTTTCTAGTGATCATGAGGACGGACCGGAGCCTTTTCCTCCCCCTATAGAAAAGCCATTGCCCTCTTTTCCTCCACCCTTAAAGGGACCTGTATTCGTTGGCCCCGTTCAGGCAATGGCGCCTCCCATCCCCCTTGAGGAGTCTGGAGGCCGCCCAAGAGATGGTTCTTGGATAAGACCTCCAGTCAGTGAATATCTATATGATCGGGTGGCCGTGTCCTCAACGCCAACTCCTCGTCAAACTTTCTTAGTAGAGGGGTGCCTCCAAGAGGGACTTAGGAAGGGAGACTCTGAGGCGCTTTTTGGCGCATTCCCTGTTATTGTTCAAAGCAACAGGAGATGGCATGAGAGTTTGCCTTTTACTGTCTTTAAAGAGTTAAAGAAAAGTATCCGTGAAAACAGTGTACATTCACCGTTTACGAAGGAGGTGATTGAGGCTCTGGGAAATGGCTATAAGATGACTCCACATGATTGGAAAACTTTGGTAAATGTTTTGGTTTCAGCTGCAGAATATACTGTGTGGTGGAGTGAGTACAGTGATTTAGCCATGCAGCAGTCCTTGCAAAATTTGGATAATAATATCCCGATACAACTTGATATGCTATTGGGAACAGGGCCTTTTGCTTCAGCTCAGACTCAGGGTCAAGCAGGTGGCCATCTATTTCCTCAATGCTCACAGCTAGCAATACAAACATAAAAAAAAAAAATCCCGTAAGACAATCCCAGGGTTCCTTTATAACAGTTAAACAAGGTGCCACAGAAACATACATTAAATTTATCAACCGACTGCAAGCTGCAATTGAAAAACAGGTATCCCATCCTAAGGCTACCAAACTTCTTATGTTACAATTGGCTTTTGAAAAAGCAAATAAGGATTGTCAGACAGCAATAACTCCAGTCTAAGCCACTGCCACTGAAATCAGTGTGTTTATTAAAGCATGCCAAAATATAGGCACTACAACTCATCTGACTCAAACTTTTGCTGCAATAATGACCGGAACCACATATTGTAATTGTGACCTAACCAGGCATATGGCAAAAATAACCCTGCTACTGTTTTCCTACCTTTAAGCAAAAAACAATTTCATACTCTTCTAGCTTGTGCTCTTGATTGGCAAATCGCAATAGCTGACTTTATTGGTAATATCAGCTTTCATTTACCAGCCTCTAAGCTCCTGAACTTTTTACAAACTGTGCCTGTTAAATTTGTATCTATTGTTGTTTCTGAGCCCTTGCTTCATGCCACTACTGTCTTTACAGATGGTTTAGGAAAAACTGGAAGAGCAGCTACAGTGTGGCAATAGGCCATGCAAAAAT
Source organism: Homo sapiens (assembly GCF_000001405.40). Taxonomy (NCBI): domain Eukaryota; kingdom Metazoa; phylum Chordata; class Mammalia; order Primates; family Hominidae; genus Homo; species Homo sapiens. The sequence goes on from NC_000011.10 coordinate 60,758,881, forward strand.
GGCAGCACAAAATCCAGGAACATTTTAAAACCACGCAACAGGCAGAGTTAGGTGCCCTGATATTGGCCTTACAAACTTTTCCTCACCAAGACATAAACATAGTTAGTGATTCCGCTTATGCGGTGTGTAGTATTACTCATTTAGATCTTGCACATGTGAAGGGCATTACTAATGAACCCCTACTAGCTTTGTTTCTTGCAGCGTAAGAGCTCCTCTGTGACCATCATTGTGGGGAAAAGAAAGAGAGATCAGACTGTTACTGTGCCTATGTAGAAAAGGAAGACAAAAGAAACTCCATTTTGATCTGTACAAAGAAAAATTGTTATGCTTTGAGACGCTGTTAACCTGTAACTTTAGCCCCAACCCTGTGCTCACAGAAACATGTGCTGTACTGAATCAAGGTTTAAGGGATTTAGGGGTATGCAGGATGTGCCTTGTTAACTATATGTTTGCAGACAGTATGCTTGGTAAAAGTCATCGCCATTCTCCATTCTCTATTAACCAGGGACACGATGCACTGCGGAAAGCCGCAGGGACCTCTGCCCAAGAAAGCCTGGGTGTTGTCCAAGGTTTCCCCCGACTGAGACAGCCCGAGATATGGCCTCGTGGGATTGGAAAGACCTTACCATCCCCTAGCCCGACACCCGTAAAGGGTCTGTGCTGAGGAGGATTAGTAAAAGAGGAAGGCCTCTTTGTGGTTGAGATAAGAGGAAGTCCTCTGTTTCCCACATGTCCCTGGGAATGGAATGTCTCGGTGTAAAGCCGACTATTCGTTCTATTCTGAGATAGGAGAAAACTGCCCTGTGGCTGGAGGCGAGATATGCTGGCAGCAATACTGCTCTGTTACTCTTTACTAACTGAGATGTTTGGGTAAAGAGAAACATAAATCTAGCCTACGTGCACATCTGGGCACAGTACCTTCCCTTGAACTTATTTATGATGCAGATTCCCTTACTCACATGTTTTCCTGCTGACCTTCTCCCCACCATCACCCTGTTCACCCTGTTCTTCTGCCGCACCCCCCATGCCAAGATAGTGAAAATAGTAATCAATAAACCCTGAGGGAACTCGGAGACCGGCGCCGGTGCAGTTCCTCGCATGCTGAGTGTGCCGGACCCCTGGGCCCACCGTTCTTTCTCTGTACTTTGTGTCTTATTTCTTTTCTCAGTCTCTTGTCTCCACCTGACGAGAAATACCCACAGGTGTGGAGGGGCAAGCCCCCTTCGATCATCACCCTCTTTACATCACACATATTCACTCTCATTCTGGGCTACCTGGTCCCTTATCAGAAGGGAACGCTCGAGCTAATGCTCTGGTACACACACAGATGTGGTTTGCAGACTCTCCTGCTTTTTTGCGAATTCAAGCTGATCATGCTTTTTTTCCATCAGAACGCCTGCAGTCTTAAACAACAGTTTCATTTAACACTTGCTCAAGCTCACATGATTATTAAAACTTATCCTGATTGCCAATGGCATTCTCTTTCCCCTTTTTCCTTAGGACTTGGTGCCAACCCACGAGGTCTGGTGCCTAATGCTATCTGGCAAACTGATGTTACTCAGTATCCACCCTTTGGACGTTTTAAATCTCTCCATGTTACTGTGGACACTTATATAGACCTAATACATGCTATCCCCATGCCGGAGAAAAAACTAAAGATGCAGTTGCTCATTTGTTTGAATCTATTATGACTCCAGGCCTTCCACAAACTGTAAAACTGATAATGGCCCCTGCTATCTTAGTGCTCACTTTGGCTATGCATTGCAACTTTGGCAATAAGATCAACATACAACCCAAGACTGGGATTCTCTGTAACTCAACCAGTCAGGCCATTATTAAACAAGCTCATCAAACTCGTAAAGTATATCTTAATAAACAAAAAAGGGGGAATATCGGGCCCTCTTCTCGAGAACAGGACCTGTCATTGGAGAATCGACTGACAATGACGGTGATGACTCAGAAGGCACCTGACATTACCTGGGGACAGCTAAAGAAATTGGATCAACAGGCAACTATCCGGCTTGCAGGCATAGAAGCCTCTGTAACTGCAGAGAATCAGTTTCTTATGTATCTGGGGGTAATTGGGAAAACTTCTGAGAAAGTAAGACGACATAGATGTTGGGGTGGCTGGTAATTCTTGTCCTTTGCCAAGTGGGATCACCTCAAGAACATGTTTACTGGAGTCATGTTCTAAATCCCCCTGTTTTTAATGTTATTTCATGGTGGGATGCTGACCTGCCTTTGTCATCTAATGATACTTCTTGGACGAGAGGTCGATGGATGCCCCTGTCTTACCCTTCAGTGGAAAATTTGGGATGGATTAAACTTAATAACTCCTTGGTTGTATTGTCTAGTAATCCCCCTCTTTGTTTTTCCACAATAGCACATGCTAAGTGTGTTACTCTTATTCTTCAGGAGTATCTTTACTATCAGTGTAAAAGGGATGCTAAGCTTGCAAACTTGACCTTTATTTCTGCTATTACCACTAATCTTACTGAGGTCTCTAATGAAGCTACACAAGTGCCTGATCTTCCTATATGCCGTCTGAGTAGGGACTGGGGATATAAGTTTGAGGCCATTCAGTGGTCTCCATCCAGACAGCCTGCGCCATGTCAAGGGCCTCTGTTTGATAATGGCACCTTACTTGATTGGAGTCCCCATGGTTATCTTATGTCTGCAAATCAGACTATTGGATCTGGGAGTCCCCAGTAAGTCTATCACCTGGTCAGAGTACAGGCTTTCAGGACCAATATTACAACTAAAAGGGAAACAAGCTTTAAGCCCTGCTCATACCCAAATTTGGAGATTAGAACTTCCTTTTTTTGAATGGGTTCTTTCACATGATGAGTATATTACTAGCAGTGGCAATTATACCCTCTGTTTCCATAATAATGTTACTGACATAGTTGTGATTTGTACTACGCACTCTTATATACTTTTGTTTGGGCAAAGTGTTCCTAATATAGAGCAGAATCAATCCTTTTATAGTAGTAAAGTCTCTTCCAGTAGTTAGTATGCTACATGCCTGTCTCATCGAAATGTTACATAGTTAAATATAACCTATGTCATGATCTTAAAATGGCGTGCAGAATTTTGGCTGCCTGTAAATTTAGCCTGGAGCTGGGAAGGAGATTCAACCCTGCAGCTGTTTAGAAAAGCACTGTCTCATACTCAGAAAAAAAGATTTCTGGCCACTTTAATTGCTTTTTTAGTCTCAGCTATTATTATATTAGCAACTGCTGCTACTGCAGCTGCTTTTTCTAACAAAATCTATTCACACAGCTTCAGTGGTGAACCACATGGTATATAATGTAACCCATAAATTTCAAAAACAGGTAAATATTAATCAAACTACTCTGTCTCACCTGGAGGCTCTTAAAGCTGCAGTTGAATGGCTGGGGGATCAGCAGCTGGCATTCATTACCCATCAACATTTATATTGTAATTGGCAATATAATTCTATCTATGTCACACCTCTGCCATATAATAGCTCCCAATATGCTTGGGAGAGAGTGAAAACACACCTGCAAGGGGCTTATCACAATCATTAGTCTTCTCAAATTCCCACTCTTAAGTGTAAATTTAAAAAACAACTTAAAAAATGGTCACAGCAATTATAAACAAATACCCTTCAACAATTATAAAAAGGCTTTCAATAGTTAAACCCAAACACTTAGTTATCTGGGTTAAACATACACATTTGGGTAATGGCCAATATACTTATTCTTTTTTGTATTTGTTTGCTAGGTATGTACAAATGGCTCTGTGCTGTCACTCAGTGCATCTATAACCAAGAAAAAGCAATAAAAGCTTACCTCGCTTTAAATAACCAACATACTCTAAAAATTAAAGAAGGGGGAGATGTTGAGGGTGCACGGCAACATATCCAAGCTTATGTACATGGCATTTGAGGTTGGGGCATGGAAAAATACTGAGGCACTCTGTGTATGTTATTTATGCATGAGAATGTAACTCCTTGACCCTAAAAACAGGACAAGGATTGAGGTGTGTAATAAGGAACGCTGAAAACAGCCTCCTAAGAAGGTGGTTTGAGAGCTTTTATAAGGTCATAGGTGTCTCATGACCCTCAAAAAGCCATCTAGTGGATGTTTGTGGTTTAACAAGCTCTTTCAATAAATACTTGGCGGACAGATGCTGGGGTGGACTCTCTCAGAAGAGCTCCCCGCCACCCCCGCTCGAGGCCCACTCAGCTGGAATTGTCTAAGAACTCATTCTTGGCATTCACTGCAAGCTATAAACTCTGCATAAAGTTTCCATATCTACACATTTCTTGGCTACATCAATGGTAATTGCTTGGGTGGCCAAATAGAAAGCTTCCCACAGCAGGTGGGAAGTTCCCATACCCAGGGGAATTATTGACGCTAGCTCAATAGTTGAGAGCTGAGAGGCAGGAAGTGGCAGTGAGTCCTGGTCTCGGGGTGAAGAAACCGGTACTCTAGCTAAGCTCTACCTTGCACTAGCTGTGTGTCCTTAGGTAAGTCACTTGCCCTTTCTGGGAAAAGAAGGGCATTTAAATAAACACTCCTCCAAAAGGAGCTTTCCACATAATATAGCTCAGAGATTAAGAGCAAGGCCTCTGAAACCAGAGAGACTAGAATTCAAATCTCAGTCTTACCCCACCTACAGGCCCTTGACCTCAGACATCTTTCGCTTCTCTGAGTCTCAGCTTCCCCAGCTTTGATGAGAGCGTTTGGGGCCATACTGGCAGGGCTGCAGTAAGCAAGGGAAGTAGGCACGTTGCTTATCAACTAAAAAGCTTTATGCACATGGGTGACAATCATCATTGCCATTATTATCTCCCAAGCCTTTGTTTCCCAGGCTCTCTGAGCACGATGTCTGCAGCTCCCGCCAGCAATGGAGTGTTTGTTGTCATCCCGCCAAACAACGCCAGTGGCCTCTGCCCACCTCCGGCCATTCTGCCCACATCCATGTGCCAACCTCCAGGGATTATGCAGTTTGAGGAGCCACCGCTGGGGGCACAGACACCAAGGGCCACACAGCCACCTGACTTGCGGCCCGTGGAGACATTCCTGACAGGAGAGCCCAAAGTTTTGGGGGTAAGAACAGCCTCTCTGCACAACCTGAGGCAGGTAGTGAGTATCCCAGCACCGGAACATTCATGCATGTTTTGGAGAGGGGAGAAGGCAGTTAACAAATATGTAGTAATGACTCAAAGATTCAGCCATGCACCAGGTAGACAAGCACCCTTCCCGCATAAAGTTCACAGAGAGTAAACCAGTAAACAAATGACTCAGAAACCTCCAAAGAGAAAAGTAAGGTTGAAAATGATGACTAGGGCTAAGGGGAATACTAGCGAGGGTAGGTGGAAACTTGTCTCTGGGGAGATGACATTTAAGCCCAAACCTGGCTGTTAGATTGAAGCCAGCCAAGGGAATAGCTAGTGGAAGGGCTGGAGAGGGAGGGCTCACCAGGTAGAGTGCAAAGGCCTTGGGAATGAGTGTGGCTGTTAAAGGAAGAGGTGGAAGCTCGCCATAGCTGGAATGTAATGAGCAAAGGAAAGGGGGAGGTGAGATGGAATGAAAGTGATAGATGAAAGTCAGCCCTGATAGAGCTGAAGGCACATGAAGGATTTCAATCTCAGATGGCCTTGAGCTATTGGTCTCAATAAAATACTGAAGTCATAAAATATTAGGTAGAGATAGAAAGATACATACACACATTTGCACGTGTGTGTGTATACATGTAGCGTTAAAAAGAAAAGCTTTAGGCCAGGTGAGGTGGCTTACGCCTGTAATCCCAGCACTTTGGGAGGCCGAGGCAGGCAGATCATGAAGTCAGGAGATCAAGACCAACCTGGCCAACATGGTGAAACCCCGTCTCTACTAGAAATACAAAAATTAGCTGGGTGTGGAGCCGTGTGCCTGTAGTCCCAGCTACTCGGGAGGCTGAGGCAGGAGAATTGCTTGAACCCGGGAGGTGGAGGTTGCAGTGAGCTGCGATCATGCCACTGCACTCCAGCCTGGGTGACAGTGTGAGACCCCATTTAAAAAAAAAAAGAAAAAGAAAAGCTTTAAACAAATTAAATTTAGCAGAGTTTATGTGAGCTAAGAATAATTCAGGAATCTGGCAGCACTCAAAACCAGAAGAGGTTCAGAGAGCTCCATCCAGCTGTGTGAGCAGTAAGCTCTTATAGGCCAAACACAGAAGTGAAGTAGAGAAATCTCCCGATCAGCTGCAGCTAGGTGTCTGCCTTATTTGGGCATGATGTCATGAGGCATTTGCCTTATTTGGGCATAGTCTGATCAGTTGGCTGAAGCTGTTTGTCATTAGCTGAAACCCAGCTATCTGTTACAAAAATATACTCCTAGGTTAGGTTTCAGTGTGTTTCTGTACTGGTTGGGTTGCAGTTTGTTATGTAGGAACTCAAATTATGGAGACAGGCTAATGGCCACCTGCTATTTTAATTATATACACACATATGTAGATTCTTCAGTATGTTCCTTGGCCTCAGTTTCTCCAAGTAGAAGATGAAAGCATAGATTAAGCAATGGTGATGATGATGAAGGTGAAGATGATGACAGCTCTTACTTATGAAGCATCTCTGAGAGGTGCACGTACTGTGCCGGGGACTTTGCATGCATCATCTCACTAGATTCTCAGCACCACCTTGTAAGAAGGGGATCATCGTTCCTGTTGGACAGATTACGAAACTGAGGTTTCTTAAGACTAAGTCATTTGCCTAAGGCCACACAGCTGATAAATGGCATCCTGTAAACTAGGGATGGCTGACCCTAAAGTTCTACTTTCAACCCCTCTGCTTTGTGGCGTCCAGGACCTCTGGCTCAATCATGCTGGAATTCTATCCTAATAGCTGCACCACATCCATTGGTGCAGAGGGGGACTGGACTGGGGGCACAGACACCAAGGGCCACACAGCCACTGACTTGTGGCCCATGGAGACAGCGGCTGGAATTTCGAAGCCTCAAAGCGGACCCTGGGAACCAGAGCTCTCCCCCTCCAAAAAAAAAAAAAAAATTGATGAGACAAACAAACTGCTGAAAAGCACAAAAAAGTGGAAAATACAAATAAGAGTTATGGAATGCCACCCGCTAAGAATACCACTGCAGACTTAGCTGGCCTGCCGCCTCATAGCTGGGACACTTCGGGCAAGTTACTGAACATCTCTGACCTTCAGTTTCCTCATCTCCAAAATTAGGATAATAATAACCTACCTCTGGCCAGGCGCAGTGGCCCACGCCTGTAATCCCAGCACTGTGGGAGGCCAAGATGGGTGGATCACCTGAGGTCAGGAGTTCGAGACCAGCCTGGCCAACATGGCGAAACCCCGTTTGTACTAAAAGTACAAAAATTAGCCAGGTGTGGTGGCAGGCACCTGTAATCCCCATTACTCAGGAGGCTGAGGCAGGAGAATCACCTAAACCTGGGAGGCAGAGTTTGCAGTGAGCTGAGATGGTGCCATTGCACTCCAGCCTGGGCAACAAGAGTGAAACTCCTTCTCAAAAATAATAATAATAATAGTAATAACCTACCTCTTCTCATTAGGATTAAATGAGACCACATCTGTAAAACCCCCAGCACAGTGCTTAGCATAGACAGGCATTCAATAAGCGGCAGCTGGTGTTTCCCAAGGCATAATGGCAGTAGCTGTGGTGGTCTATCCACAGGGGAAAGATCTAAGGAAGGGGAGCAACGCTGGCGACTTGGACACCATGCCATGCTGTGCCCTGTGAGGACACTGAAAAGATGAAAGACGTGTAGCTGAAGAGAAAAAGAAGCTGAAGATTCAGGGGCTCATGTCCATGAATATCCAAATACTTGGCACTCATGTTAGAAAGAAATATATATTCCACGTGATGCTGACATGACAATTCTAGTTGTTCCCAGTCAGAACTGCCCATAAAAGGACCATGCTGGTTTGGGTAGTGGTGAGTACTGGTCACTGGAGTCCCCGTGAAAGTCACGGAGCCGGAAGTGGCTCCTGGGCTCCCAGGGCTGGATTCCAGCGGTCTTCAACATCTCTTTCCACTCAGTTCCGGAATTCAATAGTTACCCAAAACGTTGCAATGTTTCTGCTATTTGGCAGACCTTACTAGAAGCTCACACTTGGGAAAACCATCCCACTTCTGGGCATAGACTAGTAGGGTGCTGGTAAACCAACTCTTAGAAAGAGAAAAAATCCCACTGGAGATTTCAGCAGGCTGAGAGGCAGCTGCTGCACAGGGCTGGGACGATCAGTGATGGACACGGAAATTGTGTGATGGACGCTGCAGATTGACAGGGTGGTGGGAGATGAGGAAGGGCAAGGTGAGGCATGCGGTGCAGGGAATGTTGGGCCATTGAACCGAGTCCTGAGAAAGCCAGGTAGGGACACAGCGATGCTTGAGATCCATGGATCAGAGCAGAAAACAGGAGGCAGGCTGGCTGAGAGAGCTGTGCTTTGTGGGTCCCGTAGGCTGCGGGGAACTAGCTTTCTCCTTAAAAGTGTCTATTGGTTTCTGTAATAATATCGCCTCTAAAGAACAGAATCTGAGTTTCTTTCCCAGTGGCCAACAAGCGGGAGGAGGGCGGGGCCAGCCACGCTCTCCGCGGGGCCGGCAGGGGGCGGTGTGGAACAGGGCCCGCGGCACTGAGCCTCGGGGCTTCCCGCAGACGGTGCAGATCCTCATCGGCCTCATCCACCTAGGCTTTGGCAGCGTGCTGCTCATGGTTCGCCGCGGCCACGTGGGCATCTTCTTCATCGAGGGCGGCGTCCCCTTCTGGGGAGGAGCCTGCGTGAGTGCCGGGGCCATGGAGAGGGAGGGTAGGGGGATGCTGCCCAGGCTCACCTCTCCCCCACGCGCCCACCCCCACCATCCTCCTGGGCACAGCCTCTCCTAGGTGGGGGCCTGGAGGCACTTCCTAGAAGAACTAGAGTCTAAATCTAACTCCTTGCCGGAAACGCTCACCATAAACTTGAGCCTGACCCCACCCCTGAGGATCAAAAGCTCCCAGCAAACAGCCAGAGAAGCTGCCAAAAAGGACGGGAAAGGCGGGGCACGGTGGCTCATGCCTGTAATCCCAACACTTTGGGAGGCCGAGGCAGGCAGATCACTTGAGGTCAGGAGTTGGAGACCAGCCTGACCAACATGGTGATACCCCGTCTCTACTAAAAATACAAAAATTAGCCGGGCACGGTGGTGCATGCCTGTAATCCCAGCTACTTGGGAGGCTGAGGCAGGTGAATCGCTTTAACCCGGGAGGCGGAGGTTGCAGTGAGCTGAGATCTTGCCACTGCACTCCAGCCTGGGCAACAGAGCAAGACTCCATCTCAAAAAGAAAAAAAAAGGGATGGAGGGCATCAGGGCTGGGTCCAAACCACCTGCACTGCCCAGATCCTAAGCCTCACCCTGCAACCAAACCCCTCCCGCAGAAACCCTCTAGCTCCCTGAGTTGGGTCCCAGCCCTCCAGGAGCTCTGTCCCCTGGGAGTCCAACCAGCTCTGAAGCCCCTGAGCCCATTCCTTTGACCTCCTTCCGGCCAAACTGGCCACTCACCCGTGCCGGAAAACAGGCAGGTGAGTCCTTGTCACTGCCAACATTAAAGGGCACTTGAGTGTATACCGTGAACCTTGGTGTTTGCACCCCCATCAATACATCACCAGAGCCTCCAGCCGCCCCAAGGAAGCACAGGCCTCAGGGTCAGGTCAACGGGGTCTGAATCTCAGCTTCACCGCATGTTAAGATGGAGTCCCTTGGGCACGTCACTGAATCTCGATACTCAACTTCCTCATCTAAAACTTGGGCTCATAGATCTGGCCCTGCCTACCTCATAGTTTGCAGAGGAAATCGAGAGATAATGTGCATGGTGAGTGGATTACTAACGCTAAAATTCTGCACCAAATGGTGACTGTTGAGCAAGTCCTTTTTCGAGAGAAAGCCAGAGATTTGCATAAAAGGGGTCTCCATTGTGTGAGTGTTGGTTCCAGAACCGAGGCACAGTGACTTTCTTCCCCTGCCCAGGCTGCCTCCAGCAAGAGCACAAAATCCACCAGAATGGGGTTCAGGGAGGACAAATGGCTGACACATCACAACCAGATCAGGATGGTCACCTGGCCATCCTTGGGGACAAGCTCTGGCACTTTGAATGGTCCCCCTGACCTGAAGGTGGAGGAAAATTTTGCAATCGGGAGAACCCATGGGGAGAAATCACAACAGGAAGAAACAAAGGGGTCACTTTCCCCTCTGAGCCCCCTCCTGCCAGGCTTTATCACAAATATGCCCAGTAAAGCTTCAAAAATGGGGGAAGGAACAAAAGCAAAAACTTGATTTTCAATCTCAGGAGACATGAGCGTCGGGAGATCCTGACAGGACACCTGTGAGCTCCAACATTTAATCATTGTGTTGGATCTTCACATCACTGATGTCTGGGGACCCCTGAAAGTACAGGGGTATTATGTGCATTTTTCTAGAAAGCAGGCTCATAGCTTTTCTTGGAGGCTCAAAGGAGACCTTAGTTGAACATTCCCAGAATTCCAGGATGGTGGATGACTTGGAAGGAAAGAGGCAGTCAGCCGGCATGCGGGTGCAGCCAGGCCTCCTTCTCTGTATGAACCTGGGCAAGTTGCTGCCTGTCTCTGGGGCTTGACTTTCTCATCAATAAGACATCATGCCTGTCTCCAGCCCAGAGAGCCGGATTCTAAACCCAGCTGCCCTCTTGACAACTCCGCTTGATGCTGAAAAGGCAACTCAGTATATCAAAATGAAACTCTTGATTCCTGCCATAGGCTTGTCCCCAGCCCTATCCCTCCTATCACCTCCTCATCTCAGCAAATGGCACCTCCAGCCACCCAACTGCCAAAGCTAAACATATCCCAAGAATTGTCCTAGAATCTTCTTTCCCTGCTGCGCATCCACCCCAGCAGCAGGTCGCGCCGGATCACCCTCCAGAGCATAGCCTGAGTGTGTCCGCTTCTTCCCACCCCCATGGCCACCATGCTGAGCTACACCTGCTTGAGACCTGTAGTGACTCATTCCTGGTCCTCTGTCTCCGTGTCACCCCAGGGCCTCCTCCACCCACCGCTGACCCTGCGGTCTCCCCAGCATGGCAGCTGAGTGCCCCCTGCAAATTGCAGACCTGCTAAGCTGCAGGCCCAGAGTGGCGCAGCACTGCTCAGCTCCACCCTCTCAGCTCGGCAGACGCAGGGCCAGCCCCACCTCAGTGTGTCAGGCGACTGCCAAGTACATAGGTGCCATGATGCAGGTCCCTGGGCTATCCTTATGGATAGCCTCGTGCCCGGCTGTTGTCATCCCAGCTCACAGAGACAACCCTGACACCCACCCAACCTCGAGTAGCCCCAGTGACCGCTATGACTTCATCACAGCTCTTAGCACCACTGTCTGTACTTTTCTTCACTGTTTGCTAAGTGTCAGTCTTCCCCAATTAGAATATAAGTTCCGGCCGGGCACGGTGGCTGATGACTGTAATCCCAGCACTTTGGGAGGCCAAGTCAGGTGGATCACGAGGTCAGGAGTTCAAGACCAGCCTGACCAATATGGTGAAACCCCGTCTCTCCTAAAAATACCAAAATTAGCTGGGTGTGGTGGCGGGCGTCTGTAGTCCCAGCTACTTGGGAGGCTGGGGCAGGAGAATCACTTGAACCCGGGAGGCGGAGGTTGCAGTGAGCCGAGATCATGCCACTGCACTCCAGCCTGTGTGACAGAGCAAGACTCCATCTTAGAAAATAAAATAAAAAAAAAAAAGCTCCTTGAGGGCAGAGATCTGGTCTGCCTTATTCAACTCTGTTATGTTCCTGGCACATAACTGCCACTCAGAAAATATTTGGTTTTTCTGTTTTTTGTTTTGAGACAGAGTCTCACTCTGTCCCCCAGGCTGGAGTGCAGTGGCACTATCTTGGCTCACTGCAACCTCCGCCTCCCAGGTTCAAGTGATCCTTGCTCCTTAGCCTCCCGAGTAGGTGGGATTACAGGTGCACGCCACTCTGCCCAGCTCATTTTTGTATTTTTAGTAGAGACTGGAGTTTCACCATGTTGGCCAGGCTGGTCTTGAACTCTTGACTTCAAGAGATCCTCCCACCTCGGCCTCCCAAACTTCTGGGATTACAGGCATGAGCTCACTCAGTTCAGCCTCACTCAGTAAATGTTTGATGAGTGAATGTTTGAAGGAACAATGCCTTCCCCATGAGGCCCTGATGATATGACGTCAATGAAAACACTCACCTTGTAAGCCACAGCCCTAGTTCTCTGGACAGGGGACACCCCTGCCGAGAGACCCCAAGGTGCCTGCCTGGCAGAGAAAGTGGCATCAGGAGGCTGTTGTCTCTCCCTGGCACCTCTTGACAGATCCCAAGCAGGGTCTGCCCTGCCCAGGGTCCTGGCTGAGGCCTCACCTGGTCCCCTCTCCCCATACAGTTCATCATCTCCGGATCCCTCTCAGTGGCAGCCGAGAAGAACCACACCAGTTGCCTGGTGAGTGTGAACAGGGGGACCCAGGGGCGGGGATGAAGCCACAGCTAAATCTCACTCTACCCTGCCCCTCCCATCCACTCACTCCTTCAGCTCATTCCCCAGCACTTCAGGGGACCTGCAAAGTGCCAGGGGAGGGGCACCACCCAGGCAGACCAGACGCAGACTGTGCATGTCCAGGAGAAGAAGACAGGGATACTCTTTCAATACACAAGCCAGGGTGGAAAGTGAGGTCCATGCTCATGGTCATTCCGAGAAAGGAAAGATGCTAGAAGATCTCCTGTAAGAGTCCTGCTGGGCCTTGGTGAGCAGAGAGGACTTAGAAATACCACAGGGAAAGCTGGAGAATGCACGGAGGAGTGTGGGCAGGGTCGCCACTGAAACCACGCCTGGCTCCATCCAACGAAGGCAAAGGTAGGAGAAGGAAAGTGGAAAGAAATCAGACAGAGAGATTTAATCCCATGATGGGGCTGGATTGTGGAGGGCTTGGTGCCTTCTGCAGGCACTGGGAGGCGATGGAGGCTTTGAACAGGAGGGTATGAGCTTTATGTCAGGCTCAGAGAACACGGCAATGAAGATCATGAACACGGCAGCGAAGGTCATGAACATAGCAGTGAAGGTCATGGCATTTATCTTCTGGTGCCTTGTAGACACCCGTAAAGCAAACTAACAAAGATGGTTGCCAAGCATGAGAAGTGCTGAAAGGAAGCAGGCAGGATAATATGAGTCATTCTAAGCTCAGCTGGGACGGTCTGGAGTCCCTGAGCAGGTATCACGGAACCGAGTCTTCACAGTTCAGAGGGCAACAACCACGGAAGAGCCCGGTCGGGAAACGCCATGGCTGGACAGGGGACCAGAGTGCTGGACCATCACAGGCAAGGGGTGGGCCGAGAGGGAGAGGCCGGGGAGGTGACTCAGAGCCTAAATGCCAAGTTCAGGATTTGTTTTAAGGACAATGAGAGACCACAGAGGCTTCAGCAGGGAATTCCTTGCCCTGTTTCCATACTTGAGAGGTATCCCAGGTGCTGGGCAGAGAATGGGTTGTGGAGGGGCAGGACTAGAAGCGAGGACTCTCCGGACCAAACCCAGTGTCCCCCGGGCTGTGAGCTCCAGGAGGACAAGACCTGACTTACTCTCTCCTGGACTCACAGCACTTTGCATAGTGCCTGGCATGCAGTAGGTGCTCAATAAAAGCTTTTGGCTTAATCAATTAATGGATTTCTTGTGAGGCTGTTCTGATCTCAATGACCTCCTGATTGCCATTTAAAAAGAAGAATCAGGGGTCTTTAAACCTGAAGAGGTCCTAGAGTCCCCAGCCCACCCATGAATGTTTCCCCTTGGGGCAGTTTAACCAGAAGGCTCCAGCTACGGGTCACGAGACCGTCAGGTTCGGGCTGCACGGGGATGGTGACCCCTGGGTGGCTGCCTGGACCACCCCAGGAGTCACTTGCCCTGCACGCTCTTTAGACCCTGGAGTCCTAGGCCTCTCAGCCCACCCAGACTTCAGACCTTCAGCTCCTGCCTCTCCTGTCTCCCCTGCCTGGTGCCCCACCAGTGTCTGCAGTGCCTCACTCCGCCAGCCACTTCCTGGAACCTCATAGAAATGAACTCAACCCCTCTCCCAACCAGGCCTCAGTGTCCACAGCAAAGAGCCTCCCCCAACCCATGCCCCTGAGCAGGCCTCAGCTGCAGCTTCTCCTGCGAGGTGCTGGGCCTGGGGGAGAGGGAGCCACAGTACGGGGTAAGCTGGAGGCTGCAAACTCCACCCAGAAAGGCTGTAAAGGAGGTGGTGCCCTTCTCCCTAGCAGCTTCCAAGAAGACGAGAGAAGGAAAGAGAGACAACAAGACCTCCTCCCGAGGTCCCAGGGGAGGAGAAGAGAAAAGGGGAGCAGTCAATGAGAACACAGCTGTGTGCAGGGTGGTGTGGCCACTGCCTCCTTGGCTGTGGGAGGCAGCGTGCTGGGGGCTGGGCAGCTGAGCCACAGCCCCTGCCTTTTCTCCTTCTCTTTGCCTATTCCCTCTGCTCCTGTCTCTCTGCTCTCTGCAGGTGAGGAGCAGCCTGGGCACCAACATCCTCAGCGTCATGGCGGCCTTTGCTGGGACAGCCATTCTGCTCATGGATTTTGGTGTTACCAACCGGGTGCGTTGTCAGATGGCCCTCGGGGTGGGAAAACTTGGAAAATGATGCAGCCATGTCCAGGAGGGTAGGGAGGTGAGAGTTTGCAGCGCCAGGACGTTGGCAGGGCCTGCCAGTCCCTATAGACCCCATGAATCCATGGATCCTCTGAGCCTTCCCCAAGATAGGCATCAGAAGGAGCAAGGAGGCAGCCTGCAGGGTGAAGGGGAGGGTGCAGGACTGGCGGCAGGGGGACTGGCTCCAGGCACAGCTCTGCTCCCAACTAGCCGCATGACCTTGGGCAAGTGGTTCTCACTCGGGGGACCCCCTTACTCTAGAACTCTGGGCTCACCTTTCTGTGGGTTTTGGTCCCCAGGATGTGGACAGGGGCTATCTGGCCGTGCTTACTATCTTCACTGTCCTGGAGTTCTTCACAGCGGTCATTGCCATGCACTTCGGGTGCCAAGCCATCCATGCCCAGGCCAGTGCAGTGAGTACCCCCACCCCCACCCCCACGTCCACTAAACCTGAGCTGAGCCTGTGTGGAAGGCAGTTGGCTGGGAGCGCGCTCTGCCTCCAGACCCCTCCCTCTGCACTCTGGGAAGCAATAAGAAGAGACAGCGCTAGGAAGGGTGTCCCATCCATGTCAGGGGGCCCAAAGAAGTCTTTGGGCTGGGCATGGTGACTCACACCCATAACCCCAGCACTTTGAAAAATGAGATGGGAGGATCTCTTGAGCCCTGGAGTTTGAGACAAGCCTGGGCAACATAAAAAGATCCTATCGCTACAAAAAAAAATGTATTTTTAATTAGCCATGTGTGATGGTACGTGCCTGTACTCCTAGCTAGTTGGGAGGCTGAGGCAGGAGGATCGCTTGAGCCCAGGAGGTTGAGGCTGCAGTGAGCTATGATCACACCACTGCCCTTCAGCCTGGGTGACAGAGGAAGGCTGTCTCTAAAACCAAAACAAAACCAAAGACGTCTTCGCAGGTCAGTGAAGACAGGACTGCTCTCCCCGTGGCACTGGGTGCACCAGCACCCACAGGGCCACTGCTCTGTGCAGCCCCACAGGCAGCCTTGCAGAATAGAAGGCCCAGGCTCAGGGCATGGGGGCAGTGCTGCACCCAGAGGAGTGAGACTTTTTGGAGTTCCCAGGCCACATGGGAGACAGGGGCATCAGGGAGGGCAGCATGATAGAGATGGAAATTAAGCTTTGATTTCCAAAAAAAATGGAGGACAGTGATGACAGAAAGGGGCTGGAGGGAGTGTTCAAGGCAGGGGAACCAGTTGGAGCAAAGGCTGCCTCGGGCAGGCAAATGCAGGCCACAGGGTGGGGTGCCCTTGGCAGGTGCACGATGGGATGCATTGAGGGTGAGGGGATTGAAGGTCTGAGCAGGGGAGTGAGCTGGTTGAGGGAAATCAGTCAAGAGGATTTGTCCAGTGCCGGAAGGTGGAGAGGGTGGACAAGCGGGGCTCGAGGCCAGGAAGCTGCAAGGAGGCTGGTGCCACGGTGCAGGCAAGAGAGAGCGAAGTCCTGAACCAGGCCAGGGCAGTCGGGAGAGAAAGAACAGCAGAGCCGGACGTGGTGGCTCATGCCTGTAACCCCGGCACTTTGGGAGGCCGAGGCGGGCAGATCATCTGAGGTCAGGAGTTCAAGACCAGCCTGGCCAACATGATGAAACCCCGTCTCTACTAAAAATACAAAAAATTACCTGGGCATGGTGGCAGGCGCCTATAATCCCAGCTACTCGGGAGGCTGAGGCAGGAGAATAGCTTGAACCCAAGAGGCGGAGGTTGCAGTGAGCCGAGATCACGCCATTGCACTCCAGCCTGGGCAACAAGAGCAAAACTCTGTCTCAAAAAAAAAAAGAAAAGAAAAAAAAGAACAGCAGAACGTTAGCGCCTGGAGAAATGGGACTTTTGTCTGTTTTGTTCACTGCTGTACTCCCAATGCCTGGATCATAGCTGGCCCCAGTAAATGTTGTTTGAAATATTGGTTGCACGGAGAGCCCTGAGCATGCGATTCAGACTTGCGGAATTCAGTACCAGGGCGCTGTTCTCAGATTACCCACAAGGGGGCACTATTGAACCACTACCCTGAAGCTCCAGCGTCCTCCAGGACGCTCAGTGCTGTTTTCTTTGCAGCCTGTGATCTTCCTGCCAAACGCCTTCAGCGCAGACTTCAACATCCCCAGCCCGGCAGCCTCTGCGCCCCCTGCCTATGACAATGTGGCATATGCCCAAGGAGTCGTCTGAGTAGCAGATGTGGCACCTGCGGGTGGAGTCCAGCCTTTTCCCTCTGGGCCCAGCCTCTCCCCACCCCCACCTTGTTCATCAGGGGCCAGCCCCATCCCAGCTGCCCTCCCTCACCACATCTACACATACTCCGGCATCTGAGTGAAGTGTCCCCAGGGACATCTCTCCCACACTTTCCCCAGTGCTTTCTTTCTAAAAGACACCGGGCTGACGTCAGGGGTGTGTGTCCTTCAGCTCCCTGAGCCCTGTCACCCTTCCAGGACACCCACCTTGTGCATCTAAGCATTTCTCTGCTCATTGGGGAAATCCTGGCCTCATTGGAGACTCAGGTTCGAGGCCTGCCCTGACCCTCGGGCCTCGGGAAGGTCAGAGAGCCCGGAATCCTCCAGAATGGAAGAGTCTGACTCTGGCATTCCACAGAGGTGCCGATACCAGGCCAAGGCCTCACAGCAGGGTAGTGGCCTGGCCGCAGGTCTCCTGGCCCCAAGATCAGCTCTGTCCTTTGTCATCTGTTGCCACATCCATGGAACTCAGGTTTCCTATTTGGAAACTAGAGTGTTGAACCAGATAAGGTTCATCAGGCCCTTCCAGCTCCCCAGGCTCCCTGAAGTCCTGGGTCTAGGCCAGGCATTGTCCCCCTGCTTCCTGGAAACCCTCATTTTCCTTGTCT
Organism: Homo sapiens; assembly: GCF_000001405.40. NCBI lineage: Eukaryota > Metazoa > Chordata > Mammalia > Primates > Hominidae > Homo > Homo sapiens. The sequence goes on from NC_000011.10 coordinate 60,776,386, forward strand.
GTAATATGAAGTCAGCATTGGCCCCGCCCCCCACCCCCTACCATCTCCCAATGGAGGGGAGGTTGCAGGGGAGAGCTGCCGCCAGCCCACTCCTGAGGCACCACCACAGTCAGCATCGACAGGGGCACAGCAGTGGCAGTTTGGGACCTCCCTGTGCCTCTCAGCACTCCCTTCCCCACCCCCATAGCCCAAGGACAAGGCTACCACAGAAGGTTACCACAGGACCTGGGCTTCGTCTCCAGGGGACAAGGAGACACTGTCAGCCTGGTGTTCACCAGGCCTGGTAGATGAGATGGCTTGTCTCATCCACACCACAGAAGGAAATAAACCATGTGGCTTAAATTTTGAGCTGGTCTTGTTGCAATGACTTTTTCTTTTTAACCTCAGGGGCTTCCAAGGGTCATCCCATGTTTATCAGAGGACCTGGGTAACTATCCCACTGTCACAAAAGGGCACCTCTGGGTGCCTCGCTCTGTGTGGTGTAATCCTTACACTTACTCTGTCCCCATCTCGGTTCAAACAAACATGCCTTCATATCCCCACTCCACAACTAAGGACACTGAAGCTTAAAGGTGTTAAATTATATGCCCAAGGCCACCGAGCTAGTTAGGAGCAAAACTGGGATCCAAACCTAGTTCCATGTGACGTCAGAGTCCGTGTTCTCACCACTTGGTCTCCCCTTAGTACAAACCTAAGTGCTTCCCACCAACCCCTTTTCCTCCTTCCTTCTGTTTCTTCATCCCCAAAACTAAGGCAGGGCTGCATTCCTCAACACACTCACTTCTTCTTCACCCAACAAACTCCCCCTCCTCCTTTAAGGCCCTATTTAAACGTTGCCCCTTCTGTGAAGTCTTCCCAAAGGAAGGGTGGTCCACGTGGTAGCTAAGTGCCGTGACCACAACACTGGAATGAGGGTGGGGCAAGGGAGGTGCCATTCAAGGGGACATTCACTCTCAGGATCATGCCAGTGCAGAGTTGGTGTAAGGGGTACAACAAGCTTTGGCTTTTACAATCAAGAAAGGAGACTCGAGGATTTAGAGCTTTCAGTTTAAGATCATTAAGTATAGAGTTGGAGGAAATGTACTTGAAGATTTAGGACCAGTTTTCTTGCCATATAAAGGAGACTAGAGACATTTCAGAACTGAGGGGAGGAGTTGGGGGAGAGAGAGGGAGAAAAAGAGAGAGGTTAGCCCCAAGCTGGGATTGCTTCCCTCTCTCCTCTGCTGACCAAATCCCTCAGGAAGTGTGTAGGCCAAAAACCACAGGTCCATTAAGAGGAATTAGAGACTACAAGGTCACTAGAGATGTCCCATATTCAGACAGCATGGAGCCACAACATAAAGATGGCTGGGGACTGTGCCTGGTGACACAATAGTCCTGCATTCCCATGTAGTGTATCAGTCCAAGCGTGAGAAAGCTCTCTGTGTTTCCTGAGCTGGCCAGTGGCCAGATGTGCAATGTGGATTACGTGAGACTATAACTTTATAACAAATATGAGCAGCAAATAAGAGTGGGGACAGTGGCCACCACTGAGAGAACAGCAAGGACAAACTATACCTCAGCAGAGGCTAGCAAGGACAGATGAGGGCTAAGGGCTTATGGACTGGAAGTCATTGGAAGTGACTGAGTTATCCTCAATTGGCAAAATTAAGTTTTCTACCACTACTGAGAGTAAATGGGAGGTAGAGATATAATTTCTGTGAAAAAGAACGCTGAGAACTACAAAATGTTACTAAGAGAAATTAACAAAGATCTAAGTCAATGAAATGATATCCTATGTTCATGAACTGAGAAGCTCAAGTTTGTTAAAATGGCATTGATTTTCAAAATTTATCTATAAATTCAATATGATTCCATTCAAAATTTTAGCAGTTTATTTTGGGGAAATTGACAAGTCAATTCTAAAATTCATATGGAAATTCAAAGGATCTTTAAAAATACAAGAAAACTTAAAGACAAAGTTGGAGGATTTAAACAACCTGATTTCAAGATTTACTACTTAGCAATAATTTAGACAGCATAGTTTTAGCCCAAAAATAGACAAAAAGACCAATGGAATAAAATAGAGAGCTCAGAAACAGACCCTCACATACAGTCCTTTGATCTATGGCAAAGACACCCATAATTAAGTGGATAAATGACGTTCTTTTTAATCAATGGTGCTGAAGCAATTAGATATTGGCATAGAAAAAAATGCACCTTAATTCCTACCTCACACCGTACATAAAAATTAATTCAGGATGAGTCACAGATCTAAATTTTATAACAAAGCAAGCTTCTAAGAGAAAACATAGGAAAATATTATTTGGGGATAAGCAAAGATTTACTAAACTAGAAATGCAAAAAACACTAACCACAAAAGACATAAAAACCATAAAAGAAATTGGAGTTTATTAAAAATTAAGAGCTCTGTTTATCAAAAATCACATTGTAAGTGTGAAAATGCAAAACATATACTGGGAGAGAATTTTGAAATGCATCATATCTGACACAGGTCTCATGTGCAGAACATATAAATAACTCCTAAAAATAATAAGTAGGCCAGGTGCACTGGCTCATCATGCCTGTAATCCCAGCACTTTGAGAGGCCAAGGTGGCTGGATCGCCTGAGGTCAGGAGTTCAAGACCAGCCTAGCCAACATGGTGAAACCTCGTCTCTATTGAAAATACAAAAATTAGCTGGGCATGGTGGCATGTGCCTGTAATCCCAACTACCTGGGAGGCTGAGGCAAGAGAATCACTTGAACCTGGGGGGCAGAGGTTGTAGTGAACTGAGATTGTGCCACTGTGCTCCATCCTGGACAACAGAGTGAGACTCTTGTCTCAAAAAAATAAATAAATAAAATTAAATAAATAAATACATAAAAGAGAGCTCAATTTAAAATGGGCAAAGAACTTGAGCAGACATGTCACAAAAGAAGATATAGAAGTGGCCAATAAATGTGCTCAACATCATTAGTCCTTAGAGAAATAGAAATTAAAACTACAATGAGATACCGCAACACACTAGAATGGCTAAAAATTTAAAAGACTGACTATAGAAGTGTTGATTAGCTTGGGAAGCTAGTCTTCTTATACATTGCTGGTGGGAGTAAAAATTAATACAACCACTTTGGAAAAAAATGTTTGGCAATATCTACTAAAGCTAAACATACACATTCAGTATAACCCAACAATTTTATTCCTGGATATGGACCCAACAGAAATCACTAAAAGACATGGACAAGAGATTTTGATGACAGCTTTATTTATCATAGGCAAAAACTTGAAACCACTGAAATGTCCATCAACCATAGAGGTAAATAAACTGTTCTATATTCGTTAAAAAGGAATAAATAAAAAGAACAAACTACCAATACATCTAACACACGAATGAATGTCTACGTGAAAGAAGACAAATAGAAAAGAGCACATCCTGGGTTATTCCAGTGATAGGAATTTCAAGAACGGTTTAGATACACTAATGGTAGTAGAAGTCAGCACAGTTGTTGGCCCTTGGGAGCAGCAGGGGAGGGGAGTGTGAGGTAGCCTCCTGGGGCAGTGCAGATCTTCATATCTTGATCTGAGTTATGGCTGCATGAGTGTATACATAGATAAAAATTAACCAAATTGGACACACCTGTGCACTTTACTGTATGTTGTTGCCTCCATTTTTTTAAGTGGGAAAAAAATAAATTAAAAAGTTACTATATTAGCTATCTATTTCTGCACAATAAATGACCACACACTTAATGGCTTAAAGCCACACACATATATATTACCTCACGATTTCTGTGGTCAGATACAGGTGCATCTTGGTTGGGTCCCCTGGTTAGGGCTTCACAAAGCTGCACTCAAGATGGCGGCTGGGCTGCACTCTTATCTGGAGACTCAACTGGTGAAGAATCCACTTCCAAGCTCACTCAGGTTGATGGCAGAATTCATTTTCTTGAAACTCTGGGACTGAGGGCCATAGCTTCTTTCTGACTGTCATTACCCTCAGCCCCTAGAGGCTGTGCTAAGCTCCTTGCCAAGGGAGCCTCATAACATGGACATTTACTTGTTTGAAACCAGCTGGGGAGTGATCCCTATAGCAAGTTGACTAGCAGGATGAAGATTTATATAACAACATAATTATGGAAGTGCCACCCCATCACCTTTGCAATAGGTTACTGGTTAGAAGCAAGTCACAGGTGCTACCCACACTCAAAGGGAAGGGTTATTGGGACCGCCTTAGAATTTGTCTGCCTCAGTTACAGTTCTGCTCATTTAAATTTGTAATTTTGAAAATGCAAATTCAATGTATTTAATTTTCTCCCAGTTTAAAAAGCCCTATCTATACCCCCTAAAACCCTTCAGCTGCAGGTTAATTTTTCTCCTCTCCTTTATTTTCCTCACTGTCACTCAACCCATTGAAATCACTCTCTGTAAGGTTATTGCATTGACCTTGTCACCAAAATCAATAGGCTTTTAAAAATCCTTGTTTTAATAATAGCTCTCTCCATTTCTTAAATGTTGCCTACCCATAGATTTCCTCTGTGTACACTACCTACTCTCTACATGATCTCATCCACCACTTCAGGTTCATTTCATCTTTTATTCAGCAAGTGCTGATTGGGTGTGTGCTGTGTAAGCTCTGGAGACACCAGACATTAGCCAAGATCTCTGTTCTCATGGAGCTCACATTAGCCATCTATCACCATCCTGACAGTTTTCAAATCACTGTCTTCCACCCAGATCTCTTTTGCTGAGACAGCCTCAGCATCTACTTTCTTGTCTCACAAAAAGGAATTTACATCTTCTCTTCCAACTCAAGCCATTTCCCCTCCTGTGTTCCTGATGTCAGTTGACGTCCCTATAGACTTTGGGCCACCCAAGACTGAACCCAAGCATCATTCTTGGTTTCCCCTCTCTCTAAGCCACACAGAATCATCCTCCACTGATTCTCCTTGCTCTGGTTTCTCAACTGAGTCCACTCTCCTTATCCTCCTCCTTTGAGCCACATCACTTTTCACCTGCATCTTTGAACCACACCACCTTTGAACCACGTCACCCTTCACCTACATCAGGCGTCAGCCTCCTGCCACGTCCCCAGCTCTGAGCCTGCCCCATGCATCTCTTGACTAGATGACAGCCAGAGGGATTTTTCTAAAGTACAAAGTCATCATGTTACTGTTCTGCCTAAACTTATTCAGGCTCTCCTTTGCCCTTGGGCTAAAGTCCAAATGCTCTAGCAACACTTACAAAGCCCTGGAGATGTAGCAGTTCACCTCTCCAGCCCCATCCCTCCTCACCCTCCACTTACACTTGACCCCGAGCCATCCTGAGTCTCCGTGAGCTCCATCTGCCTGGAAGGCTGCTCTCTGCCTGCTTCCAACCCTCCTATTTGTCCTGCTTAGCTCCCAACCCCACTTCAGACCTTCATTTAGATACCACTTCCTCCAGGAAGCCTTATCTGGCCTCATCCCCCAACCCCTTCTAGATTAGGGGAACTCCTCCAGGCTCTCGCCACACCCACATCTCAGTATCACATCACTCACCCGTCCACAGCACAGTTACCTGTCTCCCTGTTCATCTTATTCAATGGACTTCATATTCTTTCCCTATTGCTGCTGTAACAAATTACCATGAACTTAGTGGCCTAACATAACACAGACTTATTATTAGACAGTTCTGAGGTCAGAGGTCCTAAAATCCAGGTGTCGGCAGGGCTGAGTTCCTTCTGGAGGCTCCAGGGAGGCCCCGCTTCCTTGCCTTTTCCAGCTTCTAGAGGCCACCTGCCTTGCTTGGCTTGGGACCTTGGCCTCCACCTGCCAAGCTCTTCCACTCACTCTGACCCTCTTGCCTCCCGCTTGGGAATACATTGGGCCCACTGAATAATCTATCCCTATCAACAACTTTGACTTAATCATCTGCAAAGCCCTTTTCACTGCATAAGGTAACGTATTCACAGATTCTAGGGATGTGGACATTGTTGAGGTGCCATTGCTCTGACTACCACAAATTCTGAGCTCCTCAAGGCCAGGGGCAGCCTCTTGCCCACTCCTGGATCCCCAGCATGTCACACAGCGCCTGGCCCAAGTAAGTGCTCATTAGCTGTTTTATCAATGAACGGATCAGTTAATGAACAAGGGTATCAGGGGGGTGGGGGGCTGTCTTCCTACTCAGCAAAAAAGCACTGGTCCTGGAAAAACACTCACCCCATGTTTGAGGAGCTAAAGTCGTGGGTGATGAACGGGTGCAAGGCAACCAATGACAGTGATTATTGGCCTCACGTGTCTCAGCATTACAGTGGGCAGGCAAGTGCCTTCAGAAGAAACAGGTCTCTCTCAAAGCTACTGGCTGCTGCTCAGCCTGGCCCCCTACCCCTCAGGGGAAGCCTGCATAGTCCAGCAGGTCTGAGAGGGGTGAGTGGCCTTTTGCCTGATTGTGTGTGTGACATCGAAGTCTATGCCACATTGAACATGCATGACAGCTGAGCACGAGCGACCCCGGAAGCACACAGCAACTAAAATAATTAGGCACGGCCACTGACACGTGTGAGGCGCTGCTTTTAAGCATTTTACATATTCTAACTCATTTAACCCTCCAGCAACTTGATGGGTACTATTATCCCCATTTTATAGAGGGGAAAACTGAGGCCCACCAAAGTCAAATAACTTGCCCAAGGTCACACAACATTAAGAGGTAGAATCAAGATTTGAACTCAGGCATCCCAGATGCAGAGTCAGCTCTGAAGTGCTATGCTGTGCTCAGCAAGTCAAAGTCAGTCAGTCCTGGCATCAGGGACTATCTGTACAGCCGCTGGCTCTGCCTCGCGCTTCCCTGTCCACCCTCAGCAGAGCGATGTGGAGAGAGAAGCCAGATGGAAAAGGAAGAGCCCAAGGCGGGATCTAGGGGTCGCTGGATCTGGGGGTCGCTGGATCTGGGGGTCACAGGATCTGGGGGTTGCTGGATCTGGGAGTTGTGGGATCTGAGGGTTGTTGGATCTGGGGGTTGTGGGATCTGGGGGTTGCTGGATCTGGGAGTTGTGGGATCTGGGGGTTGCTGGATCTGGGAGTTGTGGGATCTGGAGGTTGCTGGATCTGGGGTTTGTTGGATCTGGGGGTCGTGGGATCTGGGGGTTGCTGGATCTGGGGGTCACTGGATCGGGGGGGTCACTGGATCTGGGGTCATAGGATCTGGGAGTCACAGGATCTGGGGGTCACGGGATCTGGGGGTTGTGGGATCTGGGGGTCATGGGATCTGGGGGTCACAGGATCTGAGGGTTGTGGGATCTGGGGGTCCCTGGATCTGGGGGTTGTGGTACCTGGGGGTCGCTGGATCTGGGGTCACTGGATCTGGGGGTCATGGGATCTGGGGGTCACTGGAGCCCACTCCACACCTCCTCCACCAGAACAGCCTCACGGAAGACCTTCACACTTCCCAGAGCAGCACCGTGCTCATGGAAAGATCAGGGCACAAGATGTGGCAACTGATTCTGTCAGATGCAATTTGTGGGCCATGCCTGGATCCTGGATCCTGATTTGAACAAATCAAAAGTAACAAGACATTTGTGAGATAATCAGAAACTGAAGCTCCGACTAGTTATTTGATACCCGGTAAGTACCAAAAACTAGATAAGAACAGGTTTTTCTGACTCCTAGGGTTAAGCTTGTCCCCCACAACAGGGGTCCCCAACCCCCAGGCCATGGAGCTATACCAGTCTGTGGCCTGTTAGGAACCAGGCCTCACAGCAGAAGGTGAGGGGCAACAGGCAAGCATGACCTACCACCTGAGTGCCGCCTCCTGTCAGATCAGCCGCAGCAATAGATTCTCAAAGCAGAACGGGCCCTATTATGAATTGCACATGCAAGGGATCTAAGTGGTACCCTCATGAGAATCGAATGCCTGATGATCTGAGGTGGACTAATTTCATCCCAGAACCATCCCCCATCCCCACCCCGGCCCATGGAAAAATTGTCTTCCACGAAACTGGTCCCCAGTGCCAGAACGGTTGGGGACCACTGCTCTATGAAAGTAGTTTCTTTTTTCCTTTCCTCTTTTTTTTTTTTTTTTTTTTTTGAGACAGGGTCACACTGTGTTGCCCGGACTGAGGTGCAGTGGTGTGATCACAGCTCACTGGACTCAAGTGATGCTCCCACCTCAGCCTCTCGAGCAGCTGGAACCATAGACAGGGACCAAGACACCTGGCTCATTTTTGAATTTTTGAATTTTTGTAGAGATGAGGTCTCGCTATGTTGCCCAGGCTGGTCTCAAGCTCTTGGCTCAAGTGATCCTCCCACTTTGGTCTCCCAAAGAGCTGGGATTGCAGGCATGAGCCACCGCCCGGCCCTTTAAAAGACTAGTTTCCAAATGTTCAACAGAGCTCTGTGGGGCTGCAGGGTTAAACTCTGAGCGTAAATAGACCTCAGTGAGCACCAGGACTCGGTTTTAATTTTTTTGTTCTGATCATGTGGTCACACTTTTTTTTTAAAGAGTCCATATCTTTTAGAGATAAATACTAAAATGCTTACAAATAAAATGGGAAGATATCTGAGTTTTGCTTACTTCTGGGGGAGAATAAGATTGGCCAAGAGCTGCTGATGGTGGCTGTAGCTCGCGAATGGGCACAGGGGTGTCATGGAACCATTCTCTCTACTTTTGTGAGTGCTTGAAATTTTCCAGAATTAAAAGAACTCTTTCAAAAGGTTCAACTTCTTACTCCACTCCCAGGATCTAAGACGATTACAACCACTTTCACTCCATCAGTCATGCCCTGAAAACAGATTAAATTATCAACATTTCCCTTGCCAAAGGAAATTTACAACTGTCAAGGAGAGACATAAAGAAGGGCACTAAGATTTTCACCTGCCGGGGTTTGGCGGGAGGGGGAAGGACTTTGACAGCTTCCATGCAACCGGGGCATGAAGCAGGGCGTGGGTCCAGGAGGGAGAAGATCCAAAGTCGAATGTTGTAAAGATGTGCTGATTTCCCAGCGCTGTCTCTGGGGAGCTCCGGCAGCGCAAGAGGGCAAAGCACAGCTGGAAGCTCAGAGCTGCAGTCCCAGGTCCTGGGGTGAGTGGTCCCCCCATGGCAGGAACAGAGGGGAGTGATTTTGTGTTTCCATGTGGAGTTGGGGGGTTGCTCAGGTGTACAGACCTGGTCCCCCCTTGAAGCCAGGGGACCGGCCTCTTATACCCCTAGCCAATCAGTTGTTGGCTGTAGGGTTGGAGCGGTGTTACTTAAACTCCCAGAAGGGAGGAGATGTGAGCCTTTAGCAATGAACAATTATACCAGCTGGAGAATGGGTGGCCCACCCAGCAGAGGGGATCTGGGAAGTAGGGGGCACCGTCGGCCTCTCCCCTGCGGAGCCCCATCCTGCTGCCAGTTACTGACCCTTATTGCTGGAGGAGCCCCAGACACTTTTCTTGCAGTCTGGAAATGCATACACACAGAGAGACCAGTTCAAGAAAACAGAGCCCCAGGGAGGAGAAGGGACTTGTCGAGGGCCACGAGGGGGCAGGACTAGAATCCAGATTCTTGACTCCCTCCTTGGACGGAGGCCTCTGTTTCCTGCAGGCCTTCCAGCTGCTGGTGGGTGAGCTCTCTTTACACCAGGCACACTGTCTGGAAGCACCAGGAGGAGGCTGGTTCAGTACAGTCGTAGGTGGTTTTCTAACTGGCATTCACTGAAACGCTGATCCTCTAAGGCACCCCACCCCCAACACCAGCCTGCCTGTCACATGTTGTGACACTCTTGTCACTCAGCACCTCTCAATTCCTGCCTTTCTGTCCTTGACATGCATGCACATGCATGCACACACATGCACACACACACACACGCACACACACACACACACACACACCCTGAGAAGCTCTCTCTGTCCTCTAGGGCTCCACTGCACAGTCTGATGAGGGTCATATTATTCATGCCACGTTTCCTCTGCCTGCTCAGCCACAGACCTCCCATGGACACATCTTACTCACTCCTGCCTCGGTCCCTGCAGTGTCCAGTGCAGAAACTCCACAAACAAATCCACGAATGACAGTGTTGGATCTCAGATCACTAGCTCAATACACTCAGTGCCTTTCTTCCCTCACGACCCCCTACCCCCACCCCAGGGCCCCAGAGCTCTCACGGCCCTCTCCCCCTGTAAGCAGGATGGGGATGGAGGCAATAAACTCACCACTCCAGATGATAGGGACAGGGTGTATCATGTCTTAACCAAGAACCAGACGAGGACAAGGTGGAGCCTCGCTCTCACAGCCCTCTCCCCCTGTAAGCAGGATGCAGATGGAGGCAATAAACTCACCACTCCAGATGATAGGGATGGGGTGTACCATGTCTTAACCGAGAACCAGACGAGGACAAGGTGGAGCCTCACTGGTGGGATTCTAGACACGCAACAGGCCAGTGGCAACTGTGGCTGACATTTATTGCTATACGCCAGTCCCTGTCAGTTGCAGGCATTGTTTCAGCTACTCCTCACCACCTACCCCCTAGGGACAGGCAGTGGCACTCCCCATGAGAAGGTGAGGGGAGACTCAGATGCTGAGATGTAAAAAACCGGCCCAAGGTCAAAGCTCCGGGGAGCAGAGCCAGGACTTTGCACGGAGCACCCATTCTAGCTGACAACTTCCAGCGCTCAGGGCCGTGCCCACTCTGCTGCTTTGCTGGGGGGTTCTGGAGGGTCCTGCCCAGCTCTGTCCCTGTCCTCCCTCCACTCCCAGAACTGAAGGAACAACGAGAATATGTGTGGGACCCAGGCATCCCGTGGCCCTGTGCAGAGCGCTGAGGCCCTAGTGGCAGTGGGTTTCCCGTGGGATACCAAGCTGGCTGGGTCCGTGGTCCTGAGCTGGCTGAGGGGGCTGGGGTTGGGCGGGGAAAGGCTAAAAAAGTTCCTTTATGCACCAAACAGCCTGCTGCCTGCCCCCTCTCTGTCAGCACACTGTCACCTCCTAGCAGCCCTGCACAGGTCCTGGAAGTGGGCCAGGACAGCTGGGAATAAGTGTTCTAAGGAATCAGAGTTCATGCTCTTTGTCTTGGAAAGGCGTACGAGAGAGTCATAACAAACTTTTCCCCATGATGACTAAGGTCTGCCCTCTGCAACTCCTTCCTCTCCTGGTTGTATAAAATTCCTTGTAGCGGCTCTCTATCCCGTGAGAGAAGTATTATATTTAAAGTTGGAAGGGACCTTAGAGATCATCACTCAATTCCCATTCCCACTGTGATATGCACGTGAGCAAACCAAAAGCAGAGAAAAGGCCAAAAACCAGAGCCCAGGACCAGAAATTGAAACCTTCAAGGCCACTTTGCCCAAAAGCAGACCCCACAGAATACCAATTGCATAGAACCGTTAGACAATGAGAAAAAAAAGATCCTATGGCCAGCCGGGCGCAGTGGCTCACATCTGTAATCCTAGCACTTTCGGAGGCCAAGGTAGGCGGATCACCTGAGGTCGGGAGTTTGAGACCAGCCTGACCAACATGAAGAAACCCCATCTCTACTAAAAATACAAAATTAGCAGGGCGTGGTGGCAGGTGCCTGTAATCCCAGTTACTCAGGAGGCTGAGGCAGGAGAATCACTTGAACCCGGGAGGCGGAGGTTGCGGTGAGCCAAGATTACGCCACTACACTCCAGCCTGGGTGACAAGAGCGAAACTCCGTCTCAAAAATAGAAATAAATAAATAAATAAATAAATAAATAATAAAGATTATATGGCCAATTAAGTTTGGGAAATGCCCTTAATACTAAAACAGAGTGTGCCACTTGTAGAAAATCTCAGAGTCTTTAATATGAGAAAAAGGGAGAAGAGGCTAACCATGGTTTCTCAAACTTATTTGACCATGGAACCCTTTTACTGCAGATACATCAGGACCAATGTTCCATGGAACATACTTTGAGAAAGGTTATTCTGGATTCTTGAGTCCAACTCCCTGTTGGATATTTGAACCATTCCTACTGCCACAGCTCTCACAAGTGAATGTCTAGGTGGAGGTACAGCTCCAGTGCCCAGGCACTCACTATCTCCGTGGACAAGCAGTTCCATCCAAGGCAGCTCTACTAAGAAGTCCCTCTTCTTCTGTTCTTTGCAGTGGAGTCCAGGCCTGGGTCCAGGTATTGTCCTCCCAGGTGTGCAGAGTCTAGGTGAAGCCAGTGGCTAACCTGGTTCAGGCCTCTGCCACCGAATACATCCCTTAGTCCAGCTAGCTGTGTCAGACGGACTTCTGAAGGCTTGGGAACCTTCCCAAGGGACAGTTCCCAGAGGGACAGTTCCCATGCATAGCTGGGCAGAGTCACAAAAAGAATCATACAGCACTGTGTCTATGAGCTCAGCTTCTGAAGCCCAGGAAAGAGGGAGACCCTCTGCCCACTCACCCCACTAAATCAGCGGTCGTCACTGCAGGACCATGGAGATATCAATCAGGGGGTCCTACCCAGCAGCCCAGGCCCAGAGCACTGGCGATGGAGTAAGACCATGCGTGGTTCCAATTCCAGGCACTTCCTCACTGTGTGACCATGGCCAAGGCAGGCAACCTCTCTGAACCTTGGTTTCCTCTTCTATGCAATGGTGCTGACTTCCTGAGTATTAAGGGAGGTTGCCAGGCAAAACTGCCTCCTGGCACAGTGCCCGGCATACAGTGCTCACCCAACTGTGAGGCCCCATCTGGCTCTTTGGCTCTTGATAATGTCCCTTCCTTTCCCCTCTACCCAATCCAGGATATAGTCACCTGGGCTATTTGTCCCTCCAAACTTCCCAAAACTCTTTCCCTGCATCCCTGTGGAAAATGTGGATGCTCAATGGAACTTCCTGGATCCACAAGTCAGACTTAAAAGTGAGAGGAATGGCCCTCCCTTTTCATTCATCCAGGATACAGTCTGAGAGCAGCCTCTCTCTCTCAAGGATTTGCTCATTAGCCCCATCCCCATGGAGAAACCATCTCTGACCTCAATCCCTGCAAGCCAGCTCCCTTTCTTCCCCGCCCAGCTGTCCACTTCCTGGGACAGAAAGACTACGTTGGATTTTCTCACCAAGTCCCAGGCAGCCCCCAAGCCCTAGTGCATCCCACGGCGTCAGTATACACTATACCAGGCCCTGTCTGCAGGTCGTGTGTCCAGCCCCCTTCTAACTTTTTTCCCCAACTCCTTTTTGTGCCCATGAGAACATCCAGAACATTCATTTCCAATTGTTGAGCCAACAGTGCATGAAGGACTTAAGCCCCAGGCTCTGGAGCCAGCCTGCCATGCTTCAAGTCCAAGTCACTTACTGGTTGTGTGACCATGGGCAAGTGGCTTAACCTTTCTGAGCCTCATCTGCAAAATGAGAGTGAGGACGGTATTTACCTCATAGGGTTGGAATGAGGACAAAATCAGGTAATGCACGTAGAAGGTTTATCTCAGTGCCTGGAGCAGAGAAAGTATTTGTAAATGTTAGCATCGTTAAATATGGACTTCCTGACTCAGTGTTGGCTCATAAAAAGTCCTCGGTGGAAGATATTTTCTTCCCTTCTCTCCAGGAGGCATGGGCACCACCACAGGAGGTAGGACAATTATTTCCCACCTGCCTTCAGTCACTCTTCTTGGACCAGTGGATGGAGACTGTTTACAAAGCCCCTCCATTGACCTGCACCTCTCGCACCTCCCAACTCTTCCAAACTGCAGTCTGGCCACTTTGGGTGAGCTCTGTCTTCCACTGGTTGTGAAGTTTGCCTGGTCCTCATTTTTCTGCCCCAAAAGGAGCTGTGTCTTTGCAACCCCAGAAAGGCTGTGAGCAGCAATTACTCCCATCTCCAGGGGCCAGATTATTCCAGGTCAAATCAAGACCAAGACCAGGGGCTGCCAGACAGGGCAACCACAGTTCTGGAAAGATCTGGTCCCTTAAACAGAGGTGATTGGCAGAGGCTCACCCAGGCACAAGCCTCAGAAATGAGACGGGTTCTGACGGCCTTCCTCCCCGTCCTGCAGCCAGGGCCCCCATCCAGCATCAATGAAAGCAGAAGCCACAGTTATTCCCAGCCGTTGTGCTAGGGGGCTCCCATCATGGCAAGTCCTCAGCCCAGTCCAGCCCTGGCAGACAAGTGCACCCCAGAACACGACCCAGCCCAAGCTCCTGGCTCCACACCAGCACGAGAAGTCCCAGAAGAAGAGCAGCCTTCTTAAGGAGCTGGGGGTGAGCATCCACTTCCCAGGGTCCCAGCAGTGGGAGGCAGAGGAGAGGGGGATATGAGGAGGATGCTGGGGGGCCCCAAGGGAAGAAAGGGAAAAGAGAAAGGCTCCAGCTTTCCTGCTGAACATTCATCTGAACTGGAAAAGGCCTTGAAGATTGGAGAGAATCTGCCCACACCTACTACTGCCTTGTGAGGTTTGGACAGGGCCCTGTCCTGGGGAGAATGGCAGAAGGCTGCCAGCTCCAGGATAGATAGCTCCCACCCATGGGGCCCTTGGCAGCTTCAGCTCTTTCTGCAGGAAATCCTGGGGAGTGGTCCTTCTTAGAGAGCCTGGTCTCTGGGATCCCTAAGAGGACAGAAGGGACTCACCACAGCCAGTAGGTCCAGGGCACTAGTGGCCTCAATTAGAGCCAGTGACCGATGCCCTCACCCCAGCCATTCTCTCTTCCCCACCCAGGCCTTCCACATCACCATCGCTCTGCTGCACCTGGTCTTTGGGGGCTACCTGGCCTCTATAGTCAAGAACCTTCACCTGGTGGTGCTGAAGTCTTGGTATCCATTCTGGGGGGCTGCCTCTGTGAGTAGAAGGCAAAACACAGACCGGGTGTGGGAGTCTGCAAGGCAGGCCTGGGAGGCCCTGGCATTTGGGACAGGATGCAGGGTGGGATAGAGAGAGCTAATAGGAGTGCGGCAGAAGCGAGGCCCTTTCTCCAGTGTTCCTAGCTCTGCTTCTTTTATCTTAGTCACAATGGAAATAGCTCCTTCCAGGGAGCCCCTGTCAATTCTGAGTCCCAAGAGAGCACTTGGAGGCTATCCATTCTCCCATAATTGAATATGTGCATTTGGCAAAGAGGAGGGTGAGTAAGACCCAGGGACAGCTTCATTCTTCCCCAGCCTTCTGAGCAGCCAGGCTGCCTCTGGATCCAGCTACAGGTGCCCTGTTGGGGTTGAGCTACAAAAACACACAGGGTGTAAGGTGTGGCTCCTGTCCTCCCAAGGCCATCAGCCAGGATGGGAGATGACACTGGACCAGTGCATGCACCATTTCCCAGAAGCTCTACATTCCTTCAGGTCTCCAGGGAGCCCACCCCATTCCTGACTCCCAGGTGGAGTCCTGCCTATGCACTAAGTCCAAGCTCCACGGCACTGTCTTGGGCAAGTATCCCAATCCCCCTTTCACATCAGTCCACTGTTCTCACTGCCCACAGGATGGGGCTTTCACTGCACAGTGATAGAACTTTCCACACATGCAGTGCTTATTCACCCTGTGCTCCCAGGGACTAGCCCATAGTAGGTGCTCAGTGCACATTGGAAAGAATGATTGCAGAGGTGCTCCCAGAGACCTTGGAAGCAAGAACTCATATCCTCCCAACTGCAAGATTCAAGAAAAGAGAAACAGTCGGGGTGGAGGGGATAGTGCCACTGATCCCAGCGATGGTTTGGGTTTGTAAAATGAGGGAAGCAGGAGGGTCTAGGAGGGAGTTCTAAGTGCAGGGCACAGCTTGGTCCAAGGTGTAGAGATGGGAGGAGGTATGGAGGTTTGTGCACATGGGAAGATGTGAGGTGGGGCAGCTTCTTGGATGGGCCACATGGCAGGCAAGAGGAGCTCACTTTGCTGGAGGAATAGTATTCCCTGCCCCACTGGCCGCCAAGGGTTGATTTTCTTGGAGAATAGGGGTGGGGGTGGGAATTTGTGGGTTTTGAGGAACCCCAGCTTCTCTCCTTTGACTTTCAAATCTGTCCTGCAGTTTCTCATTTCAGGGATCTTGGCGATAACAATGAAGACCTTTTCTAAAACTTACCTGGTGAGTGGGCACACTGAGATCATTCTCTTCCATCTGAGCATGGCATAACTTTGTTAAGGGCATCTGTCTGTAGGGGTGATTGTGAGGGCACTTCTCCAGGACTTGCTAAGAGCAGGCTCTTGCCTTCAGGACAGCAGAGGATGTCCAAGCAGAAGGGTCCAGATGCAGACAGGCTGACAGACTTGGCTGTGGGAGGAAAGGAAGCACCATCTGAAGCTTCTCTCTTTCCAGTGCAGTGAGGCAGAGAAGGAAATGGCTCCCAGGCACCCTGACCCATCCATCTAGGACACAACTTTGCTTCCTCTCAAATCTACTGTGTCTTAATCTTAATCACCACATAGCCTGCAAGCCCCAGCCTCCAGCTGGATTTGCATCTACTTCTCCTCTCTAAGAGCCAGGCAGATGGAACGGTGGTCCTCCCTTTTCTGCCCGTGCTGGCCACTGCCCAAACACCTTGCCCTCTCCCCTGCACACATGGCTCCCATCTTTGACTTACTCCTGACCACTCAAGACAACCTGTATGTCTTGTCCTCCCGGAGATCTTCCCTGACCTCCATGGCTGCCTTCCATTCTCCCACAACTCTGTGGACTTACCTGTCTCTACTGTACACTAAATTATTTCTGGGCAGAATGTGCCCGAGCATAGTGATAGCCCAAGGTGGCCCAAGTAGGCACAGAGTAGACACCTAGCACAAGACTGGATGGGTGGAGGTGGATGGATGATGGAAGGAACATCCCTGCAAATCACAGCTCACACCCAGGTCTTCCCACCTCCCCTCCTTCTGCCCCCGAAGCCCAAGCCAGGTCCTTCCCTATTTGTGTCCCTCAGCCTGGCTAGGCTGTGGTTGCTCCCTACTTTCTCAGAGGGCATACAGAATAGAAGGATGGTTGTGCAGTTTACCCAGCAGAGGCAGGAGATGCTTGACAAAGACGTGCCCATTCCCCAGACCTCACCCTCCTGGGCTGAGCCCCTTTTAGAACCACAGGCCTCTTGCTTTGTATACCTGAGCATAAGGACACTCTTACTGTAAAGAAACCCATTCCAGTATAAAAGGCTACAGATTCCATATGTGCATAGTCTTTCCTCACTAGGAGGATTTGCACTTGGCAAGAGGCTCTTGGAATGATGCTTAACCCGAGAGGACGATGAATACAGGCATTTCAGGAACCATGGCAGGTGGGCGGAGAAAATGGGCTGGTACTGGGACATGTGAGGATAGGGCACTTTCAGAGCTCCTCCTGACCTTTCTGGTGGGGAAGGGGCTGGATGAGGGGTCACCTGGGTGTCGAATCCCTGACACTTGGCATAGCTGATGTAGGATGGTCGGGGCTGGCTTTGAGCAGGAAATGGCAATAGGGCATCCTTTATTGCAAAGCTCTTGGATCTGAAGGCAGCTCTTGGGTTCTCCCAATTTGTCCCATAGAAGGCAAGGGCCAGCTGGACCCTCCTCAGTGGTCACACAGGAGCAGCTCAGCTCAATCCTGTGTGAGGGGCTGAGGGGCCAGTGACAGGCAGAGGGGGCCTTGGGCCCAGTGACAGGCAGAGTCTCTCCTGAGGCTACAGAGGAAGCTACTGGCAAGCATGAGGGGAGGACCTAGCCCCAGGTCTCCACCCTTTGGACAGCTGTTACCTTTATTTTTCACCTATAGAAGATGTTGTGCCTGATGACAAACCTCATCAGCCTCTTTTGCGTGCTGTCTGGCCTCTTCGTCATCTCCAAGGATCTCTTTCTGGAGAGCCCATTTGAGTCCCCGATCTGGAGAATGTACCCCAACTCCACGGTGAGTACCCAGGCCTGGAGGGCCCTCTGACTTCAGCGAAGGTGCTGCCTTGGATTTGGCCAACAGGAGGTTTCCAGCTCACAGAAAGCCCCTCCTGGAGCCCAGGTGTGGGCTGCTGGGCCCTTTGCCAACCTGTTTCTGTCCCCTACAAGGTGTGGTGGAAAGGTGGGTGCTGGGCTGCTGACTGGTCAGCATCACTGAATCCAAGTCCACTTTTATAGATTGGGAAATGGGGCCAGAGACGGGGAGGAGCCTGCCTGAGGTCAAGCAGCAACTTGACGGCAAATCCAGGACCACAGCCTAAAACTGCTGATTTCCCAGCCAGGGCTCTAAGCATGGTGTGCCTGGTGGCCCCTGTGATCCGGGAGCCTCCCATCAGCCTTGCAAAGCTGGCCAAGTCCACTTTGTTACCCTCATCTTCTGGGAGTGAACACGGAGGTCCAGAGAGGCTAGATTAGTGGGTCTTTGACTCCAAGCCTGGTGCTCTTTTCACCATATCACTGCTGCCTCTGAAGCAGAAGGCAGACCACTGGGTGCCTCTGGGCCAGGCTCCAAGAATTCTTTTTTCTTTTTTTTTGGAAGGGGCGGGGGAACGGAGTCTCACTCTTGTCACCCAGGCTGGAGTGCAGTGGCACAATCGAGGCTCACTGTAACCTCCGCCTCCCAGATTCAAGCAATTCTCCTGCCTCAGCCTCTCGAGTAGCTAGGATTACAGGCACCCACCACAGCCACCACCACGCCAGGCTAATTTTTGTATTTTTAGTAGAGATGGGGTTTCACCATGTCGGCCAGGCAGGTCTCGAACTCCTGACCTCTAGTGATCCTCCCGCCTCAGCCTCCCAAAGTGCTGGGATTACAGGCGTGAGCCACCATGCCCACAAGGGTTCTGACCATAGTGGTTTGTTATTCCTTATCTCCTCCCAGCACATACACACACGTGCATACACATGCACATCACATGCATGTGCGAGCATGCATGGACACACATGTGCGTGCACACACACACATATACATATGCTTCCCCATCAAATGCATGTGATACTATGAGATGACTCCCAGCTGCACGGCTCTTCCCCTCCTCTGCTGTAAAACATGCTCCCTCACTCTGGGACTAGGTACCCCCATCTGTCAAATAGGCTTGGATCAGATGACCCTAAGGCTACCTTCATTCTTACCAGGGACCCATGAGATTCTCCAGCCCTCAAACGTTAGGCCAATACTCACCAAAGACCCATATGTGCCAGGCATTGAGTGTAGGGCAGTGACCAAGACAGACCAAGTCCCCGTCCCACAGAGACCCACCCTGCCTTCCCCACGCACACCTGGGAGCTGAAACCCCACCTGCCCTCTGCTGTGGATCTTAGCAAGGACCCCTGCCTGGCTAAGCCCACGTGATGCGTGCAGACACCCAGCGAGGCCTCACCCTGCCTTCCTTCCCTCTACCCTCTCAGGTCCACATCCAGAGGCTGGAGCTGGCCTTGCTCTGCTTCACTGTCCTAGAGCTCTTCCTGCCAGTGCCCACAGCTGTCACAGCCTGGAGAGGGGACTGCCCATCTGCAAAGGTAAGACAAGGGCTTGTCTTCCCAGGAAGACAAAAAATGGGGGCATGAGGCAGCAGAGAGCTCAGAAAGGAAAGATATGTGGGGGTTACAAGAGGAGCGTGTTTCATTCATTCCTCACGTTGCTGAGCGTTCACTAAGTGACAGCCCACGATCCAGTAGGGGAGCCAAGGCACGGGGGCAAGAGAGGAGGCCAATCCAAGGAGAAAAGGGTGAGGCTGCCAGAGAGGAAACTCCATGGGTGCCCAGAACAAGAGGCTACTGTGCTGCCAGCTCTGAAGGCCCTGGGGAAATTGCATCACAGAGGCCCATGATGACCGGGCAGGATTCGGACCCACAGGCATAGGTGGAAGAGAGACTTTCAGCAGAGCAAGAAGAGCACGAGCACTGGCTTGGAGACAGGACAGAGAAGGCCTGGGGAAGCTATGGTGTGTGTGGAGTTTGGCTGTAGTGGAAACAAGTGACAGAGTCATCAAAGATTGGGCATTTAAGGAATTGCAGGGACTCTATTAAGCATCAATCGATGCATCCATTGATGGATGGATGGATGGATGATGTATGGATGGATATAGACGTGCAGATATACAGATAAATATAGCTGTATTTAACTTTATCTTCTCAATAACCCTTTTTCTTTTGAGACTGAGTCTCACTCTGTCACCCAGGCTGGAGTACAGTGGCACGATCTCGGCCCACTGCAACCTCCGCCTCCCGGGTTCAAGCAATTCTCCTACCTCAGCCTCCCAAGTAGCTGGGACTACAGGCATGTGCCACCATACCTGGCTAATTTTTGTATTTTTTTAAGTATAGATGAGGTTTTGCCATCCTGGCCAGGCTGGTCTCAAACTCCTGACCTCAAGTGATCCACCACCCATGGCCTCCCAAAGTGCTGGGATTACAGGCATCAGCCATCATGCCCAGCCCTCAACAACCCTTTGAGGTACTTACATTCTCATACTACAGACTAGCAAGCTGAGGTCCAGAGAGGTCACATCACTTCTCAAGGCGAAGCAGCCAATTAGGAAATCCAGGACTCAGCCTGAGCTATGTCCAACCCACAGTCTTGCCCTTGTCTACCCATGGGGATGGCATAGGGCTAGATATATTTTAAAATAGAAGGCAAGTCTCTGCTCACCCCAAAGATCCTGAACAGTTCAGGATAAGGATGTTTTATAAAAGAAAAAAAATAAATAAAAAATAAAGACCCTGACCAGAAGTGATCTCTAAGGCTCATTTCTTTAAAGAAAAAAAAATCATATTACAATCTCAACTTTAGAACATTATTTAAAAAAGTGCCAAATCCCCCATAATTCTTCAAGTTTGACACTGATTTTCATGTTAGTGACCTCATCACACACCAAGTGTTCACATAATGCATATATAAGTTGATGGCCTCTGAGTTTCATTTAACATCAAGCAGAGAAGGTGTCTTTGTTAATTCCTAGCTGCCTGACAGGAAGTCTTCTCATTAAGACATCAGAAAGCCAGATGGGGGTCTTGAGTCACTGAGGCCAACCCCACTTTTAAGGATGGGGAAAACTGGGGCCCCATACCTAGCTGCAGCTATGAGCAATAATTGTTCCTATTTATTGACCTTTGCTGTGTTCCAGGCACTGTGCTAGTGCTGCAGGTGGCTGTATTCATTTTCTATTGATGTTGTAGTAAATTATCACAAATTTGGTGGCTTAAAATGACACCTGTATTACCCTACAGCTCTGGAGGTCAGCGGTTTGAAATGAGTCTCAAGGGCTCAAATCAAGGTGTGTCGCCAGGACTGCATCCCTTCCGGGGGCATCAAAAAGAATCTCTTTCCTTGCCTTTTCCAGCTTCTAGAGGCTGCCTGCATTCCTTGGCTTGTGGCTCCTTCTTCCACCTTCAAAGCCAGCATCACAACATCCTCCAATAACCCTGTCTCCCTCTTCTACCTTTAAGGACCCTTATCATCATACTGGGCCCAGAGAGATAATCCAGGAGAATCTCCCAATCTCAAAGCTGATTGGAAACCTTAATTCCATCTGCAACCTTAATTCCTCTCTGCCGTGTGACCAGAGATTAGAACATGGGTGTCTTCTGGGGGCCGTGCTTCTCCCTACTGCACTAGCTAAGATGTCCTTGAATCTCACGGCCATTCTGGGACGCAGGTTCTGCTTTTCCATTTTAAAGAGGAAAAAATGAACCTTAGAAGAGTTACGTGACTTCCCATGGTCTCACAGCCAGTAAGTGGCCATGCCAGGTTCCCCAATGGGCCCTGTGCCCTCCCCATCGGTAAGGATGGTGCCAGGGACAGGCTCTCCAGCACTGAGTTGGTGCCACCCTCATCACTAATCAGGGATGGAGGTGTGGCAGCAATCATTGGCAGACACTGTTGGCATTAGACCTGCCCCTAGAGTGTATCCTGGCTAGAAGGGACTTGGGTCATGGCCCAGCCCCCCTCAGGAAACCCAACAGGGTGAGTGACTTGCACCTGGTCACCAGGACACTGGTAGCGGGACGGGAACCAGAGCCCCATCCAGTGACTCCCATGTGGGCCTCCCCCTACTCCCTTTTCAAGAACAGGGAGGGTGGAGGGAGTCACACACTGGTCTATGGAAGTCGCTTCGTCTCTCAAGCCTCAGTTTCCCCACATTCATGGAGAACTTGAGTCTTCAGAAGTGAACTAGCAGAGAAGTGTTTCGGAAGCAGCCAGTCGCTCCACAGCTGTGAGCAGCAGGGGCGGCGACTTTTCTTTCGCAGAATGATGATGCATGCCTTGTTCCGAATACACCATTGCATCTCAAAGGCCTGCCGGTGGAGCCCCCGCCATCCTACCAGAGTGTGATTCAAGGCGACGCACAACACAAGCAACATCAGAGGTGAAGAGGTTTGGCCCTGGCTCCCCAGACCTTCAGAACCCACGCTTGGCCCCTTCTCCCTGGCATAGATAGAAACCAGTTCCCAGGGGAGCTGTAAGGGGCAAGGGGCTAACAGTGCTGCAGCTAGAACTGCCTGGCCTGGGAGTGGTAGCCAAGGCAGCAATGGTCCTATCCCCTCAGGCACTAGAGGAACTCCCAGGGCCCCCCAGGAACATCTCAGCACCTGACTTGGTTGACCAGAACTACCTCAGCTGAACCTGGGCGCAACCAGGACCCATCGCCTTCCCTGCCAGCCTCCAGAGCAAACCCCTGGGCCTGCAGCCCCCTGGTGCCCCCCATGCCCTCTGGCCTCCCTTGCCTGCCTTCTCTGATCAATGGTGGATGCACAGGGGGATATAAGGGCAGCCAGGAAGGAAGGTCTCCAGAGCGGCACAGGCAGGGGCTTCCCTTGCCTCAACCTACTAAGACATCTCTGAGGGAGCCTGTGTGTCTGAATCCCTGGATTTGGGCTGAGGGCAGCTGGGGAGTTGAGTCCCATAGAAACTGTGTACAGTTCTTCCCTCTGAACTAGACCCTCTGCATGAATCTTTTTGCCCTCCTGGACCTCAGTGTCTCCATCTGTAAAGTGGAGGTGCAAGGATGACATGATCCAGGAGTCTCCCAGCTTGAAAGCTCTGAGATCAGGAGAATTCAAGGTTCACAGTTGTGACATCGAGGTTGCCAGTAAAACTTCAGCCTCGGAATTTCAAACCTACTTGTGCTAAGTAAATAATGTGAGGGAGAGGGACCTGCCTTCCTCATTTTCCTAATTTCAGTCATCTGAGGAATAGTCTTCAGGACTTTTGCTTATTTGTGAGCTGCAATGTATTCTGGTTTTTTTTCCACACTGATTCTTTTTTCTATATTATTTTAAAGGGGCACTTTGTAGCAGCAAGATATAGGAAATCAGTATCTTTCCATAAACAGAAGCAAACCCCAAAAATAACAAACATGTGAAATAAAACGCAATTTTCCCCTCCAACCCCGTGGTCTCACCCACTGCTTCCCTTCCTCTTGCTAGCTCTGCCCCAGCCACCATGGCTTCCTTGAGGTTCCACAGACACCCCAGGGACACCCCTGCCTCTGAGCCATCACCCTTGCCCTTCCTCCACCTGGATTCTCTTCCCCCAGGTATTTGCAGAGCTCACTCTTTGAATCTTTACTGGGCCACTGACTCTGAGCCAAGTAAATGCTATTTAATCTCAATGTCATTTAATCCTCCCATCGATCTGTGACCTAGCTGCTGTTGCTATTAATATCTCCATTTCATGCAGGCTCAGAGAAGTTAAGCAAGTTGCCCCGGACACATGGATAGTCACTGACGGAGCTGCGATCTGGACCCAGACTGCAAACTGAAGAGCCACTGCCTGACAATGCCCAAACTTGGTTGGAGCATAGCCCCTGCTCTCCCAAAGTTGCACTTTCACTGGGAAGATGAGATTTGCACATACAAAAGGCTAGAGCGATGGTCTATACAGCAAAGTCAGCCCTCACAGCTCCTGGGAACGCTGTCCTCTCAGATAAGCCATTTCTTACATAGTTGATGGCTCGATATCTGTGGTGGCCCAGATTGTTTTGTTTTGTTTCGCTTTGTTTTGTTTTCTTTTGTTTTGTTGAGATGGAGTCTCGCTCTGTTGCCCAGCCCAGAGTACAGTGGCACTATCTCAGCTCACTGCAATCTCCGCCTCCCTGGTTCAAGTGATTCTCCTATCTCAGCCTCCCAAGTAGCTGGGACTATAGGCACACGCCACCACGCCCAGCTAATTTTTATATTTTTAGTAGAGACAGGATTGCACCATATTGGTCAGCCTGGTCTCAAACTCCTGACCTCAGGTGATCCACCTGCCTCAGCCTCCCAAAGTGCTGGGATTACAGGCGTGAGCCACTGTGCCCAGCCCAGGTTTTGAAGTTGTCCGAGATAGCAGTCTGCTCTCTACTGCCTTATAAAATCCCTGTGTGAAGGGATGCTCTCAGTATCATTTGCCCTTGCACAGAATATCCCTGGGGTTTGAGGTTCTTTGAATTCTCCCTCTTTGTCATCTCTTTCGCTGCCACTTCTGGCTGTGGTCACTAGCTTGGCCATAGCACCTCTCTTCTCCACTTCTGATCTGCTGCTTCTAACCTTCTATAGATTGCAGCTGGCTTTAAAATAGATTGTAAAGTGTAAGGCATTAGGTTCTGAGACAGCGGCAGAGAGAGCCATGCAAATGTTTAGGACAACCCAGTCTTTCTTTTTTTTTTTTTTTTTTTTTTTTTTTGAGACGGAGTCTCACTCTGTCACCCAGGCTGGAGTGCTGTGGTGCAATCTCGGCTCACTGCAACCTCTGCCTCCCGAGTTCAAGCAATTCTCCTGCCTCAGCCTCCCGAGTAGCTGGGATTACAGGCGACCGCCACCACGCCTGGCTACTTTTTGTATTTTTAGTAGAGACAGGGTTTCACCACGTTAGCCATGATGGTCTCAAACTTCTGACCTCATAATCCACCCACCTTGGCCTCCCAAAGTGCTAGGATTACAGGCATGAGCCACCACCCCTGGCTGAAACCCAATCTTTCAAAACATGAAAGGGGGTGATGGAGAAAACCTTAGCTTGGTTGTCTAAAGACATGGGTGCAAACTCTAGGCTAGCTCTGCCAATCACTTACTGTGCGGGTTTGACTCAGTCCCTTCCCCTCACTAGGTCCCAGTTTCTCCATTTGTAAAACAAGCAATTGTGCTACATTGATGGTTTACATCAATAAAGGTTGAAACGGCTTCTGGTTCGACTTCTATTTTTCAAAAATCAGTCAGTGGAAGACTTGTCAATGTTCCCTTTGAAAGGGCACTGCCTCCGCAGGTGCGTGGTGGAAGCCCGGGCAGGGTTAGCTGGTCTCGGCGGAGCATGGCCACAGCCCAGTCCCTGAGTGGCTCATCAATACCGCGACCTGCTAGAATGGCTGGTATCTTCTACACAGTATGCAGAATTTCTAACACCAGGCTAGAAACAGAAAGCAATCTTTGACTATTGTTAATACTGTGGTTAAATTTTAGTCTGTATTTTGACTTTTTTTTTTCAATTTTTTTTCTCTTTTGAGATGGAGTCTCACTGTGTCGCCCAGGCTAGAGTGCAATGGCACGATCTCTGCTCACTGCAACCTCCGCCTCCCATGTCCAAGCGATTCTCCTGCCTCAGCCTCCTGAGTAGCTGGGACTACAGGCGCATGCCACCACACTCGGCTAATTTTTGTATTTTTAGTAGAGACAAGGTTTCACCATGTTGGTCACGCTGATCTCGAACTTCTGACCTCATGATCTGCCCACCTCAGCCTCCCAAAGTGCTGGGATTACAGGCGTGAGCCACCATGCCCAGCCTTTTTTTTTTCAATGTTTTGAGGCAGGATTTTGCTCTGTCACCCAGGTTGGAGTGCAGTGGCACAGCCATAGCCCGCTGCCAGCTTGAACTCCTGGGCCCAAGCAGTCCTCCCATCTCAGCCTCCTGAGTAGCTGGGACTACAGGTGTGCACCACCACGCCCAGCTAATTTTTTAATTTTTAGCAGAGCTCTCGATATGTTGCCCAGGCTGGTTCTTCAAACTCCTGGTCTCAAGCAATCCTGTCGCCTCGGCCTCCCAAAGTGCTGAAATTAGAAGTGTGAACTGCCACACCAGCTGATTTTGATATGGATTCAGCCCTAAATGAAGCCTACTATCATTTTTACTCATGATGAAAAATTCAAACATACAGAAAACTTAATAGTACAATTGACACCCTTATAGCTCCCCTGAGATTACAGTGTTAACATTTTGCATATTTGCTTTCCCTCCTTCTCCACATATATATGTCTCTTTATATATACGTATGTGTGTATATAGACCATGTATATAGTAGACATAGATAGACATACATTTGTATATATACTTTTTCATTGAACCATTTGTAAGTTGCAGACATCATGACTTTTCCTCTCTAAATTCTTCTACCTGCATTATTTCCTAAGAATAAGCACATCCTCGTATGTAATCATAATACTATTATCACACTAGGAAAATTAAAAATAATTCTATAATCCTAATACCCTGTCCGTATTCAAATATCCCCCACTAGGCCAAAAATGTCTTTATTGTGTTTTTTTAAGCTGGATCTGGCCACGTTTCACACATTAGATTTGATTGTTACATCACTTTATTTTCTTTTAATCTAGAAAAGCCCTCTCAGCTTTTTCATGACTTTTGAGACCAGTTGTCTTGCAGAATGTTGATGGTTTCTTCAAGGTGTCTTTCCCCTGCTCCTCCACCCTCCCTCTTTCCTGTAGCCTGGTAGTCACATCTAGAAGACCCTCGAATCTTGGTTCAATGCAGGGTAAGCACAGTTGGGGAGAACACTCCAGAGGTGATGGTGTGACCTTCACCCTGCACCCAACCCGGGGTACTCGGGGCCAGCTCATCCCTCGATTAGCGGCTGGTCCCAAGGAACTGTCATGTCTCTCCATGGCCAGCGTCATTTTTCATTTCTTCCTTCTCCTACAAAGTTTCTTTGCAGAAGATGAACCAAATGGCATCACATGTCAAGTAGGAAAATGTTGAAGTGTGTCTTTCTGTAATATCTGAACATATACTATAGAAAATTTTCACATGTATTAAACCCTAGCTTTATAACACTGTATTAAAACCAATGACTCGAACTCCATTTTTTTTTCTTTTTACTCAGAGTCTTTTTTTATCCTGGGCCACGCAAAATGCAGAGTCGTTGGAAATATATCTGGAGGAGTCATATGATGATGAAGCCCATCACAATGTACAGGGACTTCACAAGTCTGGATAAAGTTTAGGGGACACTGAACCAGATGATGGTTTTGTTCCTGGCCAGCTCTAGCACTCGAGGTTTCTACCGTGAGACAAAAGGACGATGTCACGGCCAACATCTGGCCTCAGGATGCTCTAACTTAGAGATGTCAGTTCAATGGCCTTGAGGTAAATAAACCAGAAGGCTCAGGGCCCTGGGTCCCCATAGGCAGATCCTTTCATTCCCTAACAAAGATACTGCCACAGTATTCCTGAGCCTGGGGAGGGGCAGGCTGTGTTCACCCTTTCTAGGGCAGGAGTGGGGGGCAGCAGCTCTCAGGGAGAAAGAGCACCTGGAACTAAGAACTTCCTCAACCACTTTCTGTGGAACTCAGGTAAAACAGCTAACTTCCCCAAGCCTCAGTTTTCTCATCTGTAAAATGGGAATGATAATCCCTCCCTCACAGAGTTATAGTGAGGCTCCGAAGAGACCATGGATATGAAAGCCCAACCTTAGTGGTCCCCAAAATGTGAGACGCTGAGGGGAAACCTGTTAGGGATTACTTCTTTTTCAATCTCTTAGATTTATTTAAGGACAAAATCTTGGTTTGGGACAGCTATATCTTTTTTGTTTGTTTGTTTGTTTGTTTGTTTTTTGAGACAGAGTCTCACTCTGTCACCCAGGCTGGAGTGCAGTGGCGCCATCTCGGCTCACTGCAAGCTCTGCCTCCCGGGTTCACGCAATTCTCCTGCCTCAGCCTCCCGAGTAGCTGGGACTACAGGCGCGTGCCACCACGCCTGGCTGATTTTTTGTATTTTTAGTAGAAACGGGGTTTCACCGTGGTAGCCAGGATGGTCTCGATCTCCCGACCTCATGATCCGCCCGCCTCGGCCTCCCAAAGTGCTGGGACTACCGGCGTGAGCCACCACACCCAGCCTGGGACAGCTATATCTTTAACACCTAACACTTGTTCTTCCTTCCTTTTACTAAGACAGCAAGCCCAGCGTGCAGCAGGCAATCGTATAGAGCCAGAATTCGACAACACAGTTTTGTTCCCATTGGGTTTTTTTTTTTTTTTTTGGTTTTTGGTTTTTTTTGTGCTGTTTTGTTTTGGTTTTTTGTTTGTTTTTTTGTTTTTTTTTTGAGACAGAGTCTCACTCTGTCACCCAGGCTGGAGTGCAGTGGCACGATCTCGGCTTACTGCAAGCTCTGCCTCCCGGGTTCACACCATTATCCTGCCTCAGCCTCCCGAGAAGCTGGGACTATAGGCACCCGCCACCGCACCCGGCTAATTTTTTGTATTTTTAGTAGAGACAGGGTTTCACTGTATTAGCCAGAATGCCCATTGGGTTTACTTTTATGCGTATCTTCCATTTATGGCAAGTGATACTGAATTTCTATTTATGGTAGTGCTATCAAGTGCTCTTTTATAATATACATATGTAAGTTAAAACAGTGATAGTGGATATGGGGTTTTCTGAAGGAGTGACAAAAATGTTCTAATATTAATTGTAATGATGCTTGCATAAGTCTGCCCATACTAAAAATCATTGATTTAAAAAAGAGGCCACTTAAGGAAACTTACTAAACAAATAGCGACACAAAACACAAATGTTTTAGAGTCATGAAGTTAGGCCGGGTGTGGTAACTCACACATGTAATCCCAGCACTTTGGGAGGCAGAGGTGTGTGGATCACCTGAGGTCAGCAGTTCGAGACCAACCTGGCCAACATGGTGAAACCCCGTCTCTACTAAAAATACAAAATAATTAGCCGGGTGTGGTGGCGCATGCCTGTAATCCCAGCTACTCGAGAGGCTGAGGCAGGAGAATCGCTTGAACCCAGGAGGCGGAGGTTGCGGTGAGCCCAGATTGAGCCATTGCACTCCAGCCTGGGCACCAAGAGCGAAACTCTGTCTCAATAAAAACAAATAAATAAATTAATAAAAATATTAAAAAATAAAGTCATGAAGTTAGAGCTTGAAGGACTGAAGTCTGGAAAACAAGGCAAGTAGATCTCTTCACTCCACTCTGTTTGCAGAAGGGAGGTGCAAGGGTTTGCACTCTGCAGTTGAGATTAAAAATTTACTGCGGCCCTTGAACCTAGAATTCTACTTCCTAATCTCATTGAACTCTGGTGTTGGAAGAATCTTTGCGGATCATC
Source organism: Homo sapiens (assembly GCF_000001405.40). Lineage (NCBI taxonomy): Eukaryota > Metazoa > Chordata > Mammalia > Primates > Hominidae > Homo > Homo sapiens. The sequence continues at coordinate 60,805,474 of NC_000011.10, forward strand.
TCAACTAACCCATCATGAGACAGATGGAGAAACTTGGCCCAGATGAAGCTTAGTGAAGTTATCCAGCAGACCTTTGATGGACATGAGGCTAGAACCCCGGTCCTGAGCTACCACCACACTTCCCCAGCCTGCCCCACCTGCTTTCCTAGGAGCCTGAGAGCAGGAACACGGCCAACTCCTATCTGCATCCAGCACCCTGACTTCCTGGCTCCCAAATTTATCATCTCCCCTAGACTATGAGATAATTCTGCAAACTCTAACCCCAGCCCGACCCTGGGAGCCTAAAAGAAACTTCAAAGCCACACCCTCTTCCTTCTCCGTCTCCATGACCTTAAGGCAGGTCACAGAGGCAGGACGGCATTGCACTCATTTACTCTTCATTCATTCCACAGGTAAAGACTGAGTCCCTACAATGCTATGTCCAGGGGCAAACCACCATGAGCAAACCCCAGCCTCTCAGAGCTCGGACTCTGGTGGGAGAGACAGGCACTAATCCAACGATCACACCTGCGAATGTATAACTACCATAAAGGGAAATTGAGAGGCGTTATGAGAGAATGTGATGGAGACCTAATCTGGAATACAGGGCATGGCCAGAAGGAGAGGCTGTGTGAGAAGAGGCCTGCAGGTGTCTGAGCTGTCCTGGCCCTGTCATTTCTTCTGCACAAAGACTTAGCTCTTCCCAGGTCAAAACCCTTAGCCTGCCCCTCACCACCCCTCATGGCTGTGATCACTTCCTCCCCACCTCCTCACTTCCTTCCAAACAGTCCGATTGCCTTGCATCCGTTCAGAAGCAGATTGTCCCCATGGTGTGTCAGGCCCCTGCCAGGTGCTGGATGCTCTTATCAGTTAGGGTTCCCCCATAGAAACAGAAACAGTGAGACATATAGACTAAGATTCATTGCAAGGAATTGGCTTATACGATTAGGGGGAGCTGCAGGCGCAAGTGTACAATTGGCAGAGCAGACACTCGGGAAGGCAGAGCTGGAGCTGCTGTCCACAGGGGGAATAACTTCATCAGGGGAACCTCAGTTCTATTCTTTAAGCTTTTCAACGGAATCAGGCCCACCCAGATTATCTAGGAAAATCTCCCTTACTTACAGTCAACTCATTGTGGATTCAATCACACCTACAAAATACTTTCACAGGTTTTTTTGTTTTTTTTTTTTTTGACACAGAGTCTCACTCTGTCACCCAGGCTGGAGTGCAGTGGTAGGATCTTGGCTCACTGCAACCTCCGCCTCCAGGGTTCAAGCGATTCTCCTGCCTCAGCCTCCTGAGTAGCTGAGATTACAGGCGCGTGCCTCCACGTCCGGCTAATTTTTTGTATTTTTAGTAGAGATGGGGTTTCACCATGTTGGTCAGGCTGGTCTCAAATTCCTGACCTTGTGATCCACCTGCCTCAGCCTCCCAAAGTGCTGCGGTTACTGGCGTAAGCCACCGTGCCCGGCCTACTTTCACAGGTATTAACACCTAGATTAATGCTTGGTCGAATTGCTGGGGATGTAGCCCAGCCAAACTGACACATCAAAAGATCATCACAGGCACACAGAGGCAAGAGAAGTTGTAGAACAAGTGGACAGGACTGGCAATCACAGAATTATCTTTGGCAGCCTGGAGGCTGGTAGTCGTCAAACATCCCCATGTTAAATTTTATTCCACTCCAATAGCTAACCTTTACTGAGTGCTTACTCTATGCCAGACACCATTCTAAGCACTTTTGCAAGAAGTCCTCACAAAAAGCAGTTTATGGATTAGGAGACTCAGGCCCAGAGGAGTTAAGTAATTTCCTGAAAGTCACGTAGCAAGAAAGTGGTAGAACGAGGAATCACACTCCATTGGATGCCAGAACCTGAACTTATGACTCGTGGCCGCTCTGCAATGCCGCCTCCGTTTGTCAGTTTATTTGTGCCAGAAGTGGCTGAGCAGTTTATCAGCATCTCTTCATCCTCAGGGATCTTTCTCTTTTTTTTTGAAACAGAGTCTCACTCTGTTGCCCAGGCTGGAGTGCAGTGGCATGACCTCGGCTCACTACAACCTCCTCTTCCTGGTTTCAAGCGATTCTCCTGCCTCAGCCTTCTGGGTATCTGGGATTACAGGCACGCACCACCACTCCCAGCTAATTTTTGTATTTTTAGTAGAGATAGGGTTTCACCGTGTTGGTCAGACTGGTCTCGAACTCCTGACCTTGAGTGATCCACCCACCTCAACCTCCCAAAGTGCTGGGATATTATAGGCATGAGCCACCAGGCCCGGTCATCCTCAAGGATCTTCTCAGAAAAGGGCTGTGGTTGTCTCTATTTTGCAGATAAAGATATGGAGGCCTAGAGAGGCTGCTTAACGCAGCTTCATGGTGGCAGAAACAGGACTCAAGCCTTCGTCTGATCAACGACAAAGTCCAGGCTCTTCTGTCTCTGAAACAGAAGTGAAAAGGCCCTTCTGCAAGATGGCTCCAGGGAGTGAAAAAATCAACACAAGACAACACAGTGAAATTAGGAGGCCCTGGGCCAGGCGTCATAGGAACACAGAGGAGCAAGCCACATTCGGCCTGGGCTGGGGCAGCCAGGGAAGTGCTGTAGGAGGATTAGATGCCTGAGCTGAGTCCCAGGGGGAAGAATGATATTCCAGGCGCAGGGCAAGCATGGACAAAGGCATGAGATGAGAGAAGCAGGGAGCAAGTGTAGCCTCCAAACACAGGAAATTCCCATTACACAGAGATTAGTATCCCAAGCCGGTGGACAAGATAAAAATCATGCAGGGGATGGCCAGGCGCAGTGGCTCACACCTGTAATCCCAGCACTTTGGGAGGCCAAGGCGGGCGATCACCTCAGGTCAGGAGTTTGAGACCACCCTGGCCAACTTGGCGAAACCCCGTCTCTACTAAAAATACAAAAATTAATTGGTCATGGTGGTGCACGCCTGTGGTCCCAGCTACTTGGGAGGCTGAGGCAGGAGAATTGCTTGAACCCAGAAGGCGGAGGTTGCAGTGAGCTGAGATCGCGTCACTGCACTCCAGACTGGGCGACAAAGACTCCACCTAAAAAAAAAAAAAAGAAAAAGAAAAAAGAAAAGAAAAATTATGGAGGGTCAAAGTTGCCCTTGAAGATCTCTTAAATTTCCCAAATAGTTTAATAACACAACACAGACCAACTGCGGGAACACCACATTCCCTCTCCCACATAGACTCACTCCGGGCATCAGCTCACAGAGAGGAAGCTGGTGGGAATGCCCTAGCTATTTAAACCTTACTTTTTTCTACCCCAACATCTTGGGCAGGGCAGGAGGTAAGGGGGACAGAGCGTGACGGTTGAACCTCCTCAGAGGTTCCACGTCTTGTCTGGGGTCTGCTCGAAGTTGACGTGACTGGGTTGCTGGGCAAGGCAGAGACTAGTAGGGATGCAGCAGCAGTGGGGCCAGCTCAGAGGTCCCACGTGGATCAGAACCATCTGGGAAGCCTTTAAAATCCCCAGCCCCCTCCCAACCTGCCCCCACCTCCAACAGCTCCCATTTATTTAGTCTAAAGCAGTGGTTCTAATTGGCAACGTCTGGAGACATTTTTCGTTGTAATGACAGGGATGGGGATGCTACTGGCATCTTGGGTAGAGGGCGAGGTCGCTGCTAGACATCCTATATGCTAAGGGCAGCCCTACAACAGAGAAGCAGCCAGCCCCAAATGCCAGTACTGCTGAGGCTGGGGAACCCTGTGCTAGGATGAGGCCCCAGAGTCCAGATTGTGCTGTAGGCCATAGGGAGCCATTGGTTTGTGTCCTGGGAAGATCTGTCTAGGACCACAGTATAGAAAGTCTGGATAATTTCCCACCTGGATGGGAGCCAGCAATTGCCCCACTGGTTCATCAGCTCCAGTGCAAACCACTGTGCAAACCACACTCCAGGCTCCAGTATTTGAGGAACTTCTTGCCCGTTTAATCCTGCCCTTCACCTTTCCCACAGTGAGTCCCCTGCCCTGCTCTGGCCAGCAGTTCTCGCCCTCAGAGAGGTCAAGTGCCTTGCCTAAGGTGGCACAGCAGGTGAGTGGTAGAGCTGGGTCAGGGCTGTAAGGGACTTGCCCAGGTGAGGGGGCTCACACAGGGCCACACAAAGGACCTGTCTGCATGAAGCCTCCCTGGCCATCAAAGCCAAGCCAGTCCACACGAGGTGAGGAGCCAGCCTGGCTACAAAAGGATGCAGGAAGGTGAGGGACGGAGGGAAGAGAGGGCCGAGAAAAAACTAGTGACAGAGGGAGGTGTGGTCATGGGAAGCAAGAGAAGCCATGGGGGTGAGGATGATTCCAAGATGAGAGAAGACAGCCCAAGAGTGTGTGCGAGTGTCTGTGCCTGTACACAGGAGTGGCGTGTGCATGGGTGTGCGCCTGTGTATGCGTGGGAGGTGTGTGTGTCCCGCTGCATCATCACCCTCTTTATTCAGAGCAATGTTGTCAGGCACCTATCAAATAAAGTAACTTCCCCGCCTTCTCAGGATGATTTCACACGGAAACCATGGGCTGAGGCACATGACGCTCCACCATGGAATTAAAAGGGCACCACAGGCAAATAAACCTTCCATGTCTCTACCTTTCTTAACTGAGCGAAACCTGGCTGTGAACCCCACCCGCCTGCTTTTCTCAGTCATTGTTGCGTTCTGCCTGGCTCCAATGGGTTCTACGGAAACTCCAGGGCTTTGTCCTTATAATAGTGGGGAGGAGGAAGGACCACATCCATGGTGGGCTCTGTTGCCCTTTTGGCTACACAATGCTGCTGACCACCCTGGGTATGCCCCTCACACCCTCAGGGTGGGGTGGGCTGGGCCTGCCAGTGAGCCCCTCCCCACTGCCCTGGAGTCCGGGTGCAGAGTGATCCATCCCTGCGCGCCACCATTTGTGAACCCGCACCCACCACCCCTCAGGTTTCCAGGCCTCCCACCTCCCCTAGAAAGGGCCAGTCTGTATTTCCTAGCCAAGCTCCCATCTGTCTTCTCTTCTCCCTCAGCCCCCTTCAGACAACTCCATTTTATTTTTTTGATGGGCCAAATCTTCCCCAGAATACCTACCTTGGAAACATAAGTAGGGCAGCCCTTGAGACTCAAAGATGACATTACCTCCCCAGTTGTCTCCTCACTCACTCAGACAAGAAAAACCTAGACCTCAGACCTTGACAGATTTCTCTGTTCTCTCCAGGAAGGGGAGGCAGTGAGCCTAGAGGCTGGAGCACAAAGGTGAAAAAAAGCACAGCTGATTTTTCTCCTGGCCTCTGCCCCTCCAACGAGCAGGAAAGGCGGATGTTTCTTTGCCGCAGAGACTTCCTGGCACCTGCTCCTGACTCCAGGGCAATGCTCGGGGAAACTCCCATTGCGAAGGGAGCAGGCCCTGTCTGTGAGCTGATTATGGCCTGTTACTTTTGTGCTAGAGGAGGAAGCAAATGCCTGAGCCCAAGGGGGCTGTGCGAGGTCTCTGGCCCATGGGTGCGGCAGGGCAACACGGTCCTCCCACTCCCAACCCCACATGCTCTGCCCCTCGGTGAGCCACAGCCTCTGCCTGCCTGCCCCCACCACCCACCAGGCCTTCCCAGGACACGGCTTCCTTGGATATCCACGTGGCTGCCTCCACTCACTTTCTTCCCCAGGCCTCATTGCCACCAAAAATCCTGCAAGACTCCTCCAAGAGGAGCTCCCAGAGAACAACAGATCCCCTACCCCCCATCTGTGGGAGAATGTGGCTTCGCGGGCTCTGAAGAGAGGAAGGGAAGGAAGAAGGGAGCCAGGGCTCCTCGGCAGCCTCATTTATCTCGGAGTCTGACTCCCCTGTGAGTCCAGAGAGCCGTACGCGATGCAGCCAACCCACCTGCCCCAGAGGCATGGCTGCTTTCTGGGTGGGGCAAAGAGAAAAGCCTGGAAGAGCATGTGTATTATCCATGTGTACCTTCAGTAGTGGCCTCTGCAGCCAGTAGAGAACCCCACCAGCCTCCTCTCCTTTTCAGAAATCTCTTGCTCCAGCCACACCCAAAACCTGGCATCCACCCCGCACCGCCACCTCCAAATGTCCTAGGTCTCCACTCCCCTCTGTCTGGTTCTTCTGCTTGGAAATCTGGAAGCCCCCATCCCGCCCCATCCCCCTCCTCATCCTTCCTTCTTATCCTCAATACACACCTTGTTGTGTGTGTGGTGCCTTGTTGTGGCCTGGCTGTCATGTGTGCTGTCCAGGTTTTTGTTGTTAGTTTGTTTTGAGATGGAGTCTCGCTCTGTCCCCCAGGCTGGAGTGCAATGGCGCAATCTCGGCTCACTGCAACTTCCACCTCCTAGGTCAAGTGATTCTCCCTCCTCAGTCTCCCGAGTAGCTGAGATTACAGGCATGAGCCACCACGCCCAGCTTTTTTACCATCCAGTTTTAAGGCTTTTACACTCACAGCCCTTCAGGGCTCAGATTAGTGGCATAAATGAGTTATAAAGTGGGTGCAAGACAACAGTGAGTGGCCATCAACTAGAAAGGGCTTGTCCCTTAGTTCCAAAAAATAAAAAAATAAATGGGCAAGACCCAAGAAGCAGAAAGGTCAAATTCCAAGGACCACAGACAATTGCCCTTTGGTGTATGCATATCTTCCCTACTCAACCACAAGCTCCTTCAGCACAGTGACATCTTCTATTGTCTTTTATAATAAAACACAAATTAAGGGCTTGGCCAGTTAAACTGAATTAAGATTTTCTCCACCACGCCTTTGCACATAATCTTGGAGAAACAACACGTTGGGTGGAACTGGCAATGGCCACAGCTCTCACCAAATCTCTGTCATGGTCTGGGTATGAATTAGAATCCCCAAAGAATGGCAAAGTATTGTTGACCACGTAACTGAATTTCCAAATTAACATCTTAATTCTCCTTGAAACTCTCTCCTTCCTGGCTTCCTCCATACCAGTGCTCTTGGAACACTCCAGCCATCTCGCTGTCCTCTCTGGTCACTGGGCATCCCCATCTGAACATGCACCAAGACATGGGGTAGAGATTTACCCTTCTCTATTTTTACTGTAGCATGGGCCAGGGGGGTGCCCTTAGTTAGGGGGTGCATAGAATTGATAGAAATTAAGAAGGTAGGGGCCGGATGTGGTGGAGCACACCTATAGTGCCAGCTATTCTGGAGGCTGAGGTGAGAGGACTGCTTGAGCCCAGGAGGTGGAGGCTGCAGTGCACTATGATCACACCTGTGAATAGTCACTGCACTCCAGCTAGGCAACATAATGAGACCCTGGCTGAAAAAAAGGAGAGGGGAGGATGATGCAATTTATATGCATCATCCACCTCCAGTCCTGGGCATAGGGAGGATGGAGAAGTAGGGAGAGTGATCCTGGAGGGACACCTGGAGAATGTGCAGCACAGACCCTAACATGGTGACTGTAATAGTCTGTTCTCACGCTGTTAATAAAGACATACGAGAGACTGGGTAATTTATAAAGAAAAAGAGGTTTAATATAAAGAAAAAGACTCACAGTTCCACATGGTTGGAGAGGCCTCACAATTGTGGTAGAAGGCAAAGGAGGAGCAAAGTCACGTCTTACATGGTGGCAGGCAAGAGTGAAGTCCATTACAAAAGGGGGAAAAGCCCCTTATAAAACCATCAGATCTCATGAGAACTCACTATCACGAGAATAGGAAGAGGGAAACCTCCCCCACCCCCATGATTCAATTATCTCCAACTGCTCCCTCCCATGACACGTGAGGATTATGGGAACTACAATTCAATATGAGATATGGGTGGGGACACCCATATCTCATAACAGTGACCCAACCATAACATAACCCAAACCATAACAGTGACCTAGATGGCAGTACACTAGCTGCTCAAATCACCTGCAAATTCTTCCCTCTGCCTCTGTGAAGACCAGCCTCTCCATTCCTGCTCCATCTAGCTGTCTCCTATCATCAGCTACCTTCACAGCATTAACACCACCCTGTGCATTAATGCCCTGAGCTCCAACTTAAAGAGTCCTAGACTGTCCCAGCCAGCAGGTACTTCAGGCATCAGCTGAAGTTACTGTAGTCTACTTCCTCTTTATGCAGCCAAGGAAGCTGAGGCTGATGGAAATGACCAGCCTGAGAATTAGAAGGTGACTAAAAGGAAGAACTGGAACTATCCCTCAGGCTGCATGCATGCCACCCCAAGCATCTGTGGGTACACAGTGACCAAGAAGCACTGCAGCTGTGTCAGCATCTGGAAAGGCAGAAAAATTAGGCAAGAGTCTTCAATGTTTAGCGGCAAAACTTTTTTTTTTTTCCTGAGATGGAGTCTTGCTCTGTCACCCAGGCTGGAGTGCAGTGGCATGATCTCGGCTCACTGTGACCTCTGCCTCCCAGGTTCCAGCAATTCTCCTGCCTCAGCCTCCCGAGTAGCTGGGATTACAGGTGCCCACCACCTCGCCCAGATAATTTTTGTAGTGGCAGAACTTTATAAAAGCAAAATCTTATGGTAGGTAATGCAAGTAATGGTGGTATTTTATTATATATTTTGCAATTCAATTTAATAGCATTTATCTGTTACAAAGAAAATCAATGAGAGCAATGAGGCAGTTTCAATTAGCACAAAATTTGAAACCAAGGAGTGTAGTAGCTGCATCCACTCATCCTCTTCTGAATTTGATCTGATTGCATAGTGTCAGCAAAGGCCTAAATCAAAAAGACAAGTAGTTGCAAATGATAATAGTTTTTACCAGCTTGTCTGACAATCTTGCAGTGCTATTCCATAAAACATAGTTGGCAGGAGAAATTTTAAGTCAAAGACAGCAGATATGGGATGAACAAACATCCCAAGTACCCAGTCCAGCTGCATCAGTGGCTGGGATGGCATTAGCAAACCCACTCCCTGTGCATATCAGTAGCACACCCTTAAAATGCATGCAAACTTTGATTCCTAACTTTCAGATTTCCTCCTACCGTGACATGAATTCTCACCAAACAAAGGCCAGAATGTTTTTTTGACATATTTAGCTATTGATAGGCTTTAGCTCTCCCTCTCCCTCTCCCTCTGCCTCTCCCCACGGTCTCCCTCTCTTTCCACGGTCTCCCTCTGATGCCGAGCCGAAGCTGGACTGTACTGCTGCCATCTCGGCTCACCGCAACCTCCCTGCCTGATTCTCCTGACTCAGCCTGCCGAGTGCCTGTGATTGCAGGCACGCGCCGCCACGCCTGACTGGTTTTGGTGGAGACGGGGTTTCGCTGTGTTGGCCGGGCGGGTCTCCATCCCCTAACTGCGAGTGATCCGCCAGCCTCGGCCTCCCGAGGTGCCGGGATTGCAGACGGAGTCTCGTTCACTCAGTGCTCAATGGTGCCCAGGCTGGAGTGCAGTGGCGTGATCTCGGCTCGCTACAACCTACACCTCCCAGCCACCTGCCTTGGCCTCCCAAAGTGCCAAGATTGCAGCCTCTGCCCGGCCGCCACCCCGTCTGGGAAGTGAGGAGTGTCTCTGCCTGGCTGCCCATCGTCTGGGATGTGAGGAGCCCCTCTGCCTGGCTGCCCAGTCTGGAAAGTGAGGAGTGTTTCCGCCCAGCCGCCATCCCATCTAGGAAGTGAGGAGCGCCTCTTCCCAGCCGCCATCACATCTAGGAAGTGAGGAGCGTCTCTGCCCGGCCGCCCATCGTCTGAGATGTGGGGAGCGCCTCTGCCCTGCCGCCCCATCTGGGATGTGAGGAGCACCTCTGCCCGGCCGCAACCCCGTCTGGGAGGTGAGGAGCGTCTCTGCCCGGCCGCCCCGTCTGAGAAGTGAGGAGACCCTCTGCCTGGCAACCACCCCGTCTGAGAAGTGAGGAGCCCCTCTGCCCGGCAGCTGCCCCGTCTGAGAAGTGAGGAGCCTCTCCGCCCAGCAGCCACCCCATCTGGGAAGTGAGGAGCGTCTCTGCCCGGCAGCCACCCTGTCTGGGAGGGAGGTGGGGGGCGTCAGCCCCCCGCCCGGCCAGCCGCCCCGTCCGGGAGGTGAGGGGCGCCTCTGCCCGGCCGCCCCTACTGGGAAGTGAGGAGCCCCTCAGCCCGGCCAGCCACCCCGTCCGGGAGGGAGGTGGGAGGGTCAGCCCCCCCGCCCAGCCAGCCGCCCCGTCCGGGAGGGAGGTGGGGGGGTCAGCCCCCCGCCCGGCCAGCCGCCCCGTCCGGGAGGGAGGTGGGGGGGTCAGCCCCCCACCCGGCCAGCCGCCCCGTCCGGGAGGGAGGTGGGGGGGTCAGCCCCCCGCCCGGCCAGCCGCCCCGTCTGGGAGGTGAGGGGCGCCTCTGCCCGGCGGCCCCTACTGGGAAGTGAAGAGCCCCTCTGCCCGGCCAGCCGCCCCGTCCGGGAGGTGAGGGGCGCCTCTGCCCGGCCGCCCCTACTGGGAAAAGAGGAGCCCCTCTGCCCGGCCACCACCCCGTCTGGGAGGTGTGCCCAACAGCTCATTGAGAACGGGCCAGGATGACAATGGCGGCTTTGTGGAATAGAAAGGCGGGAAAGGTGGGGAAAAGGTTGAGAAATCGGATGGTTGCCATGTCTGTGTAGAAAGAAGTAGACATGGGAGACTTTTCATTTTGTTCTGCACTAAGAAAAATTCTTCTGCCTTGGGATCCTGTTGATCTGTGACCTTACCCCCAACCCTGTGCTCTCTGAAACATGTGCTGTGTCCACTCAGGGTTAAATGGATTAAGGGTGGTGCAAGATGTGCTTTGTTAAACAGATGCTTGAAGGCAGCATGCTCCTTAAGAGTCATCACCACTCCCTAATCTCAAGTAATCAGGGACACAAACACTGCGGAAGGCCGCAGGGTCCTCTGCCTAGGAAAACCAGAGACCTTTGTTCACTTGTTTATCTGCTGACCTTCCCTCCACTATTGTCCCATGACCCTGCCAAATCCCCCTCTGTGAGAAACACCCAAGAATTATCAATAAAAAAATAAATTAAAAAAAAATAAAAAAGAATAACCAAAAAAAAAAAAAAAAAAATCCCAAGTAAACACATTAATGGATTCCAATAGTCAAATCTGGAACACAATGTACCTTTGAGTATGCTTGATTTCAACAGTTTGTTCAAATAGTCAAAATCTATATTTTAAAAGTGGAATTCTCATCAAATATTGTCCAAAAAAATAAATGAGTAGAAGTGAGACGGCCAGTCAAGTGTTTTGCCCTGCCGTTTGCCCACTGTGTGTGGCCTTGGGGATGGAGGGGGAGATGTTGGGGAGGTACAATGGGAAGGGAAACTTCTCCTCTCTGGCTATAAGTTCCCACATCTACAAAATGAATAAGCTGAAAGAAAATGAAAATATAACATATACAAATCTGTGGGATGCAGCTAAAGCAGTTCTTTGAGGGACATTGATAGTCTTAGATGTTTTTATTTGAAAACATGAGTAGACTCAAATCAATAAAATAACTTTCCAACTCCTTCCCTTAGAAGACCAGAACAGTCACAGCATCATACAAGCATGACTCCTAACAGGTGGATGCAATCTACCAGTCATTCTAGCCCATCACTCTCATTTTACAGATGGAGAAACTGAGACCTGGGGAAGGCAGCAACTGGCCTATCACACAGAATGTTAGTGGCAGAGCCAGGACTTGAACCTCAGACCTGTTATTGTTTCTCTTGGAGGTCAAAGACTGGGGCTTATCTCCCTGCCTTTATTCCTAGGATGGCACAGGTAGGAGATCCCGAAAACTTGTTATTCTTTGTGAAGCTTGATCAATGAAGAACCTTTAGGTCCCCCCAAACACTGGTCCATGTCCTCACACTGGACATGTGGCACTCACATGGCAGTTTCTCCTGGCAGTGCTCAGCTGTGTCCTGACACCCTTCTGGATCCTCCATCCCATTGATTAATCATCTTTGGGGACTAATTTCCTTAGACTATGTCCTTGGTTAGCCAACCTTTTCCTTTTGAAGCTGAATGGGGTCAGTTTCTGTTATTTGTGTTAATTCTGCTAGACTGGGAGACTAGTGGGGATTTTTCTAACTTTGTAATCCTGGCACTTAATATGTGTTGGAATAAAACATCTGTATGGGCGTGGTGGTGCACACCTGTAGTCCCAGTTACCCAGGAGGCTGTGGCGGGAGGATTCCTTCCTTGAGCCTAGGAGTTCAAGTCCAGCCTGGGCAACATAACAAGACTCATCTCTTAAAAAAAAAAATCTGCTAACTTTGCCCTCCTCTCGGCTTGTGTCTGGGGAGGACCCTTAAGGAAAGAGCAGCCACATGGCTGGGGCTGGGCTCAGGCTCCTGCTCCCCAACTTGAATGGGCAGAAAGGAAACAGCAGGAATTTATCCAGCACCTACAGTGGACTGGCCATGACAATACCACCCCCTTTACACAGAAGAGGAAGCTGAGGATCAGAAAGTCGAACGGCTTGTCATAAGGAAGCACACTTACTGGAATTCCAGTGCAGCTGTCGTGCAGCACAATCCGTGGGTAACTCAAGTGAGACCCCGAGCCTTGCCGAAAATGTGGATTATATGGTAATATCGGCAGAGCCCAGGCAGGACCTCAGAAGTATTAGACACAGAAGTCACACATGTTTGGACAATGGATGCTATTTTTCTGTTTAAATTTTTAAAAATTATAGTAGAAATGTATAGTTGATCCCAACCATGAAACTAAGAATGTCAGAATCAGAAATGACTTTGGGGATCATGATCGGGTCTAATGCTTCCATTTCACAGATGAGGAAGTGGGGGCCCGAGATAGGAAAGGACTTGCCAAGGTCACACAGTACCGTTAGTAGAAGCAGCCGGGTCTCCTCCCTCTCCAGACAGTCCTCCATCTACTGGCAGTCTCCTGCCAACTCCTGCTGAATGGTCAGGAATGTTCCCAGTTCCTTCTGCCAACTCTATCACCTGTAGGGGTCTCTATCCCCACAATAGCATCACCCACCAGCTTTTCCTGATGGTTGCTCTACCCCACTGTCATGGCCCAAACAGGTGACAGAGAAGTCTAGAAAAATAACTCCTCCAAAAATATCCAGAAAGAGTTAAGGGAGTAGTGAGAAAGTGGCAACAGGGCTGACCTGCCAGGAGGAGCAGGGCTTTTGCAACGGGCTCCATGAAGCCATGAGCCTGAGGCTCGGGGTGCCTTCCCAGCATGCCAGCCCCACCAATCCACTGCCGAGGTTCAGACATGGCCCTGGACAGATGTCAGGATTAGCAGATACCCACTTACAAAAGAAACACACAGGCTTTTCAGAGAGGTGTACCCATATTTCCACAGAGGACAGGTGGGCATCTCAGACGGCCTCATCTCGAGGACTCATCTCAAGCTGTTTGAGACAGGTCTATAGGACCCAAGGGGTGAGCACAGTTTTAAGCCTCAAGAGGGCCCTAGTCCATTATTTCTGCAGCTGATTTGTGTCTGGCAGGAAAGAAAAAGCTAACATGGATGCAGCCACCTCCACGTGCTGGGAACTGCACGGGCACTTTGCATGTAGTATCCCATTTAATCTCACAAGATCCCATGGAATAGGGATTCCTCTGCCCCCTTTTTGAGATGAGCAAATGAAAGCTCAGGGAGGTTAACGAACCTGCTTGGGTGTGGGGTTGTATCATCAACACAGAGGGCTACGCAGCCAGAAGACCTCACAGGCACCACTGAAACCCACCAGGGCCTGAAGGATGGGAGGGTTTGGATGGGCCAGTATCCTGCAAACTGGCCTGATCGAAAGGGTCACCTGGGGTATGTTAAACGTGGAGATTCCCAGGCCCCTGCCCTAGAGAGTCTGATTCAGAAGGCCAAACGTGAGGCCCAAGTCACTGTATTTTCAGCAAGTGCTCAGATGATTCTTATGATCAAGCAAGATTGGGAAACACCAGGTGGAGAAAGAAGGAAAAGGAATGGGTTGCAGGGCATAGACACGCCTTGTGCAAAGGCTCAGCAATGACCTCAGTGAAGCATGTTTGGAGGGCAGTGAGAGCACAGGTTGAGGCAGAGAAGGAGTGATATCAGGAGAGGTGAAGATGTGTCCAGGCTGCTGGACAGAGAGCCCCATGACCAGGTGAAGGTCAAGAGCTTCAGGCCTTAGGATCCCAGGGACCTCCCAGCTCTCTGTTCCTGGGTTTGCTTAGAATTGGAGGCATGTTTTCGGTTTTTTGTTTTTGTGTTGCTTTTTATTTTTCTTTTAATGTCTCTCACTTTTGCTTAGGGAGGCAGTGGGATGAACACTGGACAGGAGTCAGAAGCCATGGGTTCCAATATAGGCCCGACTATTTACAGTCTGTCTGACCTGAGCCAACTGGAGGGTTGCTCCCAGGCCTCATCACACAGGAGGCTTAGTAATTAAGCACAGGACCATGTGTGAAGACTCCAGGTAAGTGGTAACAAGCCATACAGACAGGTGTAGGCTGTGGAGTTGGTGGTGTTATTAACTAGCCTGGCGGACTAGAAGGGAATGGCCTGGGAGATAAGTGGGGATGTATCGTAAAGCAGGAAAAAAACCCAGGTTTTCTAGCCAGCTGTCTTGGATTTAGATCCCAGCTCCACTATTTATTAACCGTGTCATCCAAGCAAGTTACTTAACCTCTCTGGTCCTCAGTTTGCATAAGAGTGAAATGGAGATTGGGCTTACCACATTATAAATGCATGCTGGTAAGCATGAGGTTGTAGTGGTTGTCACCAGGTCCAAACTTCTTCCCTTACCTCTGTCTCATTAACTCCCTTTTACCTCCATTCCCCACAGCCTTCCAGCCCCAGGTAACAACTTCAGCACGTTTTAATGCATGTTGTGTTACAGGATATTAGTGTACACATATTTAACTTGTGTGTATGGTATTGTTTTGTCTCATTTTGGTTCTTTTTTTCCCCCTCTCAGCCTGTGTCTAAGAGCCACCACGTTGCTCTCTGTGGACATCCTGACCTTTGCTTTTAGCTGCTAAGAATTACACACAATTCATGTTTTACCAATCACTCCTCCTGGTGACGTAGCTTCACTTTTCAGATGGGAAAACTGAGACCCAGGAAATGGGGATCTGCCTGTGAATGTTCTTCCTCATCCTGGGACCCCAGTTGTGTGTGCTGCAGGTGTCTGAAATGTCAAAAGCAAGACCCAGGCTCCAGCTCCCTCCAGGAGACATGAGGCAGCCCAGCCCACAGCCCACCTGCCTTCTGAAGCCAGCTGACAGGGCAGCAGCAATTAGTGAGGCTCCCTCCTTCTGAAAACTCAGGGGTGCCATGGCAGAGCCCAGAGGAGCCATCCTGGTAGGCTGAGACCCTGGGCAATGCCCACCCCAGCAGAGAGAAGCTCTTTTTCCGGGGACAGCCAACCATCTTGGGAGTAAGTGGATCACCCAGTCTCCACAGACCTGTGCAGCCACTGCCAATCCCAACAGTGATGCAGTCAGTAGAATTTATGGGGCCAAGGGTACATACCAGTGGAGGGACTGTGGAGCAGCAGGGAGGCAAGACAGAGCTGCTGGGGTTTTCCTTCCTGGCCTCCAGCCCTGAAAATTAGCAGCAAAGGGCTGGGGCTGCCACTGCCCTGGAAAGCACTGCTTGAATCCAGGATACGAGAGCAAACCTATGTCCCCCTTGCCAGGCCCCAGGAGCTGGGTACCATCGCTCTAAGGCAACTCTGGGGTGAACCGGGAGCTTTCCTTTTCTGATGCCGCACCCCTGCATCAAGGCTCTCCTCATTGTAGCTGATTGGGTCTTGGTCAGTGGTGAGACCAGCACGTGTGGGCAGAAGTCTGTGCCTGTCTCCCGCTGATGTCAATGTGGGCAGCTGAGCAGAGAGTATGGGCCCAGCCAGGCACTGGAATCCTAGCTCCTCCGTTCTCTGCATGTGTGGCTCTGGGTCCCAGTTTTGAAAATGAGGTCTCTTTTACCTTGCCGTTGAGCACGAAACGATGGGAGGAGCGGAGCCTGCTGGGAGAAGCTACTCCTCTTGGGTGACAGAGAGGTGGAGTGTTGAGGGTGAGGTCAAAGTGCTGCTCTCAGGTCAGAGAAGCCTATTTGAGACAAATGATCGCAAACTTCTGGGCTTCAGCCTAGGCTGAGTCAACCCTGTGCCCTGGAAGGACAGGCTTGCATGTGCGGTATGGAGGCTTAGGGAACATGGGCAGAGGCAGGCTCCGATCCCACTCTGAGACCCCAGCTTCGTCCCTAGAATGCCATGAGCAGGGTGCTGCTCCATTCATGGGTGTGGTGAGAGCTAAATGACTTGGTGCACAGAGCAAGCTCGGTGCACTCAGGGCCAGCACCTTGGAGGTAACCAATGTGTTGGGCTTGATGCCTGAGATGGCCCTCACCCAAGCTTTCTAGGGTTCTGCAATCCTGCGGTGCCCCTGGGACGAAGAGGCCTGGTTCTGCGCCTGCCCTCACTGGCTGGGGAAGTTGGCAAGGTTCTTATTCTCTCCAGGCCTCTGTTTTCTTGGCTGCCAAGGAAGGAGGTGGATGGGGAGTTTGTCTAAGATCCTTTTCGGCAGAGACATGTGCACAGAGACCTGCCCAGCCACTCAAGTCCTGGGAGACACAGCCCCAACCCCGAAAGCCCAAGGCTTTAGCTCTGCGCCCTCCCCCCTCCACCCCCAGGCCCTGCAGATCATTATCAGCTGCTGGCAACTGGTGGCTGGCAGGTTGGGGGGCGGGCCGCATCCTGGCTGCCTCCTCGAGCTCCACCGAGTTCCCCACCACTTACTTGTACCCGCTGGCAGGAGGAGTGCTCCTGAGGACCCTGGAGATCCCACTTGGTGGTGGCCCAGAGACAGAGAGGACTGCAAAGACCAGGACTGCAGATCCTCCCTGCACCCTTGGGAGGGAGTTTGAGTCTGTGAAGTGGGAGTGAAGCTGCAGGGGGTGGAACTGTTCTGAGCTCGAGGGGAAGTTCCAGGCCCACCCCACATGGGATTGGATGGCCCAGGGGAGGCACTGGGCTGTTGAGGCGGCCAGCTAAAGAGCTGAAGCTGGTTCACAGCGTGTGGTGGGGGGAGTCGTGGCAAAGGGCCTCTGCCCCAATATATGCAGCCGAGGAAGGAGAAAGGTGGTGTCCCTGGGGACTTACCCCGAGGGTAACACTCAAGTCAAGGCGCTCAGCCACTACAATGAAACAAAAGCCCCTGGGACTTGATTTCTAGATCCAGATCTATCACTTAGCAGCCCTGTGACTTAGGCAGGTTGCCTCCTTCTCTCAGTCTTAGTTTCTCCATCTTCAAAATGAGAGACTAGTCCCTCCCACCTCCAAGCATGGGCCAGAGACCAGCATCTTTGGCATCACCTGGGAGCTTGTTAGAAATGCAGAGTCTCAGGCCAGCTCCAGTGGCTCAAGCCTGCAATCCCAGAGCTTTGGGAGGCTGAGGGGAGGATCTCTTGAGGCAAGGAGTTTGAGAACACCTGAGCAACATAGCACGACCTTGTCTCTACTAAAAATAAAAAATGTTGATATGCAACAAGATATAAAAAAGGAAAAAAAAATTAAAAAGGAAAACTAGCTGGGTATGGTGGTACATACCTGTAGTCCCAGCTACTCAGGAGGCTGAGGCAGGAGGTTCACTTGAGCCCAGGAGTTGGAGGCTGCAGTGAGCTATGATGGTGCCACTGCATTCCAGCCTGGGCCAGAGAGCAAGACCCTGTCTCTTAAAAAAAAAAATGCAGGCCAGGCATGGTGACTCACGCCTGTAATCCCAGCACTTTGGCAGGCCGAGGCGGGCAGGATCACGAGGTCAAGAGATCAAGACCATCCTGGCCAACATGGAGAAACTCCATCTCTACTAAAAATATAAAAATTAGCTGGGCATGGTGACACAGACCTGTAGTCTCAGCTACTTAGGAGGCTGAGGCAGGAGAATCGCTTGAACCTGGGAGGCAGAGGTTGCAGTGAGACGAGATTGCGCCACTGCACTCCAGCCTGGCGACAGAGCAAGAGGGAGACTCCATCTCAAAAAAAAAATTAAAAATAAAAATAAATAAATAAATAAATAAATAAATGCAGAATTTAAGCCCCACCGTACACGGGCTGAGTCAGTCTGCAGCTTAACAAGATCCCTAGGCGCTCATGTCCTCTGTCAAGTTTGAAAAGTACTGGACCAGTTACCTAGGAATCTTTCGGGCATTCCCGGCTAATTTTTGTATTTTTAGTAGAGACAGGGTTTCGCCACGTTGGCCAGGCTGGTCTTAAACTCCTGACCTCAGGTGATCTGCCTGCCTTGGCCTCCCAATGTGCTGGGATTACAGGCATGAGCCACCATGCCCGGCAGGTACCTAGGAATCTTTAGTGGCCCCCTTCTAAAATCCTATCTCACCAACCTATGCAGAGCCCAGTGGGGAGGACTAGATGCCTTTCTCTGTTCCCATAAGCCCCATTACTCCCTGTTGTCAGGCCTCTGAGCCCAAGCTAAGCCATCATTTTCCCTGTGACCTGCATGTATACATCCAGATGGCCTGAAGCAACTGAAGATCCACAAAAGAAGTGAAAATAGTCTTAACTGATGACATTCCACCATTGTGATTTGTTCCTGCCCCACCCTAACTGACACAATATATTCTCCCCTGCCCTTAAGAAGGTACTTTGTAATATTCAAAGTACCACTTTGTAATATTCAAAGTACCCTTAAGAAGGTACTTTGTAATATTCAAAGTACCCTTAAGAAGGTACTTTGTAATATTCAAAGTACCCTTAAGAAGGTACTTTGTAATATTCAAAGTACCCTTAAGAAGGTACTTTGTAATATTCAAAGTACCCTTAAGAAGGTACTTTGTTCGCCTATCCCAAACCTGTAAGAACTAATGATAATCCCACCACCCTTTACTGACTCCTTTTTCGGACTCAGCCCACCTGCACCTGGGTGAAATAAACAGCCTTGTTGCTCACACAAAGCCTGTTTGATGGACTCTCTTCACACGGACGCGCATGACACTTGGTACATGGCCCACTGTGCCAAGCCATAAATGCTCATGGCAAACCTTCCCTGCATTAGGGTTTCCAGGAGGCAGGTGCCTCTGGGCTCCCTGAGACCATCAATCTCCCTGCCTCTCTGTGCAGTTCTTAGTTTCAGGAGCAACCACCCTGGTCATCTCAGCAAACTGCACAGTTCCCCGGGTGAGTTTCATAGACATTTCTTCTGCCTCTGGGCACAGCTTATCCTGGAAGACCTTATATGAAAGTGGATGCTTGTGGGGCCTTTCCACAGGATGGTGGGCGAGTAGGGAGTGGGCCTTTGTCCGCAATCCTACTCACTGGCAGGTCTGAGCTCCTGACCATCCTCCTGTCCTATAGAAGCTTCCTGTATCTAATTTGAGTCTGTTTCTAGTCTCCTCTCCTTTACCACAGCTCCTCCATGCCTTTAATACAGCCTGGACCTCAGCAAGTCACCCCTAATCGGATAGGTTGCATGCAGACCCAAATGGCATTAAACTTGCTGGACCTCCTGGTTCGACCTCCAGAAAGGGGACTCCATCCCCACCAGAGCCGTCTGTTTTGAACCTAGGAAACTAGAATCCTAGGGCTGCTGTAACCAATTACCACACACCAGGTAGCTTAAAACAACAGAAACATGGCCGGGCCTGGTAGCTCATGCCTGTAATCCCAGCACTTTGGGAGGCCGAGGCAGGCGGATCACTTGAGGTCAGGAGTTCGAGACCAGCCTGGCCAACATGATGAAACCCCGCCTCTACTAAAAATACAAAAATTAGCCAGGCGTGGTGGCAGTTGCCTGTAATCCCAGCTACTCGGGAGACTGAGGCAGGAGAATTGCTTAAGCCCAGGAGGCAGAGGTTGCAGTAAGCTTAGATCGTGCCTGGGCAAGAGTGAGACTCCATCTCAAGAAAAAAAAAAAAAAGAAAGAAAACAGAAACCTGTAGTCTATGATTCTGGAGGCTGGAAGCCCAAAGTCAAGGTGCTGGCAGGATCGAGTTCTCTCTGAAGGCTCTTGGGGATAATGCTTTCTGGCCTCGTCCCAGCTTCCAGTGGTTGCTGGCAACTCTTGGTGTTCCTTGGCTCGTAGACACATCCTGCCAGTCTCTGCCTCTGTCATCAGGGGCTGTTCTCCCTGTGTCCCTTCCCTTCTTCTAAGGACACCAGTCATAATCCATTATGACCTCATCTTAACTCGATTACATCTGCAAAGACCCTATTTCCAAATAGATCCCATTCACAGGTACCAGGGTTAAGACTTCAACATATCTTTTGGGGGGATACAATTCAACCCACAAAAGATGGCAAATAGCTTTTCTATCGATGCGGCCCTGGTGGGTTCTGAGGATTGATGGATGTTGTCTGCCATGGACTTTGCAGGAAGAAGTGGCCACACATGTTGCTGTCTGTGCTCCTGCAACAAATCCATCTCCTGGCTATTAAGGCTGACATAGCCTCTGTGGCCCATGGGCTCCAGCAGGTGGAGCAGAGATGCTGTCACCTTGGTCACTGGTTCCTGGCTCCTAGGGCAAGTCAGTGGTTCCTCCAGGATCAAAAGCGTGCAAAGGAAGCCCGCAACACAGAGGGCATGTGAGCCAGCACTCTCCCCTTCCCGCTGGGTAGTAACTCGGGCTCCGGTCTCCTTAGCAGGTGAAGGTCAGCACAGGGCCAAACCTGGTCAGCTCACTGTGTGCCAGCCTCGGGGTGTGTGCCTTCATGGTTGAGCTGGCTGCCAGCAACAACTATACCCAGATCAGTGTCTCAGGCCCAGAGAATAAGCATCCACTCTTTGGGCACCATTTAATCCTAGAAACCACCACCAAGAGATATTTTCTTATCCTCTATTGTCAAAGTTAAAATGGGGAGTGGGATTTTTTTTTTCTTTAAATACAGACAGAGCCTCGCTAACTTGCTCATGCTGTCCTCAAACTCCTGGGCTCCAGCGATTCTCCTGCCTAAGCCTCCTGAGTGGCTGGGACTCCAGGCAGGTACCATGACACCCAGCTTTTGGGAGTAGGGTTTAAGTGTTTAGCAATTACCTCCAGATTCCCTGAGGCAGAACTCCACCAGGATTTGACAGCCCCAGGTACTTCCCTCTGGACTAGTTTTTCCTGTGTTAATGCTGATGTGGTGGCTCTTTAGGAGGCCAAGGCGGGAGGATCGCTTGAACCCAGGAGTTTGAGACTAGCCTGAGAAACATGGTGAGGCCCACTCTCAACCAAAAATATTTTTTTGAAAAAAATTAGCCAGGTATGTTGGTGCAGGCCTGTAGTCCCAGCTACTTGGAAGGCTGAAGTGGGAGGATTGCTTGAGCCCATGAGTTCAAGGCTGCGGTGAGTTATAATCATGCCACTGCACTCCAGCCTGGGTAACAGAGTGAGCCCCTGTTTCTTAAAAAAAATAATAATCATTTGCTTGGAGGAAGATATTCCAGCTGCTTGCCTCCTACCAAGGACGTTCCCCTGTAAGAGCATAGAGGTCAAGGGTGCATTAGGAGGACTGCCAGCATAATAATACCTAAGATTTATCAGTGAGTCCTGCCTTCTGGCTGTGGCCATTGAGGTCACATCTTTTCAAAGACATGTGATTATGTCATGAGATTGCTACCAGGGACCTGGACGTGGCAAAAATGGGGCTGGGAATACTGGGGGAGGAGTTTCCTCTGCTCTCATCCTAGGGAAAGAGAGGAAAGGAGAAACACTCTCTTCAGGTGGGTCTGACACACCATGCAGGGGCGAGGGACACACTGCCCACTGCTGCCCACACTTTGACCACTTCAGTGACCCAGCTGCCCCAGAATCCCCGACCTTCCCCTGTAGCCTGGGGTCCCTGAACGGCCCCAAGACTCAACTTCCTGCCCGTGACCTCACGTGAAACTGATCTTCACCCAGCCCCTCTCTGTGCTTTCCTTATCAGTAGAGGACAAATCATTCCTCCTAGGCCCCCACGACCCTAGTCCACTGTGTTCACCTTCCCTAGCTGCTCTCTCCTCCATCCATGCCTCTCCCTCTCCTCTGGTCCAGAAACTCAAGTCCCGGAGACCCCGTGTCCCTCTCTGACTGTGGTCTCCCCTCTCTTCCCTTTCACAGCAACAATCTCCTACGGACTCCATCTCCTCCTCTCCCGTCTCTACAGACCTCAAGCCCTCTCAGGGCAGCCGCCAGTAGCTTACTGCCAAATACATGCTTTTCCATGTATTTTCTTACTTGACCTTTCTGTACTTTTTTGCTGATGGGTGTCAGTCTGAATGGTTGACCACATGGGTCTTGGAATTGGATGGGTCTGAATCCCAGCTTTCACATACCAGCTGTGTGGCTTTGGACAAGTACCTCAATTTTTCTGAACCTCTGTTTCATCCTCTGTGAAATGGGGCTAATCAGAGTAGCTATCTAATAAGGCAACTAAGATTAAAATAAGCACGTAACAGGTGCTCACTAGATGACAGGTCACTCCCCTTCTAGAAAGCTTCCCTTCTTTTATCCATCTCCTTGGTCAGAATCTGCAGACTGATTCCGGGACTGGCTGGCCTGTAAAACTGCCCAGTTTTTGCAGGCTTTGCACCCTGGTTTTGCAGGTGCCCTGGAAGAGTCTCTCGGTGCTGCTGCTGTTCTTCACCATCCTGGCACTAGGCATCGCCTTCTTGTCTACCTTCCTGGGCTTCCATGCCACCTTCTGCTACACCCAGCTGGTGAGTGGGTTGGCAAGGTCTCTGCAGGACAGGCAGGCCCTCACTCGATCCCCAGAGCCTGGACAGGGGAGCCGAGGGAGGAGGGACAACAAGAGGGCTGTGTGGGGAGTGGCAGGCAGAACCCCTCCTGCCATCCTAAACCATCTGTACCATGGCCGTGCTGAGCCCCACTTGGTCTACACTGGGGAGATGCTGTCTTGAAGGACATGTGAGAACAGGGAGGTGGCTAGGGAAGAAGATGTTTACAAAAGCTTATAGCTCAGCACCAAGGTAGAACTGACTAGGACAAGTGCCGCATGGTGCCGCCAGATTCTGGTGGTGGCAGCCGATGCTGCAGGAAGGAAGGGCAGCGGTGAGGCTTCTGGATCCTGGCTGACAACTATAGCCTTACATGCGCTGGGAGACGGTGGTTACAGCAGCTCCCTCCATCAAGGGGCTTCCACAAGCTCCTTCCCCCGACCCTCATGACAGGCCTGAAGGGGCAGGGAAGAGACTGACCACGTGTCACAGATGAGGAAACTGAGGCCCAGAGAACTAAGGTGACCTGGCTGAGATCACATCCATCCCCAGAATCCAGGTACGACTCCCGGGCAACCTTCTCCTCAGGGAAGACCAGAGCTACAAGAAGGACTCAGCCCAAAGCACAAGGTCTGGGGGCTCAGGCTACCACCACGTGGTCTGTGGAGGGCTGTGGGCAGAGAGGAAAGCCTGGATCGCCAGAGAAAGCACAGAAGGAAAACCTAAAAGGATCACAGGGTCACATGGGCTGCTTCTGGGCTGACTAAAGGCGAGTGGCCTTGGCCCTTCCTTCTTCTCCCGACTCCAGTACCTGAACCCAGCTCAGGAACTTCCCACGGCCACAGCAGCCACTCCCAGGATCCACCCACCAGGCCCCACAGCCCCCAGCCACAGCCTGCACTCAAGGCATCTGCTGATCCTGGGAGCTGAGCTCCTCCCAGCATCTGACCTCTGGGGCTCTGCGATCTTCCCCTTCTCCTGGCTGCAGGGTTGGCCTTCCCTTTGTAACACCCAGCCCCAGAGGTCACTACCCCCATCCTCATACACACCCCAGCATGGAGATGGGTCTGCTCTTTCTGTCTAAGAAACATCCCTCAATGTCGCTGTTTTGCTGTCAACAAAAAGTTGACATGTGGCTTGGGTCACATCCACCAGGATTTAGTGACTAAAGTTGCATATCTTGTCCGTGTGTGTGCACAGCAGGGACCCTAGGTGTCTCACGTCTGTATGTGTGGATGGACAAGTATCCACCTGTTCCCCCACTTAATGGATTTGTTACTGGAAACCCTGCTGCTAAGTGAGAAGCTGTTAAATAAAAATATTTTCATGAATGCGGCCAGGCACAGTGGCTCACGCTTGTAATCCCAGCACTTTGGGAGACCGAGGCAGGCAGATCACTTAAAGTCAGGAATTCGAGACCAGCCTGGCCTACATGGCAAAACCTCGTCTCTACAAAAAATACACAAGTTAGCCAGGCATGGTGGCGCACGCCTGTAATTCCAGCTACTCAGAAGGCTGAGGCACGTGAATTGCTTGAACCTGGGAGGCAGAGGTTGCAGTGAGCCAAGATCGCGCCACTGCATTCCAGCCTAGGTGATAAAGTGAGACTTTGTCTAAAAAAGAAATATACTTTCATGAATGCAAATGGGAAAAATGTATTCCATCCCAACCCAAGGTACCCAAGCAATTCTCGGAAAAATTTTCAGTGCAGACAAGTATACAGGTAGTAAGCAATCTGAATGTATTCAGGAGTCCCCCCTGACGTGAGGTTCCACTTTCTGTGATTTCAGTTATCCGTGGTCCACCACAATCCAGAAATAGCTGGCCGGACGCAGTGGCTCATGCCTGTAATCCCAGCACTTTGGGAGGCCAAGGCAGGTGGATCACCTGAGGTCAGGAATTCAAGACCAGCCTGGCTAATACGGCGAAACACCATCTTTACTAAAAACACAAAAATTAGCCGGGTGTGGTGGCATATGCCTGTAATCCCAGTTACTTGGGAGGTTGAGGCATGAGAATCGCTTGAACCTGGGAGGCAGAGGCTCCCAGTGAGCCGAGATCACGCCACTGCACTCCAGCCTGGGCAACAGAGCGAGATTCTGTCTCAAAAAAAAAAAAAAAAAAAAAAGTTGAGTACACTGTATTTGGAGCGACCACATTTACATAACTTTTTTTTTTTTTTTTGAGATGGAGACTCCCTCTGTCGCCCAGGCTAGAGTGCCGTGGTGTGATCTCGGCTCACTGCAACCTCCACTTCCCGGGTTCAGGTGATTCTCCTAACTCAGACTCCCAAGGAGCTGGAATTACAGGCTCGTGCCACCACGCCTGGCTTTTTAAATTATTTTTAGTAGAGACGGGGTTTTGCTATGTTGGCCAGGTTGGTCTCAAACTCCTGAACTCAAGTGATCCGCCCACCTCGGCCTCCCAAAGTGATATAACTTTTATTATAGTATATTTTAATTCCATTATTTTTCATCTCTTACTGAGCCTAACTTATAAATTAAACTTTATCATAAGTATGTACATGTTGGAAAGAACATAGTCTATGTATAGATGAGAAAACTGAGTCCCAGAAGATATGATGGCCAAGAGTGCCAACGCAGGGGCCAGACAGTCTGGGTTTGACTCTCGGCTCTTTCCTTCCCTAGCTGTGTGATATTAGGCAAGTTACTTAACCTCTCTGGACCTCCACTTCCTCAAATGTAAAATGGGGCTAATGCTAATTCCCACCTCATAGAGTTGTGGTGAAGACTCTATGAGTTAATATATGTAATATGTAAAGCTCTACCTTAGAATAGAGACTGCTTCTAGAAGACACCTGAAAGTGCTGCCTTATTGAATACCTTGCCCAAGGCCTCACATTAGCAAATCATATAGCACTGATTCAGAAGGAAATGACACAACCCAGACACCTCGCCCTGGAGGAGCAAGAGGACTATCGAGCCACTGACAAACATTCAGAGCAGCGCTTCCCGGTTCCCACCTCTGTCACATGACAGCCTATGGCGGAATGCATATCCCAGTAACTGGGAGACTCCAAAACAGTCACCGTATGTCCCCGTGGCATAGACCTAGTTTGCAACCAGTGTCGCATCTAAACAGATGTTCCTGTTTGGAGGATAAATTATATCCCTGTAAACCCTGGGAGAGTGGCTCTCTACACGCAGGCAGCTCCAGAGACTTGCAACATACGGCCACCAGGTGGCGGCGTAGCATCGAGCACTGAACTTGAGCACCTGCTCTGGGCAAAGAATTCATGAATGCCCTGGCCAGGCAGATACCAGTCTCAGATATTTGCGGGCACCTGCTGAGGCTACTGGTACCAGCAGGATCAGCTCCACTCAAGGCTGCATTCAGAAAGATATTTATCTGCAGAATGGAACAGAATTGGTCAAGGAGGGAACAGCCAGGAATGTCATGGTTCAGAGACACTAAGCTGGTACCTTTGGGCTTCCGTTGACACCCGCTCCTCCAGTTGTGGTTACCCTGAGCTATCCTCACTCCAGGAGCTACTCATGGCCTTTGGGGCATTTCGAGGTTATTCCACATGAATTCTTAGTCTTATATCACCAACAGGATTGTGTGGCCTGGCACAAGTCCTGCTTAGAGGACGGATCAGAAACACTTGGATGCCTGGGGCAGGCTAAAAATTTGGCAGTCTTCCAAATTGATAGTCAAATATGTCTCATTTCAACTGAGTGAGGATGGCAAGAAGCCATTTTCACATTAATACAAATCGTAACCCCCTTTCTTCATGTTCAAAGTGGAGATGTATTACACGCACCAACAGGACTCTAACTGATTTTGGAATTGTCTTTCCTGATTCTTCCCTGACTCATAACTGGAAAGCATTGCTCACCCACTCTCCCTCATTTGTAAATAGCAGAAATTACTGCAGAAGCAATAACAAGTCTTATTCTAGATATATTTATTGCTTGTTTTCAGGCGCTTGTGGTTACAGCAACGGTGTTTCACTTGGTTGCCCAGGCTGGTATGCATTGATGCAATCATAGCTCACCACAGCCTCAAACTCATAGCCTCAAGCAATCCTCCAGTCTCAGCCTCCCGAGTAGCTGGGACTACAAGTGGACAACTTTTTAGGAGATATTTTTTAAGGCTTGCAGATACCTTCTTGGTAAACCGTCCTTTGCAGTGCATTAATTGGTTTCAGAATTCAGGCTGCCCAGCCATGCCCACTGCAGAGGCTGCCAGCTGGCTGATCTCAGAGCCAGACTGGCCAGTGGATGCAGCAACTTGCAATGCACATTGCAGAAATACCCCCACAGAGGTAGGCTGGTGCTGGGGAGGAGTAGCTTTTCTTTCTACTTAGGGGCATTGTCTATTTTGGCAAAAGGGACACCAATTTCATTTCCACCAGCTATGTGAGAAGCTGCAGGTGGAAACCTGAGTTAACAGGCAGCAGATTTCTGATGGATCCCTGTGGTTTCAGTGTTCCTCTGATTAGTGGATCAGGAAGCTGTCCACCTGCCCAACCCATAATCCCCTTTAACTTGCCTCCTCCAGGAAGTCTTCTTTGACATTCTCTCACCCTTGGGGACCTCAGCTGGTGAAACCCTATCAGTTTCACCACTGGACCTAGCTTGCCTTACTGGGCTATCTGTATATAGATTCCAATCTTATGTCTCCCCAGCTAGACTCAACACAGTTTGAAGACAGCATCTACATCTTACATTTTTTGTGGTCCCTATGATACCCAGCATATGCCAGGCAACAAAGGAAGGTTTACTCGAATCACTTCTTCCTTGTTGACTGATATCAAATCCTTTTAGAGAGTGTCCAGGTACCAATTCCTTGAACAAGCTCCTGAGTATGGACCTGACGTGTCCCTAACACTCATTATACCTTTCCTAATGATTCTTTTGTGTTATTTCAAGAAAAAGTGGGAACGTTTAACAATTATTCTCCAGAAATTACCACCACAATGTGAACTTGTCCTTATCCAGAAAGTAATTTTACATTATCATAACAACTAGAACATGGTAATGTTAGCAAAATTCTCTCCAGAAATCAGTATCAAAACTTTTGCCCACTAGATGTTTGTTTCATAACCATTCATCCGACAATTTTTTATTGCAACAATTATTTATTGAGCAACTACCAAGCACAGATGGTCCTCAACTTAAGATGGTTCAACTTAGGATTTTTCAACTTTATGGCGGGTTTATTGGGAGGTAACCCCATCATAAGGTGAGGAGCACCTGTACTAGTTTGGGTTTGGGGGATATAGGAACAAACAAAATAGGGGAAAAAACTTATCATAGGGAACTGATATTCTAGTCAGTGGGAAATGGACAAGTAAGATATATTAACATATTGTGACTAAAGAACACGGAAGGGCTCATTGATCCAAACGGCCTCTGATGAAGCAATGGTGCTATGATGGGCATCATCCCTACCAATCATATTTGCCCCAGAAAAGGGTGCAAAGATAACCAGAAGACTTTCCCCCTTGAGAGAGATGCCTGCTTGTTAGCAAATAATTTCTGTACCAGTTGCTATGTCACAAACTACCCCAAAACTTTCTGGTGTAAAACAATCATGCTACCATGCTCATAGATTTTATAGCCCAGAACTTGGACAAAGCAGAGTAGGGAGAGGCGATCTCTGCTCTATGATTTCTGGAGCCTCTGCTGGGAAGAATCCAAGTTGAGAGTGGGAGCTAGAATCATCTGGAAGCATCTTCACTCATACCTGGCAGATGATGCAGGCTGTCAGCCAGGACCTCAGCTGGGCTGTGAGCTAGAGCACCTTCACAGGCCTCTCCATGTGGGATGATTTGGACTTCCTCACGACATGGCAGGTGAGTTCCAAGAGTTAGCATCCTGTCCATGAAAGCCAGGTGGAAGCTCATAGCATTCTTATAATCTAGCCTCAGATGTCACACGGCAGGCTGGGTGTGCAGTGGCTCATGCCTATAATCTTGGCACTTTGGGAGGCCGAGGCAGGAGGATGGCTTGAGGCCAGGAGTTCAAGACCACCTTGGGTAACATAGCAGGACCATAGCAGGACCTCTGCAAAATAATAATAATAATAATAATTATCCAAGTGTAGCAGTGTCCACCTGTAGTCCCAGTTACTCAGGAGGCTAAGGCAGGAGGATCGCTTGAGCCCAGGATTTTGAGGCTACAGTGAGCTATGTTCACACCAGGCTGGGCAACAGAGTAAGACTCTGTCTCTGAAAATAACGTGAAGAAGTCACATGGCAACAGCCTGCCATACTTGGCTAGGGCAATTACAAAGATCCATGCAGGTTTGAAGTGCAGGGGGGTTGTAGACCCCACTACTGGAGGGAAGGGGGCATCTAGGTCACATGGTAAGAAAAACATACGGGTAGGAGATACTTTTGAGGCCAACTTGGGAAAACGCAATGTCCTACACCACCTGTGTCTAATTTCCAAACAAGTGGGATATCTCGATCTACCCAGAGTCATCTTGAAAGCAGAGAGCAAAAACCACTCAAGCAAAAGATAATATCTGAGTGTTGTATAATCTTTGGTTTGGAGCAGAGAACAAAAAAAGCAGCAGAATAACACTTCAATTGATCAGCCCCTGCCCTGTATAGAAGGTATTCATAATGATCTGAAATTTCTGGCTTATTTTCAAAGAATAGAAAAATTAGGCCTGGGCTAGAGAGGAGACTCATTCTTGATTTAGTCAAGTGCCTAAGACACAGAGACAAAGCGGTGTGAGTGAAACTGTACACACTTTGGAAGCAGAGTGCTAGATTTAAACCCTCACTGTGCCACTTACCAGCTGCCTGTCCCTGGGCAAGTTTCTCCACCTCTGAAAAATAGGGCAGCGATATTAACTTCCTCATGGGGTTACTGTGAGAATTAAATGGGGTAATATCTGCCAAAGCCTTCGTAGCTACTCTGGAAAGAATCTCACTCATTTAAACTGCCAGTGAAACTGATCCATTTTTATGATGTTTAATTAACTGCAATAAAATGTGTTCTCATCAAGACTGCTGACCATTCTTATGTCCTGAAAGCTTACCCTAAGTGACATACTTTTCAATTGGTAAACACAGGAATGGGCCTTTTTGGGGAAATGATCTGCTTGTTTCTATAACTGCCCTTTGAAAGAATGCACCATGGCATCGGAGATCCAGAAGAATGAGCCTTGTTGATCCAGTGGGGTCCAGGAGTTGCTCCGTCCTTGGGGGGCTCACGTTCTGTTTGCTCCATGAGAACAGAGAAGGGAGACTGTTGATTCAGGGGAGGGCTCATCTCACCAACCTGGCATTGTATGAGCCTGCTGAATCAGATTTGGGGCCGGTTTTGATCACCACTAGAGTGTCAGAGAAACTCAGCAGTAGAGAAAGCAGAGATTTTCCCTATCACGTGGTCAACAGGAAGCAAGGAATCAAGAAACCAGGAACCAAGCTGATCTCATAATTTGCTCATAATTTGCTCCTGGTATGCTCCTCCTTGGTCACCAAGGCAGGGTTTCCAGGGGTTGCCATTGAGATGAAGCCACCATATTGATTGGAAGGGATGACCATCACTTAGGCAGATCTCGCACTGTGCAAGGCTTAGAGCTTTAGAGGAAATGAGAGAATAGGGAGAAGTGAATAGAGAGGAAGCCAAATATTAGAGGAAATGAGAGAATAGGGATAAGTGAACAGAGAGGAAGGGAGGGGAAGTGACTCACTATGAAACTGTGATTTTTCAGGTCTTAGGAACTGAGAGTCCATATGTATGGGATGTAAAAATGTGTGCCTACCCATCTGTCTGTCTAAGCTCTTCTTCCATACACAGGGATGAAGCCCGCAGCTTTCACCCACTGGCAACATATGCACGGGGTCTATAGCTCTCCCATCTAAATGCAGCCCCATGAAGCTGAGATGGCTCATAGCCAGGGAATAGGGGCCAGATTCTGAGTTGAGAAGTCCTGAGTTCAAGTCCTGTGACTTAACATGTGGGTAACATTCAGCAAGTCAGGTAACCTCTCTGAGATGCCATCTCCTCACCTGTAAAATGGGGGAATTAATTCTTGCTCAGCCTTCCTCAAAGGATAATTTTCAGATTCAGGTGTTTATTATCTGTGCCCCCAAGATGCCGTAAGATCCACTAAGGCAGGGACCATGATTGCCCTCTTCCCTGTTGTACCTCTTCATGACACCTGTCATAAACATTCAAAAAAGACTTGGTGTACAAATGAATGATAGTATGATGAACTCAGCCCCTGCCCTAGACAGAAGGCAAAGAAAGAAAGCTCTTCTTCCATTGCTCGTTCCTTCCCACCAGATACTGCTCCTTAAAGTGTGGTCTGTGGACCAGTAGCAGCAGCATCACCTGAGAGCTTGTCAGAAATGTGAATTCAGTCTGGGCATGGTGGCTCACGCCTATAATCCCAGCACTTTGGGAGGCCGAGGCGGGCGGATCACCTGAGGTCAGGAATTTGAACCCATCCTGGCCAACACGGCGAAACCCCGTCTCTACCAAAATTACAAAAATTAGCTGGCATGGTGGCGCATGCCTGGAGTGCCAGCTACTTGGGAGGCTAAGGCAGGAGAATCGCTTGAACCCGGGAGGCAGAGGTTGCAGTGAGCCGAGATCACACCACTGCACTCCAGCCTGGGCGACAGAGTGAGACTCCATCTCAAAAAAAAAAAAAAAGAAAGAAAGAAATGCAAATTCATGAATCTTAATTTGGGGGGTCAGAGCCCAGTAATCTGTGTTTTAACATACCCTCCATGATTCCAACACTGACGTTTGAAAAGCACTACTGTTGGACACACTGGGGTGAGGTGCCATGCCCCCTTCTTGAGTTAACGACTTTCTACCTGGTTCAGGTGTTCATTACCCAACCCACCCCACCTCTTCTTGGCCTGCCTTGGAGCAGGAGAAATGCTATGGAGGCTGGCAGGGGCCTGAGGAGGGAGAGGAGGTCTTGTCTCCTCCTCCCCCTCCCCATGGTGACCTGGGGTAGCAGGTCTGGCCCCTTCCTGTTTCAACAGAACCTGCAGATACCGTGAGAGGATCAGGAGATAAACTCTGCTCTCCTCAGCCCTGAGCAGGGGCAGATACATGAGAGCTTTGCAAAGTGGGCCTCTCCCAGCCAGGCAGCTTCTCTGCACCCTGGCAATGCCCCGTAGGGGCAGCTGGGAGGTCTCAAGCTGGGATTTCAAGTACCACTCCATCCTCCCCCATCCCTTGACCCCTCTCCTGAGGTCTCTTCCCACCTCCTCTCAAGGGTCTGAAACTGATAATGAGCTGTTAGAAGCACGCAGCATAGATGAGCCTCTGAGATAAGCATGCACGGTAAGAACTCACACGATCACCCTGGTAGTGTTCCACGTTCTCAGTGGCACCTGATTCAAAGTACCTAGAAGCAGCTCTTCACACGTGCAAAAGAGAAAGTGGGGGTAACTACTGAAAGAGGAGAGTTGGGCTCCCAGAGAGGTAAAAACAAAATGCAACAGGGACAGAGGAAGAATCCTGCACTATCCGAAAAAGCCAACGGTTCATGTCCAAGATCAGAGCAAGGGGATGTAGGGAGCAGGAGAGCCTGACAGCCACGGGAACCAGACTGAGGGTTTCAATCAGATGTCCATGGGGTGGCTTGAATGTGATCTTGACCACACTGATACAGATCATGGAGTAGGGAGGTGACAAATCCACTCAGCCGTCCATGGGGCAGTCAACCTTAGTGCCACAAGGAGCTCTGGGCCCCACATTCTGGAAGCATTGTAGAGAACTGGTGTCTTTCCCAAAGACTTATCATGTTATGGGAGGAACAGGAGATGCTTAACCTGGATAAAAGACAATTCTGGAAAAGCTACAAGAAAACTGACTTCAAATACTTGAGAGAGCTTTGAGCAAAAGACAGAGCAGCTTGGATCTTTGTAGCACAATGAAGATTAGCTGAGGCCCAGTTGCACCTCTGCCCATCTGGGTCCTGCCTTCACTCCTGCCATGCTCAGCAACATCCTCGTTGCCAATGACACCCCAGACTGAGTCAGCCCCATGTCCCAGTCCTAGGCCTGGTGGAGGTGGAGGTTTAGGGCTTAGAGTCAAGAAGCCCTGAGCTCCAGACCTCACCCTGCGCCCTTTTTGTGTCACCCTGGCCCCGAAGCGCAGCCTCTCTGGGAGTGGGATTTCCTGGTCAGTACAATGAGGATGATCACCCCAGCCCTGTAAGGTCCTAATGAGGATCCATTCATTCAACAAATACATATCAAGTACCGTGCTCCTGCTGAAAATCACCCTCCCGAACCGGAGCTCTGGGGAGCACAGGAGCACCCAGAAGAGGTCTGGCGCGTGGTAAGTGCTCAGTTAATGCTGCTGATGACCGCCAGGGGCCCTTTCCCTGCCCTTCTCTCAGAGTTGGCTTCTGGAGAAACACAGCCTGAAACACCGGGGCAAGCAATGATTGGTCCAGGCATTGTTTCAAGCACTCTGCAAGTACACCACCACACCAGGCTCTTCTGAAAATTTCAGGAGTCTCCTCTGGGCCTCTGCACACCATGTATAATGACAATGACAAACTGAGCTCAGGTGGGAGTAGGGGGTTCTGGGCCAGAGCCCACCTGATGCTGAGGTTGACAAAGTGTCTCCAAGTGTCTGGGGGCCACCCAAAGGCCTCCTCTAAAACACATCTCCCTCTCTCTGGTGAAAACCTGAGATCACCCTCTGAAGTATTTCAGGCAAGGCTAGGTGTTGAACAGAAAGCCATGGGGACCCAGGTCTCTGACATCTGGGGACTGTCAGACCCTCTCAACTGTAGCACCCCTTAGCTGGGGGGAGGTCAATGACTCAGAGGAGAACACCTGATCCTATCTTCCATCCATCTGCCAGCGCTTGGTTTCCATCAGTCAGCAGATCTCAGGTTACATAAATAAACTGGTATTGCTGATTCGGCACATTCTGCACGATGGTGTGTGCCAGGTGGTACCCACCTCCTCCCAGCACACAGACCAGAATCAGTGTGACGAATAGGTGAGCAAGGCCCATGTGGGGGCAGCTGCAAGGCAGCTAAGCATGCCACCTCTGGAACCACAATCCTGGCTCCTGAATGTGCCGCTGTCTGATTTTGGGCAAGCACCTTAGCCTTCCCATGCCTGATTCCTTGCCTGGATAACAGGCAGATTTACTGTTAAGAGTTGTGGCTCTGGAATCAGACAGTCTAGGTGTGGATCTTGCCTCTACCACTTATTTGCTGTGTGACCTTTACAAGTGTCTCAGCCTCTCTGTGCCTCAGTCTTTTTTTTTTTTTTTTTTTGAGACAGAGTCTTGCTCTGCCACCCAGGTTGCTGTGCAGTGGCACGATCTTGGTTCACTGCAACCTCTACCTCCCAGGTTCAAGCAATTCCCCTGCCTCAGCCTCCTGAGTAGCTGGGACTCGAGGCGCCTGCCACCACACCCAGCTAATTTTTGTACTTTTAGTAGAGATGGGGTTTCATCATGTTGGCCAGGCTGGTCTTGAACTCCTGGCCTCCAGTGATCCGCCCACCTTGGCCTCCCAAAGTACTGGGATTACTACAGGTGTGAGCCAGCGCACCCAGCCTCTCAGTTTCTTTATCTGTAAACTGGGAGTAATAACAACTGCACCTGCCTCACAGGATTGTTGGGAGAAGCATTAAGAAATGGATTTGTACTTGGAGAGTACTTGAAACAATGCCTGGACCAATCATTGCTGGCACCAATGTTTCAGGCTAGGTTTCTGCAGAAGCCAACTCTGAGAAGAGGATTAAGTACAATATTTGTCTGCTCTGAGAATGACCTCAGCAAGCATCTATAAGAAAGTGGGGAAGTGAGACAGGGATGAAGCCAAAAGAGGGTCCATGAGCAGATTACCTTTGTGGGCAATGCAAGTTCAATCCTGTTGGTGGCCTCTGGGGGCTACAGAGAAGCCCCTCAGTATCCTACCACCTAAAGGCAAGAAAGCTGTGATGTAGAAAGCTGCAATAAAAGCAAAGGAGTGGCCAGGCACAGTGGCTCACGCCTGTAATCCCAACACTTCAGGAGGCCGAGGCAGGAGGATCACTTGAGCCCAGGAGTTCAAGACCAGCCTGAGCAACACAGGGAGACCCCGTTTCTACAAAAAAAAAAAAATAGCCAGGCATGGTGGCATGAGCCTGTGGTGCCAGCTACTCAGGTGGGAGGATCCCTGGGGCCTGGGAGGTCAAGGCTGCAGTGAGCTGTGATTGTGCCACTGCACTCCAGCCTGGACAACAGAGCAAGACCCTGTCTCAAAAATAATAATAATTTTTAAAAGAAAGCAAAGGAGTGTAAGGAGACAGGGTCCCAACAGCGATCGCCACACCAGGCGCTTCTGAAAATTTCAGGAGTCTCCTCTGGGCCTCTGCACACCATGTATAATGACAATGACAAACTGAGCTCATGTGGGAGTAGGGGGTTCTGGGCCAGAGCCCATCTGATGCTGAGGTTGACAAAGTGCCTCCAAATGTCTGGGGGCCACCCAAAGGCCTCCTCTAAAACACATCTCCCTCTCTCTGGTGAAAACCTGAGATCACCCTCTGAAGTATTTCAGGCTAGACTAGGATATGATCCAATCGGCACTGGAGAGTGATCCCTCCAGCTGGGGACAAGAGCTTAGGAGGCAGGGCAAGCCAAGGGGGACTGGAGCAGGGCAGAGGGGCATACAGTCTCCTCCAGCACTCTGGCAACACCTGCCGGGCTTGGTTCTGAGTGTCAGATCATTGGGGTCTCCAGGCAGGGGCAGGGCATTTAAGGAACTGAATGGAACTCACTCCTCTGACAGTTGGGGGGTGGAAGAGCTGGGCAAGGAGGTGTCCCGGCTGCTTCTGCTGTGGACAGCTGCATGGCCGGAGAGGAGCAGTGAGGCAGGCAAAGCCCCCCTGCAGGGGTCTCCTTGACTCAGGAACATGAGGAAGATGAGGACACTCTGATCCCTGATATTCTTGGACAATTTCCCAGGCCCTCTCACAAGCCCGCAGCTGGAGAAACAATGGTTTCTAAAAGAAACCACTGGAATGTCAGACGGGGCCCTGGGACCTTTAATGGCCAACCCCAGGCAGTTCCAAGAATTACACAACTGGGCCACTTCCAAGATGTTCTTCCTAAGAAGCATGCTGTAAGTAAATCAAAGCCCCACTCCTAGGTCTCACACGAAAGTCTCCACAGCCCCACATTCCCCAACCCCACATCCCGAGAGTCTTCTCTAGGCCTTGGGAG
Organism: Homo sapiens; assembly: GCF_000001405.40. Classification (NCBI taxonomy): domain Eukaryota; kingdom Metazoa; phylum Chordata; class Mammalia; order Primates; family Hominidae; genus Homo; species Homo sapiens. The sequence continues at coordinate 60,841,187 of NC_000011.10, forward strand.
GTCCAGAAGTCAACACCTGCTCACTGGTGAGGTCCCAAAGTGCTTAGTAAGCAAAGTACATTTACAGGTGAATAGCAAGGGAAGGGAGGGGAGGCGAAGCAGGTTCACACACGAGCAAAAACCACTGTCTGGGCTGAAAGGAAGATCGGAGATGATCCAACCCGTTTCTAGAACTGGGGTAGAAGAAGAGGGACGTGGGAGGATATGCAGCTGGTCGAGGGCCCAGGTGAGCCACAGGACAAAGGTGGTGCATCTTATTGGTACCTCAACTTCCCTCACAAACGTTGAAAACGCTGAAAAGGGAGGGAGAGCTATGGATTATATACGGAAGCACAGGACGGAAGAATCAAGAGTGTGAACAATTAACACAGAAAAGACCGATCTTCCACCTCCAGGACCCCCAGGTAGCAGTCCCTCAGGTAGGTGGGAGGAGGACTCTGACAGGATCATTTGGGATGCACGAAGCTAGTGCAAAATGACCCCTATTACAAATGAGAAAACAGGCCCAAGGAGGGCAGGACTCTGCCCAACTGCACCGGAGTTGGCTGCAAAACATCCACTGGGCCTTGCCTATGGGCTCCTCGGACCTTTTTTCGACTCTGTTCTCTCCCTGAAATGGGTCCTCCCACTTTCCCTTTTCTACTTGCTCGCTCTTCTTTCCCCAGGAAACTTTGCAAGAAAGGCAAAAGCGAATCCCAGGAAAAAGACTGGCTCATCAATCACATGTTGACTGCGCTCGCGCGAATTGCGCATGCGCATGCTGAGCCCCACTCTCCCCAACCCCGGTCCCGCCTCTCCACCCCTCACCAACATGGCCGCCTCAGCAACAGCCCCCCTCCTGTGCGTCACGGACGCGGCGACTCCTGACGTCATAGGAAGGCGCCGGTTTCGGCGGGGGCTGCACGTGCGCAGGGGTGTGGAAACTTACCGGCTGAGCCATGGATACACCGTTAAGGCGCAGCCGACGGCTGGGAGGCCTAAGGCCCGAATCCCCCGAGAGCCTCACCTCAGTTTCGCGGACGAGACGGGCCCTTGTGGAGTTCGAGTCGAACCCAGAAGAAACGAGGGAGCCCGGGTCTCCTCCGAGTGTGCAGCGGGCTGGCCTGGGGTCCCCCGAAAGGCCGCCGAAGACAAGCCCAGGATCACCCCGTCTGCAGCAGGGTGCAGGCTTGGAGTCACCCCAAGGGCAGCCAGAGCCAGGCGCAGCGTCCCCCCAGCGTCAGCAAGACCTACACCTGGAGTCGCCTCAAAGACAGCCAGAGTACAGTCCTGAATCCCCACGATGTCAGCCGAAGCCAAGTGAGGAGGCACCAAAGTGTTCTCAGGACCAGGGAGTACTGGCCTCGGAGTTGGCCCAGAATAAGGAGGAGCTGACCCCGGGGGCCCCCCAGCATCAGCTACCGCCGGTCCCAGGATCACCAGAGCCTTACCCCGGTCAGCAAGCTCCCGGTCCGGAGCCCTCTCAGCCACTACTGGAGCTGACACCCAGGGCACCTGGCTCCCCCCGGGGTCAGCATGAGCCGAGCAAGCCACCTCCAGCTGGGGAGACGGTGACAGGCGGCTTCGGGGCAAAGAAGCGAAAAGGTTCTTCATCCCAGGCCCCAGCGTCCAAGAAGTTGAATAAAGAGGAGCTTCCTGTAATCCCGAAGGGGAAGCCCAAATCGGGGCGAGTGTGGAAGGACCGCTCCAAGAAAAGGTGAAGTGGGGGACAGCATGGACAGGGGTGGCGTTCTCTATGGTGTTGGGACCCCGCCTTTGCCCTGCTGCAGCCTGGAGAATAGCCCCAGGGTTAGAGAGAGCTCACGTTAGTGGGGATGTTAGCAAACAGGTAATTACAATCAGAATGTGGTAAAATGCCCTGGGATCCCGGAGAGGGTGGGGCCAGGCCCTCAAAGATCAATTTCTCTGATGCCTTTCCTCCTCAGGGTCCCTATGGGCCTCTCCTGTAGCACCTCAGGTCTGTATTCGTTCAACAGACATTTACCGTTGTCTGCCCTCTCTAGTGAGAGAAGCAGAAGCAAGTAAACCAGCCATTACTTGATCAAAGCAGTGAGGTCTTCATCCAATATAGTCTATTACAGTTATTTGCCTTTAAGATAAAAAGTATTACTGAGCACTGATTATATAAGGATTTACCAGTCAACAGCCTTAATAAGGATTTACCAGTCAACAGCCTTTCAAACATGGAACAGCATGTGTCATCACGCTTAATCTGCACGTCAGCCCTGTGAAGCAGGCGGTGTTATTATTCCTGTTTTTTGTGTGAGGAAACCAAGGCTAAATGAGTGGTAGGCACAGGACCTGAGCACAGATCTGATTCCGAAGCCTGTGTGCAAAAAACCCCTTTACCCAATCCCTGTAGATCCACCTTGAATTGGATTGCGACCTTCTTAAGGGGCAGGCACGAGATCTTTCTTGTCTTTCTGTGCCAAGGGCATAGTAAATGCCCAATGAATGCTTATTTAATGAAGGAACGAAGTAGCTCATCTGAAGAAGGAAGAGTGTAGGCTGCCATGAAGGAGAGGTGTGGGATTCAGTTCCAATTCGAGCTAATGGGAACCACAGGGGAGAGTCAGGGATGTATGCCTGTGAGGGACCATGAGGAAGGAGGGTGTTTTTAAGGAAGAAGCTGACTCTGTGCCAGGCTTCGTGCTAGGCCCTTTTCTTGTATCCTTAAAACCCTAGGCTGTGGATATTATCCCCCCACCCCTGATGAAACAGAAGAAACTGAGGCTTACAGAGTAATTTACTGCAAGTCTCCCATGGGAGAGACTTTGAGGCTAGAGTGACTGTAACTGTTGGAGAAGTGGATGATGGCACTACCCCTCTGCCCTGTCCCAGGGGGTCACAGGAGAATGGCAGGGCCGTTGATGGCCATGTGGAACTGGAGGAGGCTGGTTCAGGTGGGAAGAGGGTGATGAGCAAGTTGAGCGGGTGAAGCTTGGGGTCCTGGTACTCACGCTGCAGGTGGGGAGATGGGCTTGCTGAGCTAGAGGGGGCTGGGCCCATGCAGAGGTGGGGAGAAGGGAGGGGCCCACACAAGACACAGGATCAGCAGCTGGAGCAGAGTAGGAGGCCACAGATCACTTGACCAAGAAGTCTGGAGAGAGGGTGTGTGGTTCCAGCTCCCTGCCCAACTGCAGACCCGTCCTGACTCACTGTTGCTCACTCAGAGCATGCACTCCAGACTCCTTAATGAGGCCGGCAGGCCCACCCTCCTCTCCCCTCCATCACTAGAGCTTCCACACTGTTGTCCCCTCCATGTTCCTCCCATGTGTGACGCTCCCTCCTTCCTCAGCGCCTTCACACGTGCTGTTCCCACTGTTTGAAAGGCTCTTTCCCTGGCCAGTCCCCCACTCATGTTTCAGGGCTCAGTTCAAATGTCACCTCCTCTGAAAAGCCTCTCTGGCTTATCCAACTAGGGTTAAGTCCCCATGCTTTATGTTATCATTGTGTGCTGTACTTCTCTTTTGTAACACCTCCATTTGCACAAATGCTTATTTATTTGTGATTCTTATTGACTGCCTGTTTTCCTTTAAACCGGAGGCTCCGTGAGAGTGTAAGAGTGGGGACTTACCTATCATGACTAGATGCCCCAGAGCCCAGTGCAGGGTAGGGCACTAAGCTGAACAAGTGGATGAATTGAGGACAGAAGGTAGTTCATTCATTCATCAACCAGTTGCTCAGATCTTGGGTAAACATGTCTGTGAACAAAAAGTCTCTGCTCTCCTGAAGCAAACATTCTAAATGTGGGAAACAGATAAAGAACAAGTACACACATGATATGTCAGTAATAAAGACTTCAAAGAAAAATAAACCAGGATGGGGACCAGAGAATAACAGGGAGGGCAGGGTATTGCCACAGTGCTCAGAGATGGCCTTGCAGATAAACAGGTCTGAGCAGAGGGAGCCGGGCAGAGATCTGGGGAAACAGTATCCAGGCAACAGGAAAGGGATGTTCAGAGGTATTGAGGCGGGAGCAAGCTCCCGTTTGAGAGGCTTTCCAGAGGTCTCGCTGCTGGAATGAGGGGGAGAAGGGGAACAGTAGGAGATGAGGTCAGAGAGACAGCAGGACCTGGTGACCCTTACAGGGACTCCCGGCTTTCCTGAGTGAGCTTGGGAGCCATGGAAGGGTGTCAAGCAAAGGAATGAAATGACCTGACTTGTGAGATCAGCCTGGCTACTGAACACAGACATAGGCGGGCAGGGGTGAAGGCAGGAAAACCCACAAGGAGGCTGTCTCAAGAGAACTAAAACAGCTTCCGAAGCTGCAGGCAAGTCTGTGGCGAGGGGCCCAGCAGGGCCACTGAATGGATGTTTGGGATCTTTGAGGGAGCAGCTTCGGTGGGTAGTAAGTGAGCCTGGAGATGGGTGGGAAGCAGCTCCTGCTGCAGGGAGGAAGACAGCCGCAGCTGGGAAAGTGTATGTGGTGAGGGAGACCTGGCTGCAGCCCTGTCTTCGTGCTCATGCCAAACGCCACTTTCTCCATAGTGCCCTTGGGCATGCTGTCTGCCTTCTCTGAGGAGTAGCATTTATGGAGCACCTATTACGTGTGTGTGTCGATTAAATCTCCCACCACCCTTTGGGTTAGGAATGATTCTCATCTCCACTGGACAGGATGCTGAGACTTAGAGAGGCTACCTTGCTCCAGGTCACCCAGGTTGGACTTGGAACCCAGGCCTGAGTTTCCTCAATACCCAGGTAGAACCAATGGTCTGGAACTGCCCTGCCTCAGTACCTTAGCCGCCAGCCACATGTGGCTATGTACATTTAAATTAATTAAAATTAAATAAAATTTAAGATTCAGTTTCTCTATCAACACCAACCACATTTCTAGCGCTCAGCAGCCACCCATGACTAGTGGCTACCTTATTGGACAGTGTCAATGTGGAATGTTTCCACCATCACAGAACGTTCTGTTTGACAGCCCTGCTCTACACAGATGCAGCACTGTGTCTTGTGGTTCTGTGTGTCTCTAGGCTCCCAACACCTTGTCCCTTCAGGGTTCTCGTACCCCAGCTTGGGAAGCCCAGCTTTACAGTTATGGGGGAAGTCCATGTGGCACCCCATTCTTAGTGCTTAGGAGGCCAGGCCTTCAGTGGCAAGGCCTTGGGAAGGGGAGAAGGAAATCAGGGAGCTGGGGCCAGAAGTCGGCAGGGCCAAGGGACACCAAAATGGGCCTTGAATCTTTAAAAGAGAAAGACCTAATTTCAGCATGTGGAGGCCACCGAGAGACTTCTTTGCATTTTGTTTTTACTTTTTTTGAATGGAAATTTTCAAGCATACAAAGAAAGAGCAAAGCTCTCAAGTCCCCATTATCAGCATCAACACAGCTCAGCATTTTACTAGTGTAGCTTCATCTTTGATACTTGGCTTTTTTTTCTTTTTTTCTTTTTTTTTGTTTTGAGACGGAGTTTCATTCTTGTTGCCCAGGCCAGAGTGCAATGGAGCAATCTCGGCTCACCGCAACCTCCGCCTCCTGGGTTCAAGCGATTCTCCTGCCTCAGCCTCCCAAGTAGCTGGGATTACAGGTGTGTGCCACCACACCCAGCTAATTTTGTATTTTTAGTAGAGACAGGGTTTCTCCATGTTGGTCAAGCTGGTCTCGAACTCCCGACCTTAGGTGATCGGCCCACCTCAGCCTCCCAAAGTGCTGGGATTACAGGCGTGAGCCACTGCGCCCGGCTGATCTTTGGCATTTTTTTTTCCCTGAAATATTTTAAAGTACATCCTAGACATATCATCCCATTCATAAATCCTTGTAGTATGCATTTTTACAGAGATGAGCTCAGTTCTCCTGTAACTCTAAAATCATCGTTGCTCTTTTCAGATTTCCCTGAGAGCCCTGATGCCCACTTCATCTCCAACTGGGGGAAGAGATTCTTTTTCTTTTTTCTTTTTTCTTTTTTTTTTTTGAGACAGAGTCTTGCTCTGTCACCCAGGCTGGAGTGCAGTGGCGCGATCTCGGCTCACTGCAACCTCCACCTCCCAGGTTCAAGCAATTGTTGTACCTCAGCCTCCCAAGTAGCTGGGACTATAGGCATACACCATCACACCCAGCTAATTTTTGTATTTTTAGTAGAAACTTTAGTAGGTTTTAGTAGGCTTAGTAGGTTTTGCCATGTTTGCCCGGCTGGTCTCCAACTCCTGGACTCACGTGGTCTGCCCACCTTGGCCTCCCAAAGTGCTGGGATTACAAGCATGACCACTGCATCCGGTCTTGGCGGGGAAGATCCTGAATCATTACCCAGAACTTTAACCACTCACACTGTTCTGAAATGGAATGGGCCACCTCCCTAGGGGGTGAGCGCCCCGCCTCCAGAGGCATTCACACCCGGGCCAAATGCACTTGGCGGAAGCAACAGAACTTTACAGCAGGGGCCGCGTAGCCTGGACTCTGCAGTCGCTGACAGGATTCAAGTCCTGACTGCCACAAGGTATCTTTAGGCAGCTATTTAACCTCTCCGCGCCTTGGCCTGCTCCTCTGTAAGTGGAGAGGATAGGAGTACCCACCTCAGAGGCATGTAGCCAAGGCTTGAGAAATGGCAGCCAGCACGATCAGGGTTCCCTCCCGCCCCAAGTTTCTGCAGCCCTGGAAGGCCGCCTGTCAGGCCAGCAAGGAGGTGGTTCTGCCTGGGCTCTGGGGAAGAAGGTCCAGAGCCTCCGGCCGAGAGGAGACAGGGCATGGGTGGCGCTTGCCCCACAGACCCTGTATGCACCCACTCTCCCCCTTTCAGATTCTCCCAGATGCTTCAGGACAAGCCCCTGCGCACATCGTGGCAGCGGAAGATGAAGGAACGACAGGAGAGGAAGCTGGCCAAGGACTTTGCCCGTCACCTGGAGGAGGAGAAGGAGAGGCGCCGCCAGGTGAGGGGCCAGCCAGGCTGAGGCTGGGGCTCAGAGGACTAAGCTAGTGTCTACTGGTACAGACCTGAGGCGAGGGCCTCCACGGGTGCCTGGGGGAGGCCGACTTGGTTAAAAAACGTTCTTGAATCTGAAGGCCGGAGGGAGGAAGGGCACCTGGCCAGAAGCAGAAGTGCAATCTGGGACTACAGGGCAGGGAGGCCCAGGGGACCATACAGTTTAGCCTGGGCTGCTGAAAGAGCCTCAGGGACAGGGACGGAGGGGGAGGACCAGAAGCGGGCCTTGGGGAGAAGCCCGGGAGGAAGTCCTGGGTGGTAGGGCAGTCAGTGAGATGGGGTCGAGGGCCCTTTGCTGGGACGTACTCAGTTGGGAAGGGCTTGCAGATTTGAACTCCATGTCCCCGGTATGGCTGCTGTCATTCTCCAAGAAGCAGCCCACACACCAGCAACGTGGATGGCCCCCGCACCTTTCCTCCACTTCTGTCCCCTGTCACCCATCCCAGAGCCAGGAAGCCCCTGTAAAGGGTCACAGCCTCACCCACATCTGCCAGGGACTTTTAAGCGGGGGGAAGAGGGCACTCAGCAGGCAGCATGCAGAGAAAGCGGAGTGGCATTGGTCAGCTCCTGCCCCCCAGGGCAGGGCAGTCAGTGGGAGATTCCTCCTCCACTCCTCTAATGACCCAGGCGTGTAGGAGGAGTGCCGAACGGGATTCAGACAACTCATCCATAGTCCGTGGTCCCAGGCTGGCCACTGAGAAAAGGGGTGGGCCAGTCACTCAGTCATCTGTCCCCTGCTCTAAGTCACCCCAGCTCAGCTTACAGCTGACATCTGAGGAACAGTGTGTCCGCCACCATATGCTGAGGCCTTATCTCTTTTCCTGTGTGGCCCTGGCTCCCTCTTGGGCAAGACAGAGCTGCCGTCTCACTTCTCACCGTCCACTGCGGAGGTGCTCCTGCCCAGCCCCCAGCCCGGGCCTGCCCTGACCACAGGAGGCCAAGGCTCACTTCTCCTTCCTCCCCAGGGGCCTGGGCCACCCCTGCTACCCCAAGTCACCAAAGCCAGCAGAGACTCCTAACCATGCAGCAGCCTTGGAGCTGACGTCCCCACCCTGGCCTTGCTGAGGGACACAGTCAGCATGGCTAGAGAGCACTGGGCTTCCCCTCCCAAGACAGACTCCATCTAGAGTCTCAGTGTGCCCAAGGAGCTAGGGGCTGCTCCAAGTCCTGCACGTGCATTCCCTCATTGATTTCCCAAAACTATCTTACGAGGTAGATACTGTGGTCACTGTCACTTTAAAGATGAAGAAGCTGAGGCACAGACTTAGCTAAGGTCTCCTGTTTAGGAAATAACAGGATCCAGATTGAAACCCAGCCCAGATAGCTCCAGAGCCTTTTCTGTGCAGTGCAGCCCCTGCCCAGCCCCACACCTGTGAAAATCTCAGGGACCCAGCCCTCACCCCTAGCCTGGCATTCTGCAGCAGCAGGACTCCAGGGGAAGAGGGGGAGACTGTCGGAGAGGGTGGGAATGGGGGAAGGGCCAGCACCCCTTTCTCCCTTGGCAGTTGATGAGGGTGGCATGAGGGGTCACTGTCTGCATGTGCGTGAATCTCCAGGTGGGCACCCCCAGTGTCTCAGCCCCTGTCCTCAGTTGCCTGTCCCATACCCACCTCTCAACATGCTATCAGGAGCTTCCACCACAGCAGGCCCCTGGCACTAGACCGTGGCACAGGATTGCTAGCCCTCCACCCACACATCACCAACCTGGAGCCTGGCAGAGAGGGCCTTTCCCCTTCCTCCTGGGAATTCTGCCCGCTCGCACTCTTCTGGGGCCTGAGAGACCAGGGCTGCCTCTGCTCCCCGACTCAAATCCCCTTCTCCCACATGTTCCAGGAGAAGAAACAGCGCCGGGCTGAGAACCTGAAACGCCGCCTGGAGAATGAGCGGAAGGCAGAGGTCGTCCAAGTGGTGAGTGTCTCGTTTTCCCCCTCTGCCCTTCTGCCCCACTTGGGGGTGCAAACCAGGGCCTCGACCCCTGCCTCATGTACCCCCACTCTCATGCTACGATCTCAGGCCCCTGTGGGGCGGCCTTCCTCTCCCCTGGGAATTTGGACCGAGGCTGCAGCTGCACTAATGTCCTCCCCTCATACCACCCCCAGATCCGAAACCCCGCCAAGCTCAAGCGGGCAAAGAAGAAGCAGCTGCGCTCCATTGAGAAGCGGGACACCCTGGCCCTGCTGCAGAAGCAGCCGCCCCAGCAGCCGGCAGCCAAGATCTGAGCTCAGGACGGCCCGAGGCCTTCCATGGCCAACAACCATGTCAGACACAGCACCTCAGGCCGCTGCTCAGATGCCTCTGCTGGAGCTGGCACTCCAAACCCATGGCTCCAGAACAGGGACCCCCACCCCGACCGGGGCTCCTCGGCCTTTGAAGGCTTCCAGGCAGGTCTGTGTGGGACAGAAGCCCAGAGGGGGCCTGGGACCTGGCAGAGATGGGGGCGGGAAGAGATTCAGCTCCCATCCCTCCTTCCTCTCCTTCTCCAAGTGCCTTCAAACCAAGAACTGTACATTCTTCTGGTTCCTCAGTGAGCTGGTGACTGGCAGGTGACTCCCTCAGCAGTGTATGCCCTTTCTCAGCATCCTAGGTCCATCCCAGGCCTGGAGGCTGACAGTTGGGAATCCAGCTTCCCCCACACCTTCCCAAAGGCTGCTCTGAGCACCTCCACACCCCACTGCCTCTGTCCCCAGCAGACTGAATCCGGTTCCTCTCCACTTTTCAATACTGAAAGATTAAAATGGGGAGGTTGCAGGGAGCAGAGCTTTTCCCTAGCACCCACTTTCCCAAACCAGTCTCTGCAGAAGCCCCAGAGAATCTAACTCATGCCTGTCCAGTCTACAGCAAAAATATTTATTGAGTGCCTGTTGCATACAGGCACAATCCTAGGCACCGGCAAATACAGACAATAGACCAAAGTCCCTGCCCTCGAGGAGCTTTCATTCTGATGGAGAGAAAACATAATAAACAAGCAAAATGCACCACGTGTCCAATGGGGGAAGTGCTATGAGTAAAGGGGGAAGGGATGGGAGGGAGCAGGGGCGAGGTGTCAACACAGGGTGGCTCTGCAGCTAGCTGGGCACCTCACTGTTCCCTTTGCTCAGCACCTGCTGTGGGCCAGGCCTTCAGTGACCCTGGCCTTTGGTGGCAGAAAAAACACAGGACCAAGATCTCAAGAGTTTCTCATCTGCTTCTTCCACTGACATTTCATCCACCAAGCAAAATTCATTGACACCAACTTTTCGGTCCCTGGGCTGCAGAGCTCAAACACAGCAGTCTCTGACCCCAAGTCCACGGCAGGTGGAGGAATGAGACGGGGTGCAGTGGAAGTGATAGGTCAGAGGTGCAAGTTACCCCTCCCATCCGCAAAAGGGAAATGGTAGCTGCCCAGCCCCATGTGGCCTGGAGGCGGGGCTGCACAGATCTTGGGATTACCAGTGCCCAGAGGGATCCCACAGAACACCAGGCCGACAGGGAGGCTGGTCCGCTTAGCTAAGAAATGACGTGTGCTGTAGTCTTAGAGTTGCTGTGCCCATTCAACTTCTAACGACCGAAGACTTTTAGTCATTTCCCCCATTGGATTTGATTAGCCCCAGGTTTCCCGAGTGCTTGACCACGCCATCCCCTGCTGCTTCTGCCTTGGAAGCACTTTGGGCAGTGCTGGGTCACAAGGTAGCATCTTAAGTCCCTCGAGTAGGTCAGAGAATGTCCTCGCTCACCAGAGAGTCATTGAGCATGTGATGCCTAGGGTTAGAGTGCAGACCCTGTGGTCGTTAGCCCTGAAACTGGGCAAGTCACTTAACCTCCCTGAGCCAGAATGTGCTCAGCTGTAAAGACTGGCTAATAGAAGCTGCCCCTTAAGATTGTGGGATGAAGCGTCTAGCGCAGTAAGCATTGGCTAAATGAAGAGGGCAGGCTGGAACAGTGCTTCTCAAACCTTTCCTCTCTCTTCTCCAAAAATACATGGATGGTTTAACATAAAACTCCTTCCCCCCTCCCCCATCATCTGGTAAAACTGAACTCCGGGGAGACGCACCCCGTGTGCCCTTCCGACTCCACTGCCCTAGAGTGGGAAGTCTATTATGAGTTTCACTTTGTGTTACTCCAGGCCTCGCCTGTGAACCTGCCGCACTGGCTTCTCGGCCTGGGAGCTTGTTAAGTGCAGACTCTCAGTACCCGGCCCCGGCCTCCTGGATCAGACTGCACTTAACAAGACCCCTAGGTGATTCACAGGCACATCAAGGTTTGAGAAGCACTGCTTTAACTCACTGTTTCTGAAAAAGATTCAGAGTCTCCCGGGGCGCTTTAAAATGCAGGTGCCTGGGTCCCGCCCCTCGGACTTTGATCACTGCGGCAGGAGTCCGGATATCGAATTGAACCGCGGCACCCTGGTGATACTTTCGCGTGTGAGTGCCGCCCTACGTGGGCCGGGTTCTAACTCGAGGTGCTGCTCAGCGCCCGGTTCAGGGGGCCCGTCTGCGGGGACGCTGCGCAGCTGCCCAGCAGCCAGCCGAGGAGACGCGCGGGGCCCCGCGGTTCCTCCGGGCGGCTGCAGAGAGCTAAAGGGGAGGCCGAGCGGGCGGTGGAGGAGGTGCGGCGGCGGCGGCTGCTTCCCGCGCCACCCAGCTCGCTGTCGTCCACCAGCACGCTCTCCAGCACCGTGCGCAGCGAGCGCCGCAGCTTGCGCAGCATGTCGGGGCAGGTGAGCACGTAGAGCACCGGGTTGGCCACGCTGTTGAAGAAGGCCAGGCTGGTGACGAAGGGCAGCCCGCGCCACACGAGCGGCCGCAGCCCCGGGTTTGCGTGCGCCCGCGCCTCCAGCAGGCTGAACACGTGGTAGGGCCCCCAGCAGAGCGCGAAGGCGGCCACGACGGCCGCCACCAGGCGCACGAAGCGGCCTGGCCGCCGGCGGCCGCGGTGCTGCAACCGCAGGCTCACGGCCGCGTGGCTCGAGGCGATGATCGCCAGCGGCACCAGGAAGGCCAGCAGGAACTTGCTGACGGCCAGGGCCACCTGCCGCGAGTTGCACGTGGCATCGCGGTCAGGCCCCGGGTTCAGGAGCAGCACATTGTAGTAGCACATAATGCGCCCGTCCAGCCGCGAGATGGTGTCCCGGAACACGAAATAGGGCACCGTGTTGAGCACCGCTAGTGCCCAAAGCACCAGGCAGACTTTGTGCGCCGCGGCCACGGTGCGGTGGTTCTGCGCCCACACCGGCCGCACCACCTGCAGGCAGCGGTCCAGGCTGATGGCGCTGAGCAGGAAGCCGCTGGCGAACATGTTGAGAAAGAAGATGGAGGAGTGCAGTTTGCAGAAGGTGGTGCCCAGCTCCCACGAGTGGCCCACGGCCAAGAAGTAGGTGAAGAAGGGCAGGGAAGCAGAGGCCAACAGGTCGGACAGCGCCAGGTGCAGCACCCAGGTGGTGACCACGGTCTGGCGCATGCGGCAGCCCACCACGAAGAGGATGACTCCATTCTCCACCAGGCCCAGCAGCGAGGCCAGCCCGTGCAGCAGCACGGCCGCGTGGTCGATGTAGCGGATGCTGGTGTTGCTGTGGCTCTGGAGACGGCTCATCTGCTCCAGGATGGGGCAGAGTGGCTTCAGTGTGGCGTTGGCCGACATCGTGGGGCTCTGCAGTGGAGGGAAGGAGGCGCCTAAGTTGGAAGTGCAGAGGCCACCGGGGAACCAAGAGAGAGGCCCGGAGTGGGACCCTGCCCAGGAGATGCCAATGTGACCCACGAATATATTGGGCGGTGGGGGTGGGGGGAATAATATCCCAGCATTGCTGTGCTTGGGCAAGTCATTTAACCTTCCCGAGCCTTTTTCTGCCTCTGAAACTTGGATGTCAGTCATAACATCACCTAGCTCATAGAGTTATTGGGAGAATTAAGTGAGTTTAATACATAAAAGCATTTAGAACATGGCCTGGCACAGAGCAAGCACTTTATCAGTGTCATTGTGATGATTATGGAGCAAATGGTCTAAGATCACACAGAGAAAAAGGAACAAGGTCAGGCCACACAGGACTCCTTTTTCCCATCCCCAGAGCACTGGCGGGTGAAGGAGGCCCCACAATTAGGGCAAGAGGATTCTGCTGGCCTGGGCGATGGAGATGCTGCCCCTTCCCACAGCATCCACAGCGCCCCCAGATGTTGCCTCTCTACAGATCCTCCATGCAGCTCCCCGCACTCAGTGGTGGCTGGTTAGATGTGCCGACCATAAACAGTGGAACCAGCCCCTCCTCTGATGGTTGGAGAGGAAATAAGATAAGAGCCAGGAGAGCTGGGGAGGAGGAACTCCCACATGGGGCTCTGGAGGCCCAGTGGGGCCAAAAGATCTCTCCCTTCTCAGGAGCAGCCACAGCAGCTCTCTCCGCCCCAGGAAACCCACCCCTGTTCATTCACTTACTCCATCATGCACTCATCCAACAAATAAGACGTGCATGCTTACATCCTCATTGAAAGCCCGAAAGACCATCTGATGTGAGGCTGGTCAAGACCAGTGAGGGCTGAGGAAATTCCATGAGGCTCCATGCAGGAGGTAGGAGGCAAGTAGCAGGGGACAGGGACTCAGGGTGTCCTGGGCACCAATGACACTCCAGGTACTATGGTAGGTCCTTCACATAGGTGCTGTCTTTCTGGCTCTAGAAAAATGGTGCTAGTACTCCATCCTATTTTACAGATGAGAAAACTGAGCCTCAAGTGGTTAAATAACTGGCCCAGAGCCACCCAGACAGCACAAACATGTGGAGGAGAAAGTTTCATGCTCAGCCTGTGCTCTTTCCTCTACCCCTACTCCAAGGAAGAGAGGATGGAGGAGGAGGAAGAAAAGCGGGAGAGGGGAGCAATGGTCTTCAGTACTCATCTTTCTAGGGAAAACACTGTTGGCCAGGATGAGAAAACCCACTCCCTTCCAGAGACCACAGTCCTTTGTAGAGTGGGGTTCTGGAATATCAAACTAGAATTCTGCTGGCGGAGGAGCCCCTTGGAGCTAGAGACCTGCAGGTAGATGGAAGAGGAGCCTGTGCTTCCTGAGAATGGTCATACTTCCTAGGCTTTAGAATGTGCAGAGCAGTTACTCTTGCAATGAACCTATGACACCCCATTTTTCAGAAGAAGAAACAACAACTTGCCCAGCGTTCCTCAGCTGCAACAGTGGGGCTGGGACTTCACTCCCAGCAGATAGCCAAGTACCACCCGCTGTCTGCCCTGAAACATTCCCTGCAGACCAGCTGCTGCTGATCCAAGTCCTATGGGGATGATCAGAGAGCACAGTCCTGCCACACCCTTGGGCACCACCAGATCAGTCCTTCTAACTCTATAGAGACAGCCCCCAGCCTCCCAGGATTCTCAGGAGCCAAGCAGCTAAGGTCCGGCTTTGGCAGGTTAAGAAAAAAAAAAAAAAAAAGGGACAGAGAGTGCAAGCTGTGGGAGTCCAAGACCTGGGTTTGAATCCCAGCTCCTCAGCTTCCTGGCTGCGTGACCTTGGGCCAGTTACTCTAAGCGTGCTGGTGTCATCTTCCCACCCAGACTGCTTGTGAATATTGACAGACAGTTGAGTGGTTTCCCCTCGTATCTGACATCTAGTTAATGCCTAAGAGAAGCTAATCCTTCCCTCCTCTGAGCACCAAGTCCCCTCCAGTCTTTGGTAAACTCAATCTTCTGCCATCCTAGCTGGTAACAGCCCTCTCACCTGGTAAAACTTTGCCTTCTTCTGTGGGTCTAGAGAGGGCACTAGGCTGCCCAACCCCTGGGCCACTCCTCCTTACCTGGGCACAGAGGGAGCACAGGATTCCAGCCCTGGAGGCAGTCAGCTCCTGACAGCAGCTAGACAAGAGGCAGCGGGCAGACAGAGGTGGGAGAGGGAGGCTGAGAGAGGAAATAGCTGTCAGCCCCAGTGCATGTGTGTTTAGGGGTGGGGTTGGGGGAGGCGGGGACAGCTGGAGAGTGAGTTGCCACACAGATGTTCAAATATCATCAATTTCCATCAATGCCGGCAGCCCCTGCTCCACCCATCCCCGCTTCATGAAGGAGACTGCAGAAGTCCAGAGGGCAGTGCAAGTGCACGTGAAAAAATCGATGTGTGCAAGAGAGTGTGAGCCCGAGTGTGACTAGGGGTGTGCTTTTGAGAGTGACCAGTGTGTAGGATAAGTGCGTGAGAAGGAGAATGTCTCATCCATCTGTCCACTGTTCCTGGGCTTCCATCTCCCGACACCAGAATCCTCAGAGAAGAAACCCCTCCAGCTGTTCTGAGTTTCCCAGGCAGTGTGGGGGCCTGTCCATGAGGGACCCGAGGGCTCTAAGGCCAGGAAAGTACAGTGGGGTAGTGGGGGCAGTGGCAAGAACGCAGTCCAAGAGGTCAGTCACTTCTGTTTGCTGAGCCCTGGGGTTGTCATCTGTGAACGGGAGCAGTAACATCGGCCTTACAGGCTGTGGTAAGGGTTGAATGAGATGGATTGCACAAAGCTCGTGGCACACAGTAAGTGCTTATAAAAATCAGCTTCCTTCTCCTCTGAGGGAAAAATGAATATAGGCTCTAAGGCAAAGGTCATATAGCTTTTATTTAAAACAGGCTCAATTTTGGGAGGCCGAGGCGGATGGATCACTTGAGGTCAGGAGTTCAAGACCAGACTGGCCAATGTGGCAAAACCCCTGTCTGTACTAAAAATACAAAACTCAGCCAGGCGTGGTGGCACATGCCTGTAACCCCAGCTACTTGGGAGGCTGAGGCATGAGAATCGCTTAAACCCAGGAGGTGGAGGTTGCATTGAGCCGAGATCACACCACTGCACTCCAACCTGGGTGACAGAGTAAAAACTCCATCTCAAAAAAAAAAAAATGGAAATTTAAACTAAAAAACAAAAACAAACAAACAAAAAAACACACAGGCTCAAAGCCCTAGGATAAGAGAAGTTTGCATTTCATTGTTCCCTAACTCCTTACTCTCATTTGCTGACCAAGCTTCCTGGGGTCAGGACCATCCCTTCAACCTCAGCATCTCAGCACCTAATGGATACTCATTAAAACATTTTAAGAACTCAATATCCCTGTATCGAGGCAAAGGCACCTCCCATGAGATGGACAGCACAAGCATCTTCCATTTAGGCCTAGTCTTAACGCAGAGACTAATGCATAATACGCTCTTGCTGAGAGGCTACCATCATGAGTGGAAAATGAGTAAAATGCTATGCCCTTGTGATGGGGATAATACATCTCACTGTAGCCCAATATGGCAGATCAGTAAGAGCCTTGGTGATCCAAATCATTAACAATAGGAAAATGTCCCCTCTCCTCCAGGTCAGGGAAGGCTTGATTTCCAAAGACAAATGCCTGCAGCCCTCCAGAGAACATAGGTGGATGATTCCATTCTGCATGGGGAAAGTGCCCTCTTTTCCACCCACCCCGGACACCCAACCCACTGAACCACAGACAAGGCCACGTGTGCCTTGTCTGCGCACAGAGAGTGTCAGGCTGTGGTTAAGCCCAGGGACTCTGGGGCCAGACCACCAGTGTCTGGATCTGGCACTGCCACTCCTCAGCTATGTGATCTTGGGCAAGTAACTTCACAGCAGTAAAATATGAACTTTAAATGGTGTTCCTTCTGCACAGTCCCACCCTCAAAGGACAGGGGTTGGAGCCCAGATTTATCTTTGGACTAAGAAAAAGAATCACCCCTTCCCCACCACCCCACCCCACAGACACATCTCAGCACCAGGGCATCAGGCTTGAGATAAGGCACAGCCCTTCCTCTGGATCTCAGCCCACCCTTGACCCTTCCACTGGTATCCTTGTACAGTGAACATCCTGCACAACCTCTCCTGGCCACCCTGCTGAGGTGCTTCTTTTCTGGCTAAAAAACCCTTACTCATCTGCCCCTTCTCAGTCCTTGTTTCCAGTCCTGTAATCACTGTAGTGACTCATGTCCAGCCCCAGTGCGAGTGTGTTCCTCTCTAAAGAAAACCCAGTGTGTGTGTTCTCTCTAAAGAAAATGTATTACTAAGTAAACAAAAAAAGCTACTAAGCTTAAAGTTACCAAAACAAGTTCCAGATGAGCAGGGCCCAGAGGCATTTTCTGAAGAAGAGCCGTGCCCTGCCTTATCCCATGGCTTGTGTCCCCCAGGACTGGGAGAAAGATGCAGCTGCACTCAGGCTCAGGCCCTAGTCCCTAAATTACAACCTCCTCCAAGGCTTGGAACTTAATATCAGAGGCAGTAAGAGCGGAAGTCGGGTCCCTCGCTGCCTCAGCATCACCTTCTGCCGTGGAGGAGATGAATCTGAGCCTGTCGCTTCCTGGCACACGGGACCTCTGCTGCATCTCTGCTGCCCATGGGAGCTGTCCAGATTCCCAACCTAGCATTCAAGGCCTCTCAGGATCCAGTGCACCAACCACCAGTCCCTGCACCCCCTTCCTCATGTCCACAGCTACCCCATCCTTTCTTTCCCCACCTCCATGCCTTGGCACGTGCTGCTGGGAATGCCACTTCCCCTCCACGACTCATCCTGCAGGACCTCTTTCTGAGACCACCAATGTCACTAGATACTCAGAGGATACTTACAGCATCAATGTTTAACAAATACAGCCAAGGGAGCAAAGGAATGAAGGAGGGGCAGATGGAGCCCCCAAGCATAGGCCCAGCCCACATGGGCTTTCTTCTCCCTCTAGGTGGGTTTTTTATGTTCCTTTCTGGCCACTTTAAAGAAGTCAGTCAAACAGGAAGTGAGATGCAGGGCAGGAAGCAGGGTGAGGCCTGCCCTGGGATCCTCCAGCCCCTTGCTCGGAGGCCCTCGAGCTACCCACACCCAGTAGAGGAGCAGCATGGCAGGGCCCCAAATGATACCTTGGGGAGGCCCAGGTTGAGTTCCCTGGTGCCACCATCACCCACAGGACTCCTCGCATGGCCAACAAGCCCCTCGGTGATCCAGTCCCACCCAAGCCTCCCCTGGCATTGCTGCCACTCCCTAGTGGCATCCTGTCATCAGCCAGCACTCACCACTGTCCCCTCCTGTCCTGTGCACACCAGGCTTTTTCTGTACACACCAGGCTGTTTCTGTGCCCACCAGGCTGTTTCTGTGCCCTGGCTTATGCTGTTTGTGCTCTGCTCTGGAATGCCTTTTCTTCCCTTGGCCTCTCAGTGAACTCCTATTCATCCTTCAAAACCCTGGTTAGAGGTTGCCTCCTCTGGGAAGCCTTTGCTGATTCTCTCAGACCCACTTGCTGTCCCTCCTCTCCCACATCTCCACTTCACTTGACCTGCAGCCCCCCTGTCTTCCCTGGTAACTCTTGTTCACACAACTGTTCACCACCCTCATGAGCCACCTGAAGACAGAGACTTATTCCTGTTTTATCTTCTCACCTCCAAAGGCAAGCAGAGGGCCTGACACATGAGAGGGGTCCCAACATATATTTGCTGAACAGAATGAATCTCTAAAATTGGCTTCCCTGTGCAGACCTCAAAGGACCCCAGTCCCTTGTGGTGACCCATTCTGAGACCTTTACTTTTTTTTTTTTTTTTTTTTTTTTGAGACTGAGTCTCGCTCTGTTGCACAGGCTGGAGTGCAGTGGCCCTATCTTGGCTCACTGCAACCTCCGCCTCCCGGGTTGAAGCGACTCTCTTGCCTCAGCCTCCCAAGTAGCTGGGACTGCAGGCGTGCGCCACCGCACCCGGCTAATTTTTGTATTTTTAGTAGAGAAGGGGTTTCACCATGTTAGCCTGGCTGGTCTCAAACTCCTGACATCAGGTGATCTGCCTGCCTCAGCCTCCCAAAGTCCTGGGATTACAGGCCTGAGCCACTGTGTCCGGCCCCATTCTGGAACCTTTCTTACCCATGGTCTGGTGCAATTCTCCATGGCTCTGTCTTCACCTGCAGTGGGTACAACCTTGGGGACTGATCGCTTTATAGTAGGAAGGAAGACAAGAAGGCAGAGCAGGCAGAGGCAGCCCTGGCCTGGGCTCAGGCCCACACATGTGCCAGGCAATCGTCGCAGAAACAACAGTGGTGTATTTGTTTCCTCGGGCTGTCAGAACAAACTACCACAAACGTGGCAGCTTTAAACAACAGAGACTTATTCTCTTACAGTCTGGAAGCCAGAGTCTGTAATCAGATGCCAGCACTTCCTCCGAAAGCTCTAGAAAAGGAGACTTTTTGGCCCCTCCAGCTTCTGGTGGCTCCAGGCGTCCCTTGGCTTAGGGCTGCATCACTGCAATCTCTACCTCCTCTTTACCTGGCCTTCCCCCTCCCTCTTTTCATGTGTCTCTCACAGAGTACTGGTCACTGGACTTAGGGCTCATCTGGATCATCCAGGGTGCTCTCATCTTGAGATTCTTAAATTGATTACATCTGCAAAGTCCTCTTATCCAAATAAGGCCACATTCACAGGTTCCAGGGGTTAGGTTGTGGACATGTCTTTTGAGGGCCACCATTCAACACAGTGAAAGCAATAATAGCTTCTGGGTACGGTGGCTCATGCCTGCAATCCCAGCACTTCGGGAGGATGAGGCGGACAGATCACTTGAGGTCAGGAGTTCGAGACCAGCCTGGCCAACAGGCAAAACCCCATCTCTACTAAAAATACAAAAATTAGCCAGGTGTGATGGTGCACGCCTGTAATACCAGCTATTCAGGAGGCTGAGGCAGGAGAATCGCTTGAACCCAGGAGGCAGAGGTTATGGTGAGCCGAGATCCTGCCACTCCACTCCAGCCTGGGTGACAGAGCGAGACGCCATCTCAAAAAAAAAAAAAAAAAAAAAATGAAAACAGTAATAGCTAACACTTATGGGGCACTCACTATGTGCCAGCGTAAGGCTGAAACTTGCTCATGGATGAGCTCATCAAATATTCACGCACCCCTCTGAGTTAGGTACCACTATCATCGTCACTCACCAAGGGGAAAACTGAGGCTCAGAGAGCTTAAGCAACCCTACCAAGCCTGCTCAGCTGGGGAGCAGAGGAGCTGGAGTTCAGAGCCATGTGGTCCAGCAGCAGAGCCCAGCTCTTCGCAGCTGATGAGATTCTCTGAGGTTCTTTGTTCCCTCAGGGGAAGCAGGGCTGCCTGTCTTCAGTTAAATGCGCTCCCACTGGCCTTCTGGGAGCATCTCTGCGGTGAGCACGGTCCATACATACACACACAGCTGGCGCTGCTCTTGGGTTACTCTGCAGGCCCCGGAGTGAGGCAGCCTGCTTCCTGCTGGTTTCCTGGCATGCATGGATCCCCTGAAAGGGGATTTTGTCTTTCCAGCCTAGAGAGGCTCCATCCTCCTCCAGTGCCTTCCCTAGGCTCTATTCACAGAGGAGACAGGGCAAGCAACTGATACTTACACGGCGCCCCACTTAGGTGGACTGTATTCTTAGTTCCATTTTATAGATTAAGAAACTCAAGTTCCAACTGGGTGCGGTGGCTCACGCCTGTAATCCCAGCACTTTGGGAGGCTGAGGCGGGCGGATCGCAAGGTCAGGAGATCGAGACCATCCTGGCTAACACGGTGAAACCCCGTCTCTACTAAAAATATAAAAAATTAGCCGGGCATGGTGGCCAGCGCCTGCAGTCCCAGCTACTCGGGAGGCTAAGGCTGGAGAATGGTGTGAACCGGGAGGCGGAGCTTGCAGTGAGCCGAGATCGCGCCACTGCACTCCAGCCTGGGCGACAGAGTGAGACTCTGTCTCAAAACAAAACAAAAAAAAAAAAAGAAAGAAAAGAAACTGAAGTTCCATTAAAAAAAAATTCATAGGTTAAAAACAGAAAGAAAGAAATGAACAAACAGGTTTACAAACAGGCCAAGTGGCCAGGTGTGGAGGCTCATGCCTGTAATCCCAGCACTTTGGGAGACAGAGGCGGGCAGATTGCTTGAGCCCAGGAGTTTGAGACCAGCCTGGGCAATATAGCAAGACCCCATCTCTAAAAAAAAACCCAAAAACCAGAAGCCAAGTGGATAAAGCCAAGATTCCAAGTCAAGTCACCTCCATCTGACCCTCTCTCTTTATCAATAAAAATAATCGTGGTTGTAATGGCTATCGTGTTCAAATGATGACCATGTGCAGACCCTGTTCTGCCTGCTTCACATGGATTATCTCATTTAATCCTCAGAGCAACCCTACAATTTAGGTGCTATTATAACCCCATTTTATAGATGAGGAAAGCAAGTCACAGAGCAGGGAAGGGACTTTTCCAAGGTCTCCAGTGGGTGAGCAGAGGAGCTGGGATCCTCCCAGGCTGATAATTCTTGGTGTCCATGAGTCTTTGCAAGAACGTAGAGTCGTAACCGAGGGCTCAGGGCGCTCGTGCGCGCTCTCTCTCTCTCTTGGATACTCTGGTACCCTTTTCCCAAAGGTGTTCTGCCCTTGGCCCTGAGGAAGCCCCCCTTCTCTTTCCCTGCCCATTTCCAGCACCTTGGGAGACGTACTTTCCCCATGGGTCCATGACCAGTGGGGAAACACCTCTCCGTGTCTTATGTAATTGCATCCCCACCATAATCATTCTCATCCTTACTCTCCAGATAGAGGAAAAAAGCCGGTAAGTGACTTCCCAGGGCCCTTGTGCTCATAAACAGTGAGCACCAGGCAAAATCCAGGCCTCTCAAAGACTCCAGCTGATTCTCTCTCTGGCCCCTAAAAGCCCCCGTTAGGAAAAGTTCTCTCTTATGATAGCAAATAAATGCAGAAGGAAGGGTAGAGTTAGAGAACCACCACCCACTTGGCAACCACACTAGCCAGTGAACATTTGAAGAGGAGCAGGATTGATTACATAGTCTCAAAGTATCTCCCTGTAAGATACTCATGAATTACAAAGAGAAACATCATTACTTTATGGTGGAGAAACCTGGCAGACACCACCTTATCCAAGTGATCAAAGTCACATCAGCAATAACAGGACAAGCCAGCGGGGTGTGCCTCGAGATACTGAGAAGGACACAACATCACTTCTGTACAAGCTGAATTGTATCCCCCCAAAATTCATATGCGAAATCCCTAACCCTCCACCCCCATCCCTCAGAATGTGACTGTATTTGGAGATAGAGCTTTTAAAGATGTGATTTAAGATTGAGCCCCTTAAGGTGGCCCTAATCCAATCTGACTGGTGTCCTTAGAAGAAGAGGAAATTTGTTTTTGTTTTTTGGGATGGAGTTTCACTCTGTCTTCCAGACTGGAGTGCAGTGGTGCCGTCTTGGCTCCCTGCAACCTCCACCTCCCAGGTTCAAGTGATTCTCCCACCTCAGCCTCCTGAGGAGCTGGGATTGCAGGTGTGCACCACCACACCCAACTAATTAGTTTGTATTTTTAGTAGAGATGGGGTTTCACCATGTTGGCCAGGCTGGTCTCAAACTCCTGACCTCAAGTGATCTGCCCACCTCGGCCTCCCAAAGTGCTAGGATTACAGGCGTGAGCCACCGTGCCAGCCAGAAGAAGAGGGAATTTGACCATTCAAAGAGACACCAAGGACGCACCAGCACAGGGGAAAGACCACGTGAGGACTCAGTGAGAAGACGGTTGTCTGCAGGCCAAAGAGAGAGGCCTCAGGAGCAACCAGACCTGCCACCACTTTGACCTAGCACATCCAGGCTCCAGAGCTGTGAGAAAAAGACTTATTTAAGCCACTCAGTCTGTATTTTGTTACAGCAGCCAAACGGACTAATACAAGGCCAAGATGCATCAACTAAATCTAATGTAACCAGGAGAAAACACCAGACAAACCCAAACTGAGGGCCATTCTGCAAAATCATCCGGCTGTACTAAAAAATGTCAAGGGTATGAAAGACAAAAGAAGATAGAAGGGCGGTCCCAGATCAGAGGAGGCCAAGAGGCACGCCAGCGAGACTCTGAGCCTGGATTGGATCCTGCAGACTCCCAAAACCACTGTACTCCTTTGCCATGAAAGTCACAGTTAGGACAGTCGGCAGATGTTGAGTAATTGTCAGAGCAGGAGCACCGTCATCTCGGACAAATACTGCCACTTTAAGCTCCAGCTCCCTTTCTAGCCTCATGCATTTCAAGGAAATCACTTCTCTTCTAACTACAACAGCCAGAAAGAGCAGACAGTAAAATACAGATAAGACAGCTCCGGCACAGAGCGGGGTGGAGGGAAGGTCTCTTTGGTAACTGCCAAACTTCACCCTCACACAATGAGCCCCAGTAAAACAGTGGGCCTTAATAAGCACATTCCTTTTCCTTCAGGGGCACTAAGATAGGGAAGCTAAAAGCAGACTCTGGGGATATGCCTGTAGCTGCAGAAAGATATATGGGAACAGACACACAACTCTCCCTCCCAGATACGCACAGCAAAGAGACACAGGAGCAGTCCAAGCCTCTGATAAACTCCCCCGCCCTGAATCCTTAACTCTTAATCTGTAAGAGAGTGGGGCTCTGACCTAACTCGGCCAGCCGCCCCTCTCAGGTTTACTCAACATAAACCTGTCCCTGTTGCCTGTTGAACCGCCCTTTCATGTTGCTTTCCTCTTTATTTCTTACAATAATGTCTGCAGATTAGATCGTTGTGTTTATACCATTGTTGGTTTCCTGATTTTGATCATTTGACTGTAGGGGTGATTTGTTTTTTTAGGAAATGTATACTGAAGCAATTAGAGGTAAAGGGGAATCTGTCATTTCTGCAACTGACTCTTGAATGATATGGAAGAATGTGTGCGTGTGTGCGTGTGCGTGCGTGTATGTCTGCACACATGCAGAGAGAGAAAGCGGGAGCTACAGCAAATGTAAAAAGTGAACAGTGAACATCTGAGGAATCTGGAGGAGGCTATATGGAAATTCTGCAAATCTGAAATAATTTCAAAATTAAAAGTTTAAAACTTCCACATCGTCCCTCAGGGAAAATCCACCCCACTCCCCGCTCCTGCCTGGCTCCTCTCCTTCCCCTCCTAGTCCTTCCCTCGCCAGCACCCTCAGCCTGCCTGGAGTCCTTGTCCTGGACCTTTGTGTGACCTGCTTCCTCCCTCCTCCTCCAGCTCTGCTCTCCCCAGATCCCCATTGCACCATCCCTGTCCTCCCCGCCTCCTCCCACCTCTGCTCAGGACCCCTTTCCTCCAAAAACACTTCCATGTCGCCCATCCTCGATGCTGTGTTGGGTGCCTCTTCCCACTGTGCCCCCAGAGGGACTCCCACCCCGCCCCACCAAGCTTTCCCAGCTGAGCTTTAATCACAGTAGAAGTGAATTATTGCCAAGCATTAAATCATTACTGCACCTGGTACCCATGACTTGTCTCTTTGTGTCTTCCTATCCACCATGTGGGCAAGGAAAGCATTATCACCCCCAGTTTACAAACAGGAAACCTGAGGCTCAGAATAGATAATGCATCTGAGTCACA
The DNA here is from genome assembly GCF_000001405.40 of Homo sapiens. Lineage (NCBI taxonomy): Eukaryota > Metazoa > Chordata > Mammalia > Primates > Hominidae > Homo > Homo sapiens. The sequence continues at coordinate 60,865,412 of NC_000011.10, forward strand.
GCTAAGAAAGTGGTTGGGGCACCATTAGAACCAACTTTTTTTGTTTAAACTTTTATTTTAGGTTCAGGGTTACTTATGCAGGTTTGTTATATAGGTAAATGCATGTCCAGAGGGATTGTTGTACAGATTATTTCATCACCCAGATACTAAGCCTAGCACCCAATAGTTATTATTTCCACCCTTCTCCTTCCTCTTACCCTCTACCCTTCAATAGGCCCCAGTGTGTGCCATTCCCCTCTATGTGTCCATATGTTGTCATCATTTAGCCTTCAGTTATAAGTGAGAACATGTGGTATTGGTTTCTGTTCCTGCATTTGTTTGCTAAGGATAATATCCTCCAGCTCCATCCATGTTCTTGCAAGAGATGTGATCTCATTCTTTTTTATGGCTGCATAGTATTCCATGGTGTATGTGTACCACATTTTCCTTTTTTTTTTTTCTTTTTCTTTTTTTTTTTTTTTTTTTGAGACAGAGTCTCACTCTGTCGGCCAGGCTGGAGTGCAACAGCACAATCTCGGCTCACTGCAACCTCCGTCTCCTGGGTTCAAGCGATTCTCCTGCCTCAGCCTCCTGAGTAGCTGGGACTACAGGTGCGTGCCACCACACCCAGCTAATTTTTGTATTTTTAGTAGAGACAGGGTTTCACCATGTTAGCCAGGATGGTCTCGATCTCCTGACCTCGTGATCCGCCCGCCTCGGCCTCCCAAAGTGCTGGGATTACAGGCGTGAGCCACCGTGCTCAGCATGTACCAGATTTTCTTTATTGAGTCTACCATTGATGGGCATTTGATTCCATGTCTTGGCTATTGTGAATCATGCTGCACTGAACATATGCACGCAGGTTCAGTGTCTTTATGATAGAACAATTTATATTCCTTTGGATATATACCCAGTAATGCGATTTCTGCATCAAATGATAGTTCTGTTTTCAGCTCTTTGAGGAATCACCACACTCCCACAGTGGTCAAACCAATTTACACCCCCACCAAGAGCGTATAAGCATTCCTTTTTCTCTGCAACCTCACCAGAACCGGGCTCTTAGCTATCAAGCCTCTTGCTCTCCCCTTCCAGCAGCTGCTAATTATAATAGCTGCATTTTCTAATGTTTGCTGAGCTCAAACGCTGCTGGGCCCTAGGCTAATCACTTGCAGGAATTAGTGCCAGGACGTGGGGCTGGTGACAGTCCCTTCCTCAGAGGATGGTCAGGCGGTATAAGGATCTAACACAAGCAAGACCTGGCACTGTAATCATGGCAGACCACAGGCCATTCTTGTTGTTTCCAGCCACTTTTATGTCTTAGAACTGTTCTAGATTTACAGAACTGAGAAGATAGTACAGACAGTTCCCATACACCGCAGGCCCAGTTTACCCCATAACTGATCTTACTTGAGTATGATACATTTATTACAATTAATGAACAAACAAATGTGGACACATTATTATTAACTAAAATCCACTTTCTTCACTTTTACTGCCTTTTTCTGTTCCACGATCCCATCCAGATGCCACATTACATTTAGTTGTCCTTGTTATTTTTTATTAGTCATAGTCATCATCATACTGACCGGCTGAATCCTCAGGAGAGCCCTTGGAGGTGCTACTGGTCTGTTTACTCACCTGCAGTCCCCATTCCGCTGCCAGCTCTGAGGGCTGTGTCTTCCTGGTCTTGCTCTAATGCCCCTAAAGCCCTGCCTGAGGAGCTGTGACTGTACTAACCAGGCCGGCAGCTCCCAGTGGTCCTGAGGCCTCAAGGCAGGAAGGAGGACCTGGAGAGCCTGTTGGGGCAGGAAGGGAATGCAGAAAGGCTGGGGTGAGAGGGAGACAGTGGAGGGCCTGAGGTCTGCAGTGCCACCTCCTAGCCCTGGATCCCTTCCCACAGCCCATCTGCAACCTCAGTTTTCTGGAAAGCTCCCTCCTCCCTTCCAAAGCCACAGCTGTGAGACAGAAAGCCAGGGTGAGGGGCCACGTGCAGCTTTCTGCCTCCCGCTGCCTTTGGAACAGGAGTTTCACCACAGCCCCTGGTGGCCAGGTGGGTGCTCCTCCAGGTGGGCCCCCTTTGCCCTTACAGGCACCCACTTGCCACCTCCTCCATAAAAGGCCTGGGCCCAGCTCTGGTGGCGAGGGAGTAGGGGGTGTGTCTGTGGCGTCTCATGGCAGGAGGCTCAGCCACGACCTGGGGTTACCCTGTGGCCCTGCTACTGCTGGTTGCCACCCTGGGGCTGGGTAGGTGGCTCCAGCCCGACCCTGGCCTCCCAGGCCTCCGGCACAGCTACGACTGTGGGATCAAGGGAATGCAGCTGCTGGTGTTCCCCAGGCCAGGCCAGACTCTCCGCTTCAAGGTGGTGGGTGAGTGCTGGCAGAGTCCTGGCCCCTGCCTCCCTGGCCACGGGCTGCTGCCAGAAGGGAGCTGGGACCCTTCCCCTGAAGGAGCAAGAACAGAGGCCTCCCTCCAGCCTGGGGGTGTCCAGCCCCCCACCCCCTCACCACAGAAAAGGGCAAGGAGGAGAATCATCACCCAGGGCAGCTTCTCCCACGTTAGTGTGCATGGGAAACACCTGGCCACCTTGTTGAGGTGCAGGTTCTGATTCAGTGGACCTGGGGCAGGGCCAAGCCTCTGCATTTCTTTTCTTTTTTTTTTTTTTTTCTGAGACAGTCTCACTTCTTTCAATCTGTTCTCCAGGCTTGAGTGCAGTTGGCACGATCTCAGCTCACTGCAACCTCCACCACCCAGGTTCAAGCAATTCTCCTGCCTCAGCCTCTTAGTAGCTGGGACTACAGGTGTGTGCCACCACGCCCAGCTACTTTTTGTATTTTTAGTAGAGATGGAGTTTCACGATATTGGTCAGGCTGGTCTCGAACTCCTGACCTCAGGTGATCCACCTGCCTCAGCCTCCCAAAGTGCTGGGGTTATAGGCGTGAGCCACTGCACCCAGCCTAGGCTCTGCATCTCTAACCACGCTCAGTCAAAACTGAGGCTGAGGGTCCATAAACCACTTCCAGCAGCAGGACCTAGTAGGCGTGGCCTGGTGTGGGTTTAGAACTGGGGTTTGGATCTGCAGCTTCTAAACGGGATGATTTTGGACAACTGACCTGACTCATAAGCCTCTGTTTCCTCATCTGCAAGGTGGGGAAGATGAACCTGGCCGTGCTCATGGAACAAGGGCATGGGGACATGCCCACACCCAGGGAATGCCCAGGCTGTTCTGGGGCAACAAGCAGGGTGGACACCTAGGGGGTGTCTCCAAGCAACTGCAGCAGCCACAGTTAACCTGGGAAATGGGTTCAGATCTTTCTACAAAGCCCAGGATTCAAATCCTCATTCTGCCCCTCATTGTGTGCACCTAAGAAAGCTCACGCACCCTCCCTTCCTCAGCTGCCTCAGCCACAGGATGTGGATAACTAAGCTTAAAAGAAGTGATGTGAAATACTCAGGCCAGTGCCTGAGACCCTGTGTATCCCTTCTCCACCTCATCTTCGTGCCTGCCTGCTGCCGTGTGCTGTGAGCAGGGAACCCTAGCTAGAAAGATCCTAAGACCCTCCCATCCCCTTACAGCTGTGGAAACTGAGAGCAGAGAGGGGAGGGGGCTTGCCCAAGACCACACAACAAACTAATAGCAAAGCTAAGGCAAGAACCCAGGTCTCCTGGCTGCTGAGTGGGAACTCCTTCCGAGACCCCAGCAACCTCTCCCTGCACCCTTCAACATCCCTGGCCCCTCCCCTTCCCCCACTGCAGATGAATTTGGGAACCGATTTGATGTCAACAACTGCTCCATCTGCTACCACTGGGTCACCTCCAGGCCGCAGGAGCCTGCAGTCTTCTCGGCCGATTACAGAGGCTGCCACGTGCTGGAGAAGGTAGGGGTTGTTCATGCTCTGGCACAGGGGCAAGCTTGTCCTAGTGTCATGTCAGGCTGAAGAGGCCCCTCATGAACCAGAAAGGAGCCAAAGCCGAAGATCTGTTGAGCTGGTGGGTGAGGGAAACTAAGCTCTGGAAGGTACTTTCTGGAATCCACCATGAATCCAGCTCCCTGCCTAATGGCCAGCTCAGCTCTCGTGGGCCCGTCCCCTGCCTGGGTATGCTAGGTGGCCTCACCTTGCTGCTCTATGATGGCCTCTCACCTGCAGGATGGGCGTTTCCACCTGAGGGTGTTCATGGAGGCTGTGCTGCCCAATGGTCGTGTGGATGTGGCACAAGACGCTACTCTGATCTGTCCCAAACCTGACCCCTCCCGGACTCTGGACTCCCAGCTGGCACCACCCGCCATGTTCTCTGTCTCAACCCCACAAACCCTTTCCTTCCTCCCCACCTCTGGCCATACCTCCCAAGGCTCTGGCCATGCCTTTCCCAGCCCACTGGACCCAGGGCACAGCTCTGTCCACCCAACCCCTGCTTTACCATCCCCTGGACCTGGACCTACCCTCGCCACCCTGGCTCAACCCCACTGGGGCACCTTGGAACACTGGGATGTGAACAAACGAGATTACATAGGTACGCAGGACATCTGAGTGTACTTACCCTCTGTCTGGGGACTTCTGGAGTACAGGGTGGCCTAACAGCCTTTTACTGGGCTCTAAGCCATTTCTTTTTTTGTTTTTTTCTTTTTTTAGAAAAAGATGATTCTTTTATTCCTTTGTAGTATTTGGAAAACAGCTTTAAACATGTATAGGTGTACTAAAGCTAGAAGAGGTCTTGTAAATTTGTTTCCTAACTTTAGGCAGAAACTCATTGAAACCATTGCCAGCAACACCTGATTCTCAGAAAATATTCTCTAGAAATTTCAGTAATATTCAGTTTTGAGGGAGGACATTTACTGTGCTGGCTAAGAGCACAAGCTCTGGAGCAGGTTCCCAAGATTCAATTCCAGGGCCATGATTTGCAAACTGTGTGCCTTCAGCCTCATCACTCTGTCCCAACCCTAGGTACCCACCTGAGCCAGGAGCAGTGCCAGGTGGCCTCAGGGCACCTCCCCTGCATCGTGAGAAGAACTTCAAAAGAAGCCTGTCAGCAGGCTGGCTGCTGCTATGACAACACCAGAGAGGTTCCCTGTTACTATGGCAACACAGGTACAACCTCCCACCCCAGCAAGATCCTGGTCCCTTGGATTCTGAAGCGGAAGGAGAGCTGTCTCCTCCAGCTGGTGGAAACTGCTTCCTATCCTCCTCCTGGAGAGCCCAACTCCCAGAGCAGATGGCAGAGGAGACCTTTAGATGGGGCGGTCACATGTCCCAGCTGGCCTTATAACAACTGTCCCAGGGAACTATTAATAGATCTACCTTACACACATCTGGACTTTCAGATCTGAAACGCCCTGGTTTGGATGACAGATTATATGGTGAACCTACTTTTAGAGTGTAGTTCAACTCATTTGTCACATGGATGAGAAAATCAGTCCATAAAGGGTTTGCTGGGGCCAACACCAGCCTAAGTGGAGAGTAAGCGTCCATTCTCCTAGACCGGCACTTAAAGCCTGGCTGTCACCCAGCCATCCCGTCTCTGTGCTGGATGGACACCAAACCCCAAGGCCCTCATCTGCCTTTGTCCCAGCTACTGTCCAGTGCTTCAGAGATGGCTACTTCGTCCTCGTGGTGTCCCAAGAAATGGCCTTGACACACAGGATCACACTGGCCAACATCCACCTGGCCTATGCCCCCACCAGCTGCTCCCCAACACAGCACACGGAAGCTTTCGTGGTCTTCTACTTCCCTCTCACCCACTGTGGAACCACAATGCAGGTAGGAGCCGGGACCACAGGCTGGGGCCTGGTCCCCCACCAGAAAGCCTCACCCAGCTGTCTCTTCCTACAGGTGGCTGGCGACCAGCTCATCTATGAGAACTGGCTGGTGTCTGGCATCCACATCCAAAAGGGGCCACAGGGTTCCATCACGCGGGACAGCACCTTCCAGTAAGGGCAGCCCTCCTCCTACAGGCGTGGCTGTGTGCTAGGGTGTCAGGGGCACAGGCGAGCTCAGTACAGGCTTCGGAGCCATCTCAGCTCAAACCCAGGCTCTGCTGTTACCCGGCTATGTGATCTTAGGCAAGGGGCCCACCTCTTCCCAGCCTCCCCTGCTGGGCAGGGGAAATGTCCCTCTCTCAGGGCAGACATGAGTGTTAAGTGGAGCCCTTCCATGCCTGGCCTGCAGGGCTTGGCTAGAAGCCCAGGGCCAGTCCTGAGAGAGCTGGAGTCCTGAGAGAGCCCTGTCTTGGTCTCTCCAAGAACCAAGCTCAAAGCAACTGAAAGTGTCCCCTTCCAGGTCCCAGGAGGAGGCTGAGGCTACGGCTGTTGCCCCTCCTAATGTCAGGTTAAGAAGCCACAGATGAAGCTGAAGATACCTCTCTGAGGATGTGGTGGGAGAGGAACTGGGTGGGGGAGGAACCCCTCATTGTTAGGGGCCTCCTGGACCTGCTGACTCAAGAGGCAAAACCAACCCAGGTGCCCAGGATGCCAGTGGGGGTGACCCGAGGGAATCTGTCTGTCATGCCTGGCTCTGAACCTGTGTGACCAGGGGCAAAGCACCTAACCTTCACCCTGTGGGACGGAGCCAATGGGTTGTAGAAATCTTGTGCTTGACACTGCATGGTTGCTGGGCATCTCCTTCCCCTTCCCGCCCTGCCGTGAGGGTTGGGGAGCAGGGGACTGTGTCACAGTTCAAATGTATTTGGCTTTAAAGCTCTAAGTAGCACAGAGGTGGTAGCTCACGCCTATGATACCAGCGCTTTGGGAGGCCTAGGTGGGAGAATTGCTGGAAGTTCAAGACTAGCCTGGGCAACACAGCGAGACCCCATTTCTATTTTTTATTTTAATTTAAAAAAACCCATATGTTCTTATGGCCAAGTGGTGGAGGACAAGTCTGTGTCATGCCTTTAGACTCTCTGATGTAAGAGCTCTGGGAGTCAGCCAGAGGTCAACAGAGTGCCTAGGGATTCTCAGAGGGAGGCAGAAGTCAGGGGGAAACAGCTGTAGCCAGCAGGACTAGGCCAGAGAGCTCCTCAGACACAAGGCCTTCAGAACAGGGGTGAGCCTCCTATACCTACTCAGCATCTCCTTGGTACCAGGCCTCTGGGGTGCTAGGAGGGTGTTGGCCCCACCAGAGTGTGGAGGAGTGGCCACCATGGCCCTTAGGCTAGTGAGGAAGATGCTAGACACTGTGGCCTTTAGGCTGTGGCAAACCAGCTGCAACTACAAGGACAATGAAGACACAGGTGCATTATCTTGTGATCTCACTCAGTCTCAGTGCCCTCAAAGGGAGGCAGTCACAGCCATTTTACAAATGAGGACACTGAGGCTTAGGTTAGAAGACTTGCTTGTGGTCCCAAAGCCTGTAAATGCTAAGAAGACTCAAATCCAGGTCTGTCGGGAGGCAGAGCACCTAGGCTCATTCACCAGCCTCAACTGTCAGGCTCCAGGGGCCTCGAACGGCACAGCAGGCAGCTGTGGGTAGCCAGGGCAGACCCAACAAGGTGCCAGCCCCCCGAGGGCCCATCTCTATCCTGCTGTATTCTCCCACCAGGTGCAGGGCCTGGCATAACAGGCTTGAGCCATCCCAGGGAGACCAGGTGGGCAGAGGAATGGGCAGGGTGAGCTTCCTGAGCCTGCCTTGGAAATGCTGAGTATTGCTTAAGTAGCATCCATCTGCCCTGCTGGACAGTACCCTATTTGTTGCACCCACGGAGTTGGTGCCTAGTTTATTACGTAAACAGGATGCTCTGATTCTGTGTCTTCTCCCCCACCCTCTTGCACGTGGACTTCAGGCTTCATGTGCGCTGTGTCTTCAACGCCAGTGACTTCCTGCCCATTCAGGCATCCATTTTCCCACCCCCATCGCCTGCTCCTATGACCCAGCCCGGCCCCCTGCGGCTTGAGCTGCGGATTGCCAAAGGTATGCTATGCTATCCCTGCTCTCTTCTGGCCCCCACTTCCCTGATGCACAGCCCGCCCTGGCTCATGAGTCACTCTCCCTGCAGACGAGACCTTCAGCTCGTACTATGGGGAGGATGACTATCCCATCGTGAGGCTGCTCCGAGAACCAGTCCATGTGGAGGTCCGGCTTCTGCAGAGGACAGACCCCAACCTGGTCCTGCTGCTGCACCAGTGCTGGGGCGCTCCCAGTGCCAACCCCTTCCAGCAGCCCCAGTGGCCCATCCTGTCAGACGGGTGAGTGCCCCCACACTCCCCCCACCTGCTCTGCCTCCTGTAAACAGCCTCTCTGACTTCTCTTCTCAGATGCCCTTTCAAGGGCGACAGCTACAGAACCCAAATGGTAGCCTTGGACGGGGCCACACCTTTCCAGTCGCACTACCAGCGATTCACTGTTGCTACCTTCGCCCTCCTGGACTCAGGCTCCCAGAGAGCCCTCAGAGGACTGGTAAGAAGCCCCGGCTGCCGCATGCCTGGTCCCATCTGTTAAGTGGGAGGAGCTGGTCGCCAAATCCCTCTGGCACCCTGTGAACTTATATGGACAAAGTTCTGGGATGGGGCTTGGCGTCTACCAGGTGTCATGGAAAGCAGCGGGCTTCGGGTCAGCAAGAAGGTAACCCATAACCACCACCAGGAGGAAGGAAAATGCTGCCTGTGCTGCAATCAGCCCTAAATCTGAACTCTGGTCATGGTGTTCTAGGGTGGCCTCACCTCACTTCTGATTCCAGAAATGATAATGTGTTCCATGTAATTCTTTGAATTTTCTTTAACTCAGCAACTTCTCCAGAAGGTAAAGGTAGATAAACTCAGGGTATATTTAGGTCTCCTATGTAATATACAGATGGCCTCAGAGGTGACAGATGCACTTGTCCCATTGAACAACGTATCTTTCACATCACATACCCAAATCTCTAGATTCTTAAATCACTGCCTGTTATTATGTCAGATGTAGACTGATTTCACTTGGAAGCACTGGTTAGTGTGGCTTCGTTCTCATCTCTGCTGTGTGCTGCCCATGAGTGGGGCCTCCTGGGTGCTGGGTTGGGTCAGCTCCTCCTGCTTCTGGTCCCGTAGGGCACTGCCCCTGCCCTTCTGTATCTGGAAGCGGTGGTAATCTGCCCTCCCCTCTGCCCCCAGTCACTGGTCTCCAGGGGTCACAAAGGGAGGGCAAACATCTATTATCCTGCTGCCTGGCCAAGTCCCACCTCCTTGGAATTTGCTGTCTCCCTCAGTAGGGCAGGTGGAAGGGAGAGAGCCAGCCCTCCCAGGGGCTGTGCAGCCAGAGGCAGCATTGGTGAAGCAGGCCCGCCAAGGACTGGGGCATTACGAAGTGCGGTGGTCCCCGCCTGCAGGGCACTCCACTGCAGACTTGGACCTTGGGGAGCAAGGAAGGTGTGGATTTCAAATCTGGAAGGAACACATTCAGCTCTGCACTCCCTCAGCATGGGCAGCAGTCATCATCTTGGTCAAGCAGCTCAGATTTCTCCCTGCCTGGCTAGCAGCAGCCTAGACTTGGCCCAGCTCGGGGATTCCATGTCCTTCCCTTTGTGCTTCCTGCCCGGTGGCACTGAGCCAGCCACTTTGATGTTCTTCTCCTTCCACCAGGTTTACTTGTTCTGCAGCACCTCTGCCTGCCACACCTCAGGGCTGGAGACTTGCTCCACTGCATGTAGCACTGGCACTACAAGTGAGTCTGGGTTGCGAGTGGTATTTGTTCCTTTATACATCTTCAGGCCTGTGCCTGGCCTCTGGGCCACAGGGGCAGGAGACCAGCCCAAGATTTCATTCTTCCCCTGGGCAGGACAGCGACGATCCTCAGGTCACCGTAATGACACTGCCAGGCCCCAGGACATCGTGAGCTCTCCGGGGCCAGTGGGCTTTGAGGATTCTTATGGGCAGGAGCCCACACTTGGGCCCACAGGTAGGAGGGCTTCTGGGTGGGCCCCTCAGGCCTTACCCACTCTCAGCCCCCAAGATTGTGCTGACAAAACAGGGATGCTCCAGCCATAGCTGAGGGCAAGAGATGGTGTCACTGCAGTCAGTGGGGAACTAAGTGAAGACAGACACAGTCCACCTCATCTGCAGAAAGGCAGCTTCAGCTCTGCCCAGTGTGATACAAAGTTCTGGGGTGGAGGGGAGGGTTGGAGGGGCCTCACCCAGCCCTGCCAATCCCGTCTCTCTGACAGACTCCAATGGGAACTCCAGCCTGAGACCTCTCCTTTGGGCGGTCCTTTTGCTGCCAGCTGTTGCCCTGGTCCTTGGGTTTGGTGTCTTTGTGGGCCTGAGCCAGACCTGGGCCCAGAAGCTCTGGGAAAGCAACAGACAGTGAATGGGCCCAATAAACAATCATTTCAAACCTACTGAAACCAGGTGTGGAGAAGTTATTTGTGACGACTAGAACAGAACTATTTCTTATGTGAGAAACTTCCTCCAAGTCAGCTCTGTCCTTCCAAAACTGTGACGTTGATTACAAATACTTCATATATGCCACACCCTGCACAGAGGCCAATGTCCCCCAAGGCTCAACTCGGGAGCCTCTGCCTCTCCACAAGGAACGGTGGCATTTCAGGCAGAGCAAACAGGACAAAGATACTGGAGGTTAAGACATTGACAGTCAAAGAACACCAACAGCTGGGAACTGGGCCCCTGGCAGGAATGAATGGCTTGTGAAGGCTTGTCACCTCCTCACAGACACAGAAGTTCTGACAAGGGCATCCTCAAAGCACCCTGAGCAGCTGCTGTCATGGATAAGGGTTACTCTAAGACTGAGTTGAAGGAGCACTTCACAGACCCCCTGAGCCTGCCAGCCTACCGCTAAAGGCTGCATTTCTGACCACAGCCTCCCATCCCTTCCCCTGGCCTCCCAAGACTATCCATGTGGGAAGGGCTGGCACAGGAGGAATGGCAGCCTGCTGGCCCTGACACTGGCTGCGATGGTGGGCATGGCCACCAGACAGGTCTGTGCCAGTGCTGGCTATGCCGCTGAGCCCAGTTTGCCCATGTATGGCATGGGCCTTCATCTCTGACTTGGCAGCAAAGCCCTTTCTAGACATGTCAATCCTCTAGGTGGAGAAGGGGACAGGATGCTAGGGTTTGGCCTCAATGGGACAGGGAGAAGAATCTGGTAGGGAAGCCTGAACTTGGTTTCAGACACCTTTCCGGACTTCAGGTAGAGCACGAGCTTAGAGAGCTGTTACAAGAGGAGCTGAGGTACTCAAGTCATGCCTGTGGCCTTAATACTGCATGTACCCCCTACTCATCCAGCTCTGGCCTACTCAGCCTTTCCTGTCTTCAGAATACTGGACAAGCATGTGGACCCCAGAGCTGGCTTCTTACTAGCTGTGTGATATTCAGTAAGTTACTCAACTTCCCTGGGCCTCAGATTTCTCATCTGTAAAATGAGGTTAATGTCTATTCCCATAGAAGTATTGGGTAAAATGAGTTAACAGATAAGAATGCTTAGAATAGTACATAACGGCCAACAGTAACTGGGTGCTATTAACTACTGACTAGAATTGCATTTCCTCTTGCCCCAAGCCTAATGCTTACTTAGTTTTTGTTGTCAATGTTTTGGTTTGGTTTTGTATGTACAAGTTTACAGGCCAATACGAAGAGGGGCTAGGGGAAACTGCTGTCTTTTGACTCTTCTAGCTAGAGGGAGAACATAAAAGGCAGGAAGGCCCAAACATTTGCCATGGAAGCTAAGTGACTTCCCTTCTCTGGGCCTGTCTTCCCATCTATGGCTAGCAACGGCCAGTCTTGCCCTGCCCAACTTCCTGGCTTGTACAGGGAGACACAGGATATATCCTGCAGGGTCAGTGTGATATAGGTGAGGATTCTTAGCTTGGCTGGTTGGAGAAGCCAGGTTGACTTGGTCTTAGGGGCCTGGGTTCTGGTTCCTTCCAGCATTAACTCCTCCTCCTTCCCCTCCCTCCATCATACAAGCTCATGTAAGGATTTCAAACTTCCAGAGGTACCAATTGGAATAATGCTGTGTAACTGAATTTGCTTTAACACAAGGGTGGATGTCTTGTGTCATTTCCTATCATTTCAAATAGAGGTAGTCTCTAAACTGCGGTTGAACTATGATATTTGATCTGTTGATAGAGACCAAGTGGGTTAAGGATGACGAGTGTTGAACACAATTACTTAAGCATATAGTTCTTTGTATACTATTTTCTTGAAAGACAGTCTTAGAACTGCTGGGTCAAGACCACACCTCTTATGACTGTGGGACTCGGGACTGTCTGAGTGTCTCCCCACCCAATCCCACTGTGCAGGCTTGCCACCACAGGCCAGTAACACTCTAAATCTTTGCCTATCTGAGCATCATAAGGCAAATGGCATTGGCCGTTTTGAAGGGGCTCTTTTTGATTAGAAGTCAAGCATCTTTCTAGCCATTGGTATCGCATAAGTTACCCTTCATGTCTTTTATCTACTCTCCACTATTTCTCTCCTCATCTGTAAAGAGCTTTCACAAATCAAGGGGCCAGTATCCTCATTTTATAAATTTTCCATCTAATTGGCCATTGGCTTTTCTCTGCCGGGTTCTTTTATCTTAGAAAGGATTATGTAACAATGAATTTTTCCCTCTCATATTTGTATTTTTGAGTATGGCAAAGACTTTCCCCTATCCTATATAATCATCCAAGTATCCATTTGCTTTATTGTGATATTCCAGTAACAATGCAATTGTGTATCTCCTACTTCCAAGTGTATATAGGTACATGATTTTGGCAACTGATAAATTGTGCATAGATTTTGTCAACAATTCCATGTCAAAGGAGTCTGTTTACTGAAACAAATATACAAACTATATGAACAATGAAGTTCACTGCAGTGCTAGCTTTCTCTCGGGGGAAGCAATCTAAACTTTGGCTTTCCTAGATAACAAAATTTAGTCTAAATTTTGCCCAATTTAAAGCTTTCTTCCTCCCTTCTTACTGCCTCCTGATGTGAGCAGGCCCCTGCTGGACCTTGAGAACAATTCATCAGACCCGATGGGGACAATAACCACTGTCTCTGACCTGTGGCAGGAAGCAGAGCTGCTCAGGGCCCGTCAGGTTTTGTCTCTTCCTGCCCTTTTGGGGAGGTGGGGATGGGGATGGGGGCAGAGGCTGTGGCTATATCTATATAAGACCTAAGGGAATCCCCTGTCTTTCCATTCCCCAGGCCCCCACCAGCTTCCATATACTTACATTATACATTGAGAGCAAATTAACTTCATGGTGCTTTGTTTTTAATAAAGGGGACAGAATACTTCACCGCCTGTTAGTTCAGCTGAATTCAACTCCCTGTCTGGACACTTATGTGAGAACATTTCATGGAAAAGTGCCACTTCTGTTCCAGCAGTAGGAACACTAGATACTTGGATCAACCTGAAGTAAACAACTAAAATACCAGATTATAAATATTTTAAAATATTCTTAGACTAGTGTTGAATTAACATGGGGAATGAGGCGTGCAGATAGGCCAAAAATAAAAAGCAAAAACTCTGGGAAGTAAAATCAGCTTCTATTCTGGGAAGTTCTACAGGACTCTGGAGACCTTGGCCTTCTGCTTTGATGAGTCCAGGGAACTGTAGATCAAGCCCGGAGCCTACAAAGGCAACAAGTCCAGATGCAGGGCCTCCTCTAAAGCTGGAACTTCAGAGGTCCCAGTCCTCAGTGCAAGAGTGAAGGAGAAACAAGCCTCTGGCAAAAGTGGGCAGCAAGGAATCCTGCCTATTTTTATCATGGGGCAGGATGTATTGAAAAAAAAAAAAATCACCTTGAGAATGAAAAGTGTAATTCCTTCTTCTCTGGTGTGTGCAGTCAAATCCTCAGACTGAAGGAGAGAAGAGAAAGAACCCCTCAGGTTCAATCTAGGAACAAACCTCAAGGGCTAAATTTAATTTAAAGTGATCCCCAGGCTTCAGGAAGAAGCAAATGCAGGTCCTGTCTGAAAGGTGATTTCAGCCAAAGCCTCAGAGAATTATGACAGATCAAGTTGCAAACAAGATGAACACCTCACAATAAGTCACAAGATAACAACACACAGTGAAAAGTCAGGGCACAAAGTGAGAAGATAGTTGCAATACATTCTTGACAAAGGATTACTATCCAAAAATATGTTTAAAACTGCTACAAATCAAGAAAAAGGTAACACAAATAGAAAAATAGGCAAACGACACTAACAGGCATTTCACAAGAGGAAAAACTCACATGGTCTGTAAGTGGCTGAAAAGATGCTCAACTTCAACAGTAATCATGAATGTGAAAAATTAAACTTGAAGATAATATTATACACCCACCAGAGTGGCAAAAATTAAAAAGCCAGAAAATAAGCATTGGTGAGGGTATGAGGACAGGAACATTCTACCAATGTTAATTAGAATATAAACTGGTATACCTATGTTGAAAAATTGTCATTCCCTAATATATAAGTCCTCTCCTAACTATCCCAGAAAAACCCTTGCACCAGAATGTTCACAGAAACACTGTAATAGCAAAATAAAAATAAAAAACTAGAAACAACCCATATGTCCATCATGAACACTAGAACATATAAATACACTCCGGTATATTCCTACAATCAAATTCTACGATGAATGAGAGGTAAGAGTTAACCTGTTTGTCCCTGGCAGGCTGGCCTCCCAGGAAAGGAGTTGGCCCCTTACAAGGTTCCATGGAATCTGGCCATTGCTAAGTGCCTAAGACACTGATCAATTACAAGGTTTGGACCCCAGCCCTTTAATCACATCAGAGGAAGGGCTGATGCTTCTCCAGCCACGAACACACTGCAGTAAATCCTGCTGCTGGCTGACCACATCAAATAACTGCAACAGCAAAACTAAGACCCTAGAGCCTTGATCACAGCAGGAGGAGGAGCTGTGCTTCCTAATCATGCAGCTTAAAAGCCCCATAGCCCAATGGCCAGGATCCCTCTCCCAGCGTGCACTGTCCTAGAATGAATGGGCCACACAGGACCGGCACATCTGCTGCTGCTCCTACCTTCAATAAATGCTGTCACAGTACCTGGTGTGAGTTCTGTTTGGCCATTTTCCTTTGTTTTCCCAGTAGTGAATGAACTAGGGCCATGTGTGTAAATACAGGTAAATCTCAAGGACGATGCTGAGAAGGTGAAATCAAAGAAACTAGATTGAATGACTTCATTTATATAAAGCTCAAAAATCAGTCCCCAAAACCCCAATGTAGTAGTAAAATTGTATAGAAAAACAAACGAATGATCAGCACCAATTTCAGGGTAGTGGTTTTCTCTGCAGGGGCAGGGAGCGATGCATTCATTGAGGAACACACTGATGGCCCCTAATGCTTTCTTCAGCTGGCTGGTGGACACAAAGATGTTTACTATTCTTTAAACTGTACAGGTACATTTTTAGACACTTTGGGTGAATATTTCAGAAAACTTTTAACCTCCTGGCCTGCCTTACTACAATCTGCTGGGCCTGTCTCCAACCACAGTGCTGCTCCTCCCTCCCCAGCTGCCTGTTCCCTCAAACCTGCTTTCTCACTCCTTCCCCAGGCAGTGGGGCTGCCAGTACCTTTGCTCACACCAGACACCCCTACTCTGTTCCTCTGTCCTATGTCCACCTAAGGAACTTCCACTTCAAAACGCGGCTGTGCCACCTCCCCTAGGTCCACCTGACATCCTAAACAGTTGCACATCCTGTCCTCTGTGCTGGCAGCTCTATCAGAACTCTAGCATCATGTCTGTATTGCTCTGTTGACTCTTGTCTCCGTGCCTGGATTATGTTCCAGCCGCTTTGTGTCAACAGAGCCTTAGGTTTACTAATGCAGCAGAGAAGGCAGTCAGACCATGCCTTTATTCGATAGGTGTCAAGTGTCAGGGACCACCATGACCTTGGCGACATGTGTCAATACAGTTAAATCTCAAGGACAATGCCAGTGCAGGCAGAGCACGGAAGATGCACGGTAGTCAACATTTACTGAGTGCCTCATCTCTACATGAAACAGTTCACTTAATTCTCAAGAGCCCTGGAACAAAAGGCAACAGAAACTTCTGCAGACGTAAACGTCCCTGTCTGACAGCTTTGAAGAGAGTAGTGGGTCTCCCAGCACGGAGTTTGAGATCTGAGAACGGACAGACTGCCTCCTCAAGTGGGTCCCTGACCCCCGAGTAGCCTAACTGGGAGACACCTCCCAATAGGGGCCAACTGACACCTCATACGACCGGGTGCCCCTCTGAGACGAAGCTTCCAGAGGAAGGATCAGGCAGCAACATTTGCCATTCTGCAATATTTGCTGTTCTGCAGCCTCTGCTGTGATACCCAGGCAAACAGGGTCTGGAGTGGACCTCCAGCAAACTCCAACAGACCTGCAGCTGAGGGTCCTGACTGTTAGAAGGAAAACTAACAAACAGAAAGGACATCCACACCAAAACTCCATCTGTACGTCCCCATCATCAAAGACCAAAGGTAGATAAAACCACAAAGATGGGGATAAACCAGAGCAGAAAAGCTGAAAATTATAAAAATCAGAGCTCCTCTTCCCCTCCCAAGGAACGCAGCTCCTCGCCAGCAACGGAACAAAGCTGGATAGAGAATGACTTTGACGAGTTGAGAGAAGGCGGCTTCAGACGATCGGTAATAACAAACTTCTCCGAGCTAAAGGAGGATGTTCGAGCCCATCGCAAAGAAGCTAAAACCTTGAGAAAAGATTAGACGAATGGCTAACTAGAATAAACAGTGTAGAGAAGTCCTTAAATGACCTGATGGAGCTAAAAACCATGGCACAAGAACTACATGACGCATGCACAAGCTTCAGTAGCTGATTTGATCAAGTGAAAGAAAGGGTATCAGTGATGGAAGATCAAATGAATGAAATGAAGCAAGAAGAGAAGTTTAGAGAAAAAAGAGTAAAAAGAAACAAACAAAGCCTCCAAGAAATATAGGACTATATGAAAAGACCAAATCTACGTCTGATTGGTGTACCTGAAAATGACAGGGAGAATGGAACCAAGTTGGAAAACACTCTTCAGGATATTATCCAGGAGAACTTCCCCAGCCTAGCAAGGCAGGCCAACATTCAAATTCAGGAAATACAGAGAACACCACAAAGATACTCCTCAAGAAGAGCAACTCCAAGACACATAATTGTCAGATTCACCAAAGTTGAAATGAAGGAGAAAATATTAAGGGCAGCCAGAGAGAAAGGTCGGGTTACCCACAAAGGGAAGCCCATCAGACTAAGAGCAGGTCTCTCGGCAGAAACTCTACAAGCCAGAAGAGAGTGGGGGCCAATATTCAACATTCTTAAAGAAAAGAATTTACAACCCAGAATTTCATATCCAGCCAAACTAAGCTTCATAAGTGAAGGAGAAATAAAATCCTTTACAGACAAACAAATGCTGAGAGATTTTGTCACCACCAGGCCTGCCTTACAAGAGCTCCTGAAGGAAGCAATAAACATGGAAAGGAACAACCGGTACAAGCCACTGCAAAAACATGTCAAATTGTAAAGACCATTGATGCTAGGAAGAAACCGCATCAACTAACGAGCAAAATAACCAGCTAAGATCATAATGACAGGATCAAATTCACACATAAAAATATTAACCTTAAATGTAAATGGGCTAAATGCTCCCATTAAAAGACACAGACTGGCAAACTGGATAAAGAGTCAAGACCCATCAGTGTGCTGTATTCAGGAAACCCATCTCACGTGCAGAGACACACATAGGCTCAACATAAAGGGATGGAGGAAGATCTACCAAGCAAATGGAAAGCAAAAAAAAAGCAGGAGTTGCAATCCTAGTTTCTGATAAAACAGACTTTAAACCAACAAAGATCAAAAGAGACAAAGAAGGCCATTACATAATGGTAAAGGGATCAATTCAACAAGAAGAGCTAACTATCCTAAATATATATGCACCCAATACAGGAGCATCCAGATTCATAAAGCAAGCCCTTAAAGACCTACAAAGAGATTTAGACTCCCACACAATAATAATGGGAGACTTTAACACCCCACTGTCAACATTAGACAGATCAATGAGACAGAAAGTTAACAAGGATATCCAGGACTTGAACTCAGCTCTGCACCGAGCAGACCTAATAGACATCTACCAAACTCTCTACCCCAAATCAACAGAACACACATTCTTCTCAGCACCACATCGCACTTATTCCAAAACTGACCACATAGTTGGAAGTAAAGCACTCCTCAGCAAATGTAAAAGAACAGAAATTGTAACAAACTGTCTCTCAGACCACAGTGCAATCAAACTAGAACTCAGGATTAAGAAACTCACTCAAAATCGCTCAGCTACATGGAAACTGAACAACCTGCTCCTGAATGACTACTGGGTACATAACAAAATGAAGGCAGAAAGAAAGATGTTCTTTGAAACCAATGAGAACAAAGACACAACATACCAGAATCTCTGGGACACATTTAAAGCAGTACATAGAAGGAAATTTATAGCACTAAATGCCCACAAGAGAAAGCAGGAAAGATCTAAAATTGACACCCTAACATCACAATTAAAAGAACTAGAGAAGCAAGAGCAAACACATTCAAAAGCTAGCAGAAGGCAAGAAATAACTAAGATCAGAGCAGAACTGAAGGAGATAGAAACACGAAAAACCCTTCAAAAAATCAATGAATCCAGGAGCTGATTTTTTGAAAAGATCAACAAAATTGATAGACTGCTAGCAAGACTAATAAAGAAGAAAAGATAGAAGAATCAAATAGATGCAATAAAAAATGATAAATGGGATATCAACACCGATCCCACAGAAATACAAACTACCATCAGAGAACACTATAAACACCTCCATGCAAATAAACTAGAAAATCTAGAAGAAATGGATAAACTCCTCAACACATACACCCTCCCAAGACTAAACCAGGAAGAAGTTGAATCCCTGAATAGACCAACAATAGGCTCTGAAATTGAGGCAACAATAGCCTACCATCCAGAAAAAGTCCAGACCAGACGGATTCACAGCCAAATTCTACCAGAGGTACAAAGAGGAGCTGGTACCATTCCTTCTGAAACTATTCCAATCAATAGAAAAAGAGGGACTCCTCCCTAACTCATTTTATGAGGCCAGCGTCATCCTGATACCAAAGCCTGGCAGAAATACAACAAAAAAGGAGAATTTTAGACCAATATCCCCAAATGAACATCGATGCAAAAATCCTCAATAAAATACTGGCAAACTGAATCCAGCAGCACATCAAAAAGCTTATCCACCACAATCAAGTTGGCTTCATCACTGGGATGCAAGGCTGGTTCAACATACGCAAATCAATAAACATAATCCATCACATAAACAGAACCAATGACAAAAACCACATGATAATCTCAATAGATGCAGAAAAGGCCTTCGACAAAATTCAACAGCCCTTCATGCTAAAAACTTTCAATAGACTAGGTATTTCTTTTGTTTTGTTTCATTTTGTTTTTTTGAGAAGGAGTCTTGCTCTGTCGCCCAGGCTGGAGTGCAGTGGCACGATTTCTGCTCACTGCAAGCTCTGCCTCCCGGGTTCACACCATTCTCCTGCCTCAGCCTCCTGAGTAGCTGGGACTACAGGCGCCCGCCACCACGCCCGGCTAATTTTTTGTATTTTTAGTAGAGATGGGGTTTCACTGTGTTAGCCAGGATGGTCTCGATGTCCTAACCTTGTGATCCGCCTGCCTCAGCCTCCCAAAGTGCTGGGATTACAGGCGTAAGCCACCGCGCCCAGCCCTAGACTAGGTATTGATGGGATGTATCTCAAAATAATCAGAGTTATTTATGACAAACCCACAGCCAATATCATACCGAATGGGCAAAAACTGGAAGCATTCCCTTTGAAAACTGGCACAAGACAGGGATGCCCTCTCTTACCACTCCTATTCAACACAGTGTTGGAAGTTCTGGCCAGGACAATCAGGCAAGAGAAAGAAATAAAGCGTATTCAATTAGGAAAAGAGGAAGTCAAATTGTCCCTGTTTGCAGATGACATGATTGTATATTTAGAAAACCCCATCGTCTCCACCCAAAATCTCCTTAAGCTGATAAGCAACTTCAGCAAAGTCTCAGGATACAAAATCAATGTGCAAAAATCACAAGCATTCCTATATACCAATAACAGGCCAAATCATGAGTGAACTCCCATTCAGAATTGCTTCAAAGGGAATAGAATACCTAGGAATCCAACTTACAAGGGATGTGAAGGACCTCTTCAAGAACTACAAACCACTGCTCAACAAAATAAAAGAGGACACAAACAAATGGAAGAACATTCTATGCTCATGGATAGGAAGAATCAATATCATGAAAATGGCCATACTGCCCAAGGTAATTTATAGATTCAATGCAATCCCCATCAAGCTACCAATGACTTTCTTCACAGAATTGGAAAAAACTACTTTAAAGTTCATATGGAACCAAAAAAGAGCCCACGTTGCCAAGACAATCCTAAGCCAAAAGAACAAAGCTGGAGGCATCATGCTACCTGACTTCAAACTACACTACAAGGCTACAGTAACCAAAACAGCATGGTACTGGTACCAAAACAGAGATATGGACCAATGGAACAGAACAGAGCCCTCAGAAATAATACCACACATCTACAACCATCTGATCTTTGACAAACCTGATAAAAACAAGAAATGGGGAAAGGATTCCCTATTTAATAAATGGTGCTGGGAAAACTAGCTAGCCATATGTAGAAAGCTGAAACTGGATCCCTTCCTTAAACCTTACACAAAAATTAATTCAAGATGGATTAAAGACTTAAATGTTAGACCTAAAACCATAAAAACCCTAGAAGAAAACCTAGGCAATACCATTCAGGACCTAGGCATGGGCAAGGACTTCATGACTAAAACACCAAAAGCAATGGCAACAAAAGCCAAAATTGACAAATGGGATCTAAATAAACTAAAGAGCTTCAGCACAGCAACAGAAACTACCATCAGAGTGAACAGGCAACCTACAAAATGGGAGAAAATTTTTACAATCTACCCATCTGACAAAGGGCTAATATTCAGAATCTACAAAGAACTTAAACAAATTTATAAGAAAAAAATCAAACGACCCCATCAGAAAGTGGGCAAAGGATATGAACAGACACTTCTCAAAAGAAGATATTTATGCAGCCAACAGACATGAAAAAATGCTCATCACTGGCCATCGGAGAAATGAAAATCAAAACCACAGTGAGATACCATCTCACACCGGTTAGAATGGCGATCATTAAGAAGTCAGGAAACAACAGGTGCTGGAGAGGATGTGGAGAAATAGGAACACTTTTACACTGTTGGTGGGACTGTAAACTAGTTCAACCATTGTGGAAGACAGTGTGGCGATTCCTCAAGGATCTAGAGCTAGAAATCCCATTTGACCCAGCCATCCCATTACTGGGTATATACCCAAAGTATTATAAATCATGCTTCTATAAAGACACATGCACACATATGTTTATTGTGGCACTATTCACAATAGCAAAGACTTGGAACCAACCCAAATGTCCATCAGTGATAGACTGGATTAAGAAAATGTGGCACATATACACCATGGAATACTACACAGCCATAAAAAAGAATGAGTTCATGTCCTTTATAGGGACATGGATGAAGCTGGAAACCATCATTCTGAGCAAACTATCGCATGGACAGAAAACCAAACACCGCATGTTCTCACTCACAGGTAGGAATTGAACAATGAGAACACTTAGACACAGGGTGGGGAACATCACACACCAGGGCCTGTCCTGGGGTGGGCGGAGGTGGGAGGCATAGCATGAGGAGATATACCTAATGTAAATGACGAGTTAACGAGTTAACACACCAACATGGCACATGCATACATATGTAACAAACCTGCATGTTGTGCACATGTACCCTAGAAGTTAAAGTATAATAATTTAAAAAAACACTAAGAAATTTAACACACAAAAAAATGCCACACAGAAGACCTGTCAGACCAATCAATGTTTAGATTCTATTAGAAATGCTATTTAAAAAAATAAATAAATAAAACTAAAAATAAAAATTCTCAAGAGCCCTACGAAGTAGGCACCAGGAACTGACTTTTCAGATGAAGAAACTGAGACATAAAGATGCACATCACAGAAAGGTGCAGAGCTGGGATTCAAACCTGGGCTGCTGGCTCCAGAGCCTGCATTTAACTATGATACTACCTCCTGCAAAGCTGAGCAGTGGGTCATTAGCTGCCCATGCCTATCTTAATCAGCTTGGTCTCTGAAGCCACACGGCTTAAAAACCCTAGCTGCGTTATTTACTGGGTGGCCTAAACAAGGCACTTCTCTGAGCTTGTCTTCTCATCTATAGACTGGGGACACCACCACCTGTCTGGCAGGGTCATTCTGTGGTACTGTGAGGAGCTCCATCACAGTACCAACGTTACTGGGGAGACTGCTGTGACTACACTGCCCCCAGGTGACCTCCTTGGTTAGTGCTCCAAGCTCAGGAACAATATAGATGCTTCCTCACTTTCAATAGCGGAGGCTAAGCAGGGTTTGATCACCAAAGGCCCAAGTGCACAAAAGATGCAGTAATCACTGATAATATCACCGAACAATTTCCCTATGGACACCTGGGACTACTGACTGCTGCTGGGTCCTAAATACAAAACTCACTAGCTAGACAACAGAGGTGAGTCCTTTAGAATCCACCAACCCCCAACCAAGATCTACTTCCAGAAGGTTCACCTACAAGGCAGCTGGGCCAACATCTGGTGAGCTGTGGCAGGAGGTGATAGCTCTTCATTCATTTTGGCTGATATAACTAACATTCTGTCAAGCCCTCTGTGTTTACTTATCAAAGAAAGAGACAGACGTTGCCTGGGCATTGGACTGAGCCCCAAGGTTGAATCTCTCAATCTGCCACTTGGCAGCAGTGTGACATGAGCTGAAGAGATGAATGATAGCAACGGATACCTGGTTCTGCTCTTAAGATTCTAAGTGGGAAAGACAAATGCGCAAACACCTTCAAGGTAACACAGAGCTATGCTAAAGGCATGAACCATGGGCTCCAAGAAAGCTCACTCACCTGGCAGGGCAGCAATGGGCTCCAGAGGCTTCCTGAAGGACTTGGTCTATCTCTGGGGAGGGCAGACTCCAGGGAGAGGGAGCAGGAGAGTGGTAATAGTTAATAGTAGCAGCATTTATGATGTGCAATTCCTATTCTAAGCACTTGTCACATTCACTTAATCCTTACTATATCTCTAGTAAGTACACTATCCCCATCTTTTGGATGAAGAAACTCAAACAGAAAAAAGTTAAATAATCTGTCCAAGGTCTTGCAGCAACTAAGTGCCAGAACTGGGATTCAAAGCCAGAGAGTCCAGTGCCAGGACTATGCTCCCACCTTCTGCTCCGTTCTGCAAAGGAAGAGCGGTATGAAGT